>NC_000009.12:133241638-133555456 GCF_000001405.40 Homo sapiens | reverse complement strand
CTGAACCAAGAAGCTCCCAGAAGGAGGGCTTCTGCCTAACTAGAGGACGTAATTCGGGCAAAACGGAGGCATGAGACCTGCCTGGATCATCTCTTGCTGATGGGAATTCAATCGACTTCTGTAGTGGATTGAATAGCATCCCCCCAAAATTCATGGCCCCCCCCGGAACCTCAGAGTGTGATCTTCTTTGGAAATAGGGTCATTGTAGATATAATTAGTTAAGAATCTTGAGATGAAATTATCGTGGACTGAGAAATATCCTTATCAGAAGGGGACCGACAGAGACACCGGCACAGAGGAGGAGGCCTATGAGGACAAAGGCAGAGGCTGGAGTGACACGGTCACAGCCAAGGGGCGCCTGGGGCCCCCGAAGCTTTTGCTCCCTGTGCTGTCCGAGCTGAGGTGAGACCAGGTGCTCGTTGAGTGAGCGATGGGGTGAGCGAGAGATCAGACCATCCTGCATTTGACTCCCAGCTCCTCCACGGTGGACTGCATGACTTGGCCAAGCCACTTCCTCTTTCTAAGCCTCAGTCTCCCCATCCATCAAATGGGGATAACCACATCTACCTCAAAGAATGCATGGACAGAAGGACCTATCCCAAGTCCTCAACCCTGTGCCTGCCCAGAGGACATCTGCAGGTAGCTGGCAGCTCTTAGGAACCTCCTCTGCAGGTCTGCAAAGGGTCTGAGACCCCTTCCCCAAGGCCCCCTTCCCTGGGCTGCCTCCCGGGCCCCACCCTCATGCCTCCCTCCTCCTGGTTACCTCGGAAGCCCTTGCCCCTGGGGGGCCCCTCGCAGGCCCCGCCGCCGGCCTGCTCGCACACCTCGTTGGTCTCCTGGCCCTGGCTGGGGCCCAGCTCCATGTCCAGGCCCGGGTGGCCGAACAGCCGGTTGTCCAGGCCCAGCCGCTCTGAGGAGGCCTGGCCGTAGAGGGAGCCGTTGTGCGGGACGAAGCCCATCAGCCCGGCCCCGTCCAGGCCCTGGCTCTCAGCGCTCTCGGAGAAGCCATAGTAGATGGGCTGGGGGCGGCTCTCGTGTGGCGGCTGCAGCAGCGTGTACTCGAAGGTGATGGAGGGGCTTTTGCCGTTCTGGTTCCACACCTAGGGAAAGAGAAGTGGGTCCCCAGCCCCTCCTTACTCTGTCCAGCCCCTTCCCCACCAATCCCCTTCCCACAGAGCTGCAGGGTGCGTTCCCTGCTGTGACTGGCAGTTGAGCCCCCTCAGGGAATGACACTGACTAGCCCAGCCCAACGCAGTGCTCCTGCCCCAGGGGCATCCAAGTCAAAGAGCCTGGGAACAGGGCGGGGGCTGGGGATGTGTGGTGGGGGGAGTGGCCCACCCTGGGTACAGGCAACAAGGCGTCACAGTCTTCCAGGCACGCCCAGGTGGGCCCTCGTCTCTGCATGCTGTATGCAGAGAATTTAAGTAATGAAGCCAACAAAACCTGGCCTGCATTTTCTTCTCACCATGTGCCAGAAATTCTAAGTAATCACGGTGTCCCTCTCCCACCACCCTCCAACCCAGAGCCCCACTGCCCAGGCCAGGTGGGAGTACAAAGACCCAGGCTCTGCCTCAATTCGAGACAACAGTGAAGGCTCATCCCCGCTCCAGGGCTCCCTGTGGGATGGGCTGAGGCCCCTGTCAAGACCCTGGGGCAGCCCGGCTTCTCCCTCCACAGACCCCTGCTGCCCCTCTCTCCAGGAGTTGCTTTTTCCAGAGATTCCAACCAAAACCAGCTGGTGTCAGGAGCAGGCAGGCCTAGGATTTTAAAATAGGATGTCGGAGAGGGTCACGGGCTGGCAGAGGCAACGAGGGCCCACGTAGAAATGCCTGGAGCACAGAGACCCCCGGAAGACAGTGAAGCGGTTGTGAAAAGGTTCACCACTAGGGAACTGGGAGAGAATGCCAGCGAAAGGAAATGCACTATTGGTGCAATAGCTCAAGTGTTTGAGAGTTGGCTGGGGCAGGGGTAGGGGTTAAAAACTTGCAGAGGTTTGTGGAAGTAAAGGACCCCAAGAACGGAAGGATGGCATGGAAAGGTGAGGGTGAGGGTCTGCGCAGCCGCAGAGAAAGACACCCTCGTGTCCTGCAGCTGGAAGGCGGGAGAGGCAGAGGCACCTCCAAGGAGCAGAGAGCGTGCTCTTCCCAACTCTGCTAGGCCTGCTATGCCCAGGACAGAGACCAACCAGAAGAGGGGGACCTTGAGACTCGGGGTGTGGGGATCTGCGTCAATACACTTGAAAAACTTCACATCTCAAACGTCCCAAGCCTTCAGGGCCTCAAAAATGGGCCTGTCCCATTTGTCCCTGTTAAAGCCAGCGCCACCCCTGCCTGAAGACGACACAGAGACCTCTGCCTTCACGGCCACGCGGGCCTCCCACAGGAGCTGGCCTGCCCTCCTCTCCCAGCCACCAGACCAATAGCTTAGATTAAGTCACATTCTCGCCCAGTCAGGGCAGTCCTGGGAGAAGGGGCTATACACCAATGGAACGGCAGGACCAGCCCTCAGGAACTGCTGGGTGCATCCTCTCATGACAAAGAAGTTAGCGCCTTGGTAAGAACGTGGGGAGAAATGCTACCAGGCTACTAGGATGGCACTTAGAAGCATAGAGCAGGTAGGGGCTGACCTAAAGGATGCAGATGTAGCCAGCCCATCACATCCCGCATTTAACTCGATAGTTCAGCCCCCACAATAACAAGACAGACCCCAGGGATCTGCCATCCGAGTCTGGATGGGTGCTGCACCCTCCACCAAGTGGTGGCCTCCACTGCCAGGATGTGATCACTGTGGTCTCTCTCCTAGAGCAGATCAGCATGGCCTCAGGTTGATCCTAGGTGGCCACTGATCTGGAAAATATGTTCTTTTCTATCCCTGTCAAGAAGGTGGACCAGAAACTATTTCATTCCCCTGGGGTGGACAACCGTATGTGTTTACAGTCTTGACCCAGGGCTACACTTACGCTCCCGCTCCCAATTACAATACACTATAAAGGCATCTGGACCACTCCAAGCACTTGACCTTTGTCCTCTGCACTGATGGCGCCACACTTATCAGATCAGAGGAGCAGACACTGGTGCCAGAGGTCTTGGTAAAGCACCTGTCTTCCAGAGGAGCAGAGATTCAACCCTGTGAAGATTCGGCAGCCCCTTACATTAGTGGAAATGTCAGGGTTCCGCGGGCTAGGGCGTACCAGACATCTCTTTGAGAGGAAAGAGAAATTGACAGCATCTCATACCCTCCACCACGAAGAGTAATTCTGGAGCCAGCATATTCCACATCCAAGAATATCTGTTCAACTCATCTGCTGGGTGACATTAAAAGCTGCTGCTGGCCAGGTGCGGTGGCTCACGCCTGTAATCCCAGCACTTTGGGAGGCCGAGGCGGGCAAATCATGAGGTCAGTAGTTTGAGACCAGCCTGGCCAACATAGTGAAACCCCATCTCTACTAAAAGTACAAAAATTAGCTGGGTGTGGTGGTGGGCGCCTGTAATCCCAGCTACTCTGGAGGCTGAGGCAGGAGAATCGTTTGAACCTAGGAGGCGGAGGTTGCAGGGAGCTGAGACTGTGCCACTGCACTCCAGCCTGGGCAACAGGGTAAGACTCCATCTCAAAAATAACAAAAAAAAAAAAAAAAAAAAAAAAAAGCTGCTGCTTTGGGTGGGATCCTGAGTGGAAGGGGCCCTGCAGCAGGTCCAGGCTGTGAGGCAAGCAGCCCGCCACATGGGCCGTATGACCTGGCAGATCCTATAGGAATAGAGATATCTGTGGTAGGGAAAGATGTCAGATGGAATTTCTGGAAAGCCTGTAGGGAAAGCATAACATAGCACCCTATGGTTCTGGAGCAAGGCCATCTGCAGTAAATAAATACACATCACTTGCAAAAAACTTCTGGCACACTGCGAGGCCCTACTAGAGATGGAACACTTGGGCTACGGGACATCAGGCGACCCACACAGCCAGAGCTGCCTCCAACACGAGTTCTACCAGCTCCGCCAGCAGCAATCCATTGTAAGGTGGAAGTGTTACACCAGGACTAGGCACACCCAGGGCCAGAGGGTACGACAAAGCTGTGTCAGCAAGGGACCCAAACTCCCCCATCCAAGACTCTTGTACCCACACATCCCCTTTCCAGCTCGCAGCTATGGCTGTGTGTGGGGGGGCCCTTATGATGAAGGGAGAGCAGAGAAAAATGGCCAAACTTGATTCAGAGATGGGTCGGCATGCCCTGAGGGTGCAAGCTGAAAGTGGGATCTACTTCACTAAAGCCCCATCCAGGACTGGCCTGGAAAAAGAGCAGTGAAGGAAAATCTTCCCCATGGGCTTCAGGCAGTGCATGTGATGTAAGCATCGGTGTGATGGGAGGCAGGGCAGCCCGAGATGAGAGTATGAACTGAATCATGGGTGGTGGCAAGTGGCTTGGCTGGCTGGTCAGGAGCCTGGGTGGGAAAGATCAGAAGGTTGGGGACCAGGAGGTCTGGAGGAGGTACCTGTGGCTGGATCTAGGGAGTAGGCATAAAGGATGGAGGTCTTCCTTTCATTTGTTCATTTGTACCAGGAAGTGTCACCATGCGAGAGGCACTAAACACCCCAGTAGAAGACAGAATGGCCTTGCCACTGGACACAGGCTAGTCACAGGCATCATCACCCCACTGCAGGCACAACGGGTGAATGAATCAGCGTGGAGGAAGGGATGGAAGCTACATGTGGCCCCAGCACACGGCTTCTCACTCACCACAGCCACCATAGCTCCTTCCGCTCCTGAACGTCCAGTCTCTGGCCTCAACACTAAGCCTCTAAAGTACCACCTCTAAAGGCCACTCAGCTACTGGGTGACAAGCTGATCACATCAGACCCCTTCCATCCTGGAAGGGGAAGTGCTGAATCTGGTCCTAAATAAAAGTTGCCTTTCCTGCCCACAGAAGCTCAGCCACAGCCCCAACGCCCAAAGGCTCACAGAGTATTTGATTGAATGGGACAGGGTACCGAGAACATGGCATTAAACAAAGGGACCCGCTTTATAGCAGAGGACGTGCCACAATGGGCGCATGACTGTGAGATCCACTGGGCCTGCCGTATCCTCCAACACCCAGAAATGCCAGCCTGATGGAGCAATGGAGCGGGGAGCCACAGTGCCAGCTGAAAGGCAGCACGCCCGTGAGGATGGGGCATCTCCCATGAGGCACCACCCACATAAATCAAAGGATTTTCCTTCACTGCCGTTTTTCCAGGCCAGCCCTGGATGGGGCTTTAGTGAAGTAGATCTTACTTCCAGCTTGCACCCTCAGGGCAAGCCGACCCATCTCTAAATCAAGTTTGGCCATTTTTCTCTGCTCTTCAGGGCACCCCCACACAGCCATAGCTGTGAGCTAGAAAGCGGATGTGGGTGCAAGGGTCTTGGATGGGGGAGCTTGGGTCCCTTGCTGACACAGCTGTCTCATACCCTCTGGCCCTGTGCCTAGTCCTGGTGCTGTGTGCCCAGCACATAGAAGACATGGGTCTGGGATGCAGGAGGGGCAGTAGCAGTAGCGATCATTCCCAGCCACCACTTGGGGACTGTGTGTTCCCCATCCCTGCAGCTCTGGGGTCTGTGGTCTGGAGACCTTGGTTTGCACATGGGGAACGTTTCCACCCAAAGACGAAGCAACAGTTTCATTACACTTTAGGCTGCGGCCACACACGGTCTGTTTGGGCATTTTGTGCCAAGAGACCAGCAGCATGGAAACGAGTGGCCGTCCTGGCTGGGTGATTGAACTTGATCATCAAGAGCAGACAGGCCAAGGCAGGTGGCTCACGCCTATAATCCAAGCACTATGAGAGGCTGAGGCAGGAGGGTTACCTGAGGCCTAGAGTTCGAGACCAGCCTGGACAACATAGCAAGACCCTCTCTCTACTTAAAAAAAAAAAAAAAAAAAAAAGAGTAGGAAAGGCGTTGTTTGACCCTGGGGCCAAAGAATCTATGTGGCACCTGCTGATGCCCTGGGCATCTCTTGGTATCCCCCTGCCCCTTGTGATGATAACTGGACAAAAGCAGCAGCCTCAGGTTGAGATGGTCATGGAGACCAGGGTCACCTCACCAGGTAGCCACCTGGCCCCTCTGAGGTGCTAAGCCAGGCTAAGGGGAAATAGAGGGCGTCGCAGAAGAAGGAAACTGTGGGCCGGGCGCGGTGGCTCACGCCTGTAATCCCAGCACTTTGGGAGGCCGAGGCGGGCGGATCACGAGGTCAGGAGATCGAGACCATCCCGGCTAAAACGGTGAAACCCTGTCTCTACTAAAAATACAAAAAAAAATTAGCCGGGCGTAGTGGCGGACGCCTGTAGTCCCAGCTACTTGGGAGGCTGAGGCAGGAGAATGGCGTGAACCCGGGAGGCGGAGCTTGCAGTGAGCCGAGATCCCGCCACTGCACTCCAGCCTGGGCGACAGAGCGAGACTCCGTCTCAAAAAAAAAAAAAAAAAAAAAAAAAAAGAAGGAAACTGTGAGTGTCAGTTGTAGCCCCTACACCAGCTGCAGTTCAGCCCACTAAACTTCCTCCTGTAAGGCTCCCTGAGAAAGAAACCAATGCAATTCTAGAGGGGCTGTTCCCCTGCCAAGGCAGACTCGTGCAAAGCGCATAGGTCCAAGCTGTGCTGGGGGTGGACCACGGACCCCACCCTTCGGTGAACTGCCTGGGGTGGGTGCGCAACAGTTCACAGCTGTGCCCCACCCCAGGAATTTCCCTCAGCCAGGGGGAGCTGTCTCTCCCCAGGTCATGCCCCCCACAAGGGGCAACTACACCTGGCAGTATGTGATGCCCTCCTGCCCCAACTTGAGATAATGCGACCCCCAGGGGGCTGGCCGAAGCCCGTTGAAACTGCATCACAACTCAGCTGCTCCCTCTGTCTAGTCCCGTGCCCTCCTGCCCACATCAGTGTTCCTGAGACCGCTCCTGACACTGCCCCCCAAGCTCTCTTGCACACAAACCCCCACCTCAGAGTCTATTTTCTGGGGACCCTGACCTACAAAACAGCCCCTGCAGCCAGGAGGCAAAGCCAAGTGGTCAGTCCACCTCCAGACACAGCTCCAGGCAGGACCAGGTAAGCACAGACACAGAGATGCGTGGCCCCCATTTGATTCCGGGGTCACCAGGAAAGCTCTTCAGCCAAAAAGCAGTGTGGGGAGATGGACAAGCACCCCCAGTTAGAGACCCCTCCAGCACAGCAGCTAAACAAAGAACAGGCTCTGGCACCAGGCAGGCCTGGGTTCAAAGCCCAGTCGTGCCACTCACAATTCCATGACTGCAAGTCACTCGCTCTGTGCCCACATTTCATGACCTGCAACATGAGGCAATGAAACCCACCACAGGGAGATCTGGAAACCAAAACAGCCCAGGTTGTGGGGTGGCTCCAACCCTGCTGTATTCCCTCGGCCTCCAGGAAAGTCAGCAGGCCTTGACGGGCACCACAACTGCCCTTCTTGATGTCACCTGACTTCAGTGACATGACAAGTCCTTTACATATTTTCGGTGCTGAGGCACCAAGCCACCAGAGCCTCCATTTCCAGACGCTAGCCATAGAAGAACTTGTGGCAAGTCGGGCATAACAGGCCCACGCTCCCTCCTGCCCACTGCTCGGGCCCTGAGCCCCACCCCAGAACCCCTGAGTATCCTGGGGAGGCCATGTCAGGGGAGGGGCAGGGGCCACGGGAACTACCTTGGGCCCTGGCACTAAGGACCGAGCACCATAGTGCCTGGGGAGGGGGTGGAGCCTGAAGCTAGGTAGGGGCATAAACCCCTCCACCGTGGGGTAGGGAGGGGTCCAGCCTCAACCTTAATGCCCCGAGCTCCCTGTGGACTTCCCAAAGGGCAGGAAATGGGCCAGCACGGAACCCCCGCTGGTCCTCCAGGGAAGCTAGCCACAGTGAATGGATGGAGGAATGAATGATTTCAAGAAGTGGGTGAGAGAATAGGTGGTTGAGTGAGAAGTGAACAGGTAAATGAATTAATGAACTGATGAGTGAATGGGAGACTGGAAATGAACCAAAATCCGAGTGAATGAATGAATGGGGGAGGGAGTTAGTGAAAGAACAAGTGAATGAGTAACAGTGATTGAACGTGAAGCCCCAGCCCACGCAGAGTGGTGAGGCTGCCGGGTGCACGCGCACAGTGGCCCTGGGGGCGTCACGGGCTGGAAGACCTCACCTGTGGCTGGATTCTGGGGAAACAGTGCCCAGGGCCCCTGGGGCCCCCAAGGCCTGCGGCACACGTACCATGACATTCAGGCCCTGGTTGGTGGGCCCCTGTGCCACGATGTACTCGATTCCGGTCTCATAGACATCCATGGGCCGCCTGTACTTGACCACCGTGCCTGCGATGTTGAAGTTCTTGGGGCTGTCCACCTTGTAGTTGCCGTTGAAGAAGTAGTAGCCAGCTTCGTCTGCAAGAGCTGGAAGGGCAAAGCCGCCGGTCACAAAAGGCCAAACTGGCTGGGGGAGGAGCCAGTGTCACCAACTCAGGGAACCACCACCAGCCCTGCCCTCCAGAACCCCGGCTCAAATGCTCCCGAGACAGGAAACTCCCATCATGGAGAGTCTGGCCAGTGAATGCGGAGGAGGGGCAAACGCACGTTCCTCTCAGCCTAAAATCAGCAATGAAGGACTGGTCTAGACATTGAACACGGCTGGCTGGGGACCCATTTGGTCCTGTTCTTGTGGCTACCTGTGAAGAAGCTGAGGGGCTGCAAGGTAATGAGGTCGCACCACAACCAAGGGACCCAGTCTGGAGCAGGAGAGTCTGTGGCCTGTGGAAGGCACACACGAGGCAGCAGGGGTCCTGGGTGCCCCTCCCGTCATCCACACAGAGTGACCCTGCAGCCCTGGCCTGGCTGGCATGGGTGTGCTGACCACCAGGCCTTTCCTGGGGATCGCCCTGAGCTGGCCAGCTCCAACCTCTCCACGGGAGCAGAGACTTCCTGCTGCCCTTGCAGGCAGGGCCATGCTGACCCTTCACCCAGTCAACCCGTGCACCCAGGCCTGGCCGAGGTGCTCAATCAGGCCAGGGCGGCCTGGTCCAATCTCAGTCACCCTCTTCCTGGGTGCCCAATCAGGCCAGGGTGGCCTGGTGCAATCTCAGTTGCCCTCTTCCTGGGGCCGGGTGGGTGGGCACTCCCAGGGCCTAACTCCAGCCTGATGGAAGCTCAGGATGGAAACAAATGGCCCATGAAGCCCTGCAGCCCCCACTCCCCACCACCCCTGCAGACTGGAACAACAGCCCAGAGCTGGTGGGGTTTCAAGGGGAACTGATCCTCCCTGGGGCCATGGAGAGTGAGAAGAGGTGGGGGGCCTCCAGGGCTGGGGACGCAGGGAGGAGGCCGATTCGGCGCTCGGGACACTCTGTCTTCCAAAGGGTGTCCTTAAAGCCAGTTCCAGGAACTGGCCAGTGGGAGAAGAGGAGTTCGGCTTCCAAATTCCTGATGCAATATGAACAGAGGAGCCGGGGCAATTAATTTATTATCAGACAGACGCAACAAGCAGGACATGTCTGCTTGAAAAACCCCCTTCACGTAGAAAAGTCAGAAGATAACGCAAATTAGAGTCCAAGTTCTGCGAGGGGGAGTGTGCTGGGGCCTGGTTGTCTCGGCCCTGTTTCCAGGTATATGCACAGGGTTAAATCCGAGGCTCTCGTCCAAAACCTGTTTCCTGACAGTAATGACCTTCCTTCCTGCGGCTTTCCCAGTGCTCCGAGCCCACCCTTGGTATTTCTACGCGTCTGTTTCAAGAGCAAGAGCTTTGCAGCCAGCTCAGAGAATGTGGAGTTTCCTGGCCTCTCCACTCTCCCAGCAAGCAAGCGACAAAGCAACTGGCCTGGCGAGAGGCCCGGCTCCCCGCTCGGGCCAGGGAGTAGCCCCCAGGGCGCTGGGTGGTGGAGCCAGCATCTGCAGCACAGACCTGCTGGGGCAGGGGCACTCAGACCCCAGGGCACATACGGAGGGCTGGCCCTTAGGCTCTGGAGAGGGAACAGGAGAACCCAAGGTGGGTCCCAGCCTGAAGACCTTCAGCAAAGCCTCCTCTTCCAGCACCCCCTTAGGAGATGGGCTTCACCCCACCAGTTCTGGCTCTCAAGAAGAGTGGGAGGCAGTGGGGGGAGTAAACCCAGGTAGTGTCAGGTTTGGGGCTGCACCTGTGTCCAAGAACAGCGTCCCTATACCCAAGCCCGCCCCATAAAGGGAAGGGCCGAGCACAGAGCAGCTCACAGGTGTCAGCACCTGCCCACTGTGGCCCAAGGGGTGCAGACATGGCACGCTGCTCGGCCAATACTCCATCTTCCCAGAGGGCTCTTCCAAAATTTGCCACCAAGGCTCCCTACACTCAAAATCTGCCACCAAGATGGGGCCTCACCACTCTGTCCATCATGGAAACAACTCCAGAATACTCAGGTTAGAGGACTCCCCTCCTACAGCCCAGCCTCCCAGCGGAGTCTGACTAATGGCAAGAACATCAGCATGAGACCCCAGACCTGAGTCGGAATCCTACCTCTGCACCGACTTCCTCTCAGTGCTACCTTGACCTTGTCATCTCCTGAGACTCACTCCTCGAACCCCACAGGGATCTCATCTGCAGCGGCCCCCAGCTTCTGCCTGTGCCAGGCTCTCGAGTGACAGGGAGCTCACCACCCAACATCACCACCCTCCCATTGTCCAGCAGCTCTGAGTTCAAGGTCCTGCCATGCACAGGGGTAAAGCTGGCTCCCCTGTGAGCACCCCAGCCACACCCACACAGCTGGCTCAAGTTCTGGCTCCTGCAGCCATGCCCACAGCACTGGTCCATCCCTGTCCTGGAGGAAGGGGTCCAGGGTCAAGTGCCCCTTCTCTGCCACGCACAACGCTCCACAACCAAAAGCTCAGTGAGGCAGCTGCCAGACACTGCGTACCCACCTAGCACGTCAGCGGACTTCTTCCTCTCTACAATCTGGATGTCTCGGGCACCAGCCGGGATGTGGGTCACCAGAGAGTAACCTGGAGGCAAAAGGATGACAGTGAGCCCCTCTTGATTGGAAAGGCAGCCTTGGGTGGCACTCGCCCACTCCACAGCTATTGGAGGGTGAGCGGTGGCTGTCTAAGGGCTGGCCCAACCCCCACACCCGCTTGTGTAGCTCAGCTCAGCCCCGTCCCATTGCAGAGGCTGACTCACCAAGCTGGGCACCTGCCCAGGCTCACCCCTTCCTACCAAGGCCATAGGAAGGCTCATCCGTGCTTGCCCCAGCCCCTCCCGAGGGACAGCGAGGGCCACAGGGACATGGAGCACACTGGGAGTTCAGTCCGGCTCTGCCATGTGTCACCCAGGAGACCCTGGGCAGCCGATGGAGCCCCAGCTCCCTGCGTGCATTGTCACTGCCATTTTAAAATCCTGTCTTGTGACAACAACACGTTGACTTTCAAGGCTAGCTACACTCAAAGACGTGGGTGAGAAAGGACAAGGAGAGCTGCAGATAGAATCTCCAACTAAGCCTACGCCCTTCCTAAGCACCAGGCCCCAGGCTGAGATCCAGATCGGGCAATATCAGCCAGCTCAGAGCCTGTCTTCAAGGCCCCCAGGCCCGTGCGGAGGCAGCCATGCAGTCCTCCCAGCTAGAAAGAAACCAAGGGTCTGGAGGGGAGGTGCTCAGAGAAGGAGAGGCATTGCTGGCAGGTGGCTGAGAGAGGAGCCTGGGGAGAAGGAGAGATTTTAATACGCCCTGGGACAGGAAAGAAGGGGCTCTCCAGGTCGGACGTTTCCTGAGGCTTGACGCTTGTCTCACCGGATCCCTCTGGGAACGGAGGATTCCGCGTGCATCTCCCTGCTGGGGTGAGTGTCTCCTGCAGGCCAGTACCCGCCTGCCATCCCTCCCCTAACACCATCACACCTACAGGTCCCTGGAGATCCTGACCTGTCCCTCACAGACAGCCGTGCTCTGGAAAATGTTTAACAGTGGGCTCTTTGGAGACACAGGGGAACAGGAGCTGTGACTTGTAGCATTGGCCAATTTCCGTGGTGTAAACACCCCCGCTGTGGCCAATTTCAAGCCACTGTAATGGGGCAGCTTAACTTCAAAATGCATTTTAAAACATTTTTCCCCTTCTTTGGGTTTCAAGATAGAAGCTTGAAGCAAGCGACTGAAGCTATGTTTGTTTGCACTACCAACCTGATATCACTGGGTGTGGCATTGGGAAGAGAGGCTGCAGCACACCCGTATATGGTGTTTTTGCCACACAGATAAAATAGTTATACACTTTGGGAGGCCGAGGCGGGCAGATTACCTGAGGTCAGGAGTTCGAGACCAGCCTGGCCAACATGGTGAAACACTGTCTCTACTAAAAATGCAAAAAAAATTTAGCTGGGCATGGCGGTGGGAGCCTGTAATCCCCGCTACTTGAGAGGCTGAGGCAGGAGAATCGCTGGAACCCAGAAGGCGGAGGTTGCAGAAAGCCGAGATCGCATCATTGCACTCCAGCCTGGGCAACAAGAACAAAACTCCGTCTCAAAAAAAAAAATAGTTATAGACACTAAAGGATTAGAAAATGGTGACTTTGTTTTAAATATAATGTATTTAAATATAGACTGTTATACTTTAATTTTCAAATTAGCAAGCAGCTCACAAGATTCTTGAGCATTTAATACCCCAGCCCATCCCACAGCCCCCAGCGTGGTTACCAAGCACAGTTCGTCCGGGGAAAGAGTGTGGCTCAGCTGGGAGGATCACAGGCCAAGAGTAGGCTGCCTGGGTTCAGGCCCCGTTCTGCCTCTTGTGGCTGTGTGACCTTGGATGAGTTATTTAGCCTCTCTTTGACTGTTTCTGTATATTTCAGCAACAGTAATAGTGCCAGCCTTGTAGAGCTGTTGCCAGGCGTGAATGAGTTACCTTGTGAATATGGAGAAGAATGAGGGGCGCTGTTTGCATGTCAGCCCCTTGGCCCCAGGCTGAGTTCCACGAGGACATGAGCCCTATCTCTCAGGCCTCACTGTGTGCACAGTGCCTGGCACACACTACGTGCCCTACAAGACACGTGCTGCCCCAATGCCCACTCTCCCTCTGCATGCCCTGGGTCCAGCAGGAGGCCGTGTGAGCAGGTTTGTGAGAGGAAGGGAGGAAAATCAGACACCTTAGCGGCTCCTAGAGCGAGGCCTCCAAAGAAAGGGCCTCTGCCCACCTCGCCCTGCTGGACACCCAGCCCGCATTATTCACACCCCTGCCTGTCCCTTGTCAGTCCGGCACGCCCGTCCCTAGGTCCCATGTCCAAGCCCCACCCTCTCCAGTGCCCTCCCACTGGCACCTCCTGGAGCCAACACTCACGCCACAGTTAGCCCTCAGTGGCAGGCTGAGGTCATTCCCTCGACCTTCAAGACACGGTCGGGTCCTCCGTGGCCCTAACAGGCCTGGTTCTAGTCCAGAGTCAACTGGCCTCATTGGGACCTTGACAGATTATTCCCACTCTGGGCCTTGGTTTCCCCATCTGCTAAGTGGGTCTGAAGCTGTCCTGCCTTCCCAGGTCTGGAGGTTGCAATAACCCAGTTCCATTCCTCAAACATTTCTTCAGAACCAAAAGTGTGTTCAATCTAATGCCAAGCATTACAAGTGACATCCCTCCAAAAGTAGAAAGTGCTGTCCCATGCACAGACGCCCACCCCCGATGAGGGCTGGGACAGAGCTGGACACAAACATCGGGCCAAATGCCTGCAGCTTAGGAAGGGGACAGGTGCTGCCCAAGGGAAGGAGGGGTTCTGGGCTGGGTCAGCCTGGAGCCGACAGGGAGCCTCTGAAACTCAGGCCCCAGAATCCAGCGTGCCAGGGTCAAACCTCATATCCGTGGAGAGAATGGGTCTTGGGCCTTAGTTTCTCCCTTTTTAAAGTGTGGTGTTAGCCAGGTATGGTGGCTCATGCCTATAACCCCAACACTTTGGGAGACGGAGGCGGGTGGATCGCTCGAGGTCAGGAGTTCGAAACCAGCCTGGCCAACATAGTGAAACCCCATCTCCACTAAAAATAGAAAAATTAGCCAGGCTTGGTGGCACATGCCTGTAGTCCCAGCTCCTCGGGAGGCTGAGGAATGAGAATCGCTCGAACCTGGGAGGCAGAGGTTGCAGTGAGCCCAGATCAAGCCACTGCACTCCAGCCTGGGCAACAGAGCAAGACTCTGTCTCAAAAAAAAAAAAAAGGTGCATTGTTAACACCTCCCTGCAGGCTGTCTCAAAGGGCAAATGTGACCCCCAAGCCAAGTGTCCACTGGTACCCAGCAGGTCCTCAACAAAGGGTTGCCCATTCTTGCAAGCCAACGGAGGCCTACAATCACCAGGCCAGCTCACCCGGCCTGGGATGCTGAATCAGGTGCCCCTAGAGGGGAAGAACTTGCCCAGTGGTACACAGGAGGCTGCAGACAGGAGCACACTCAGGACCCCCGATTCCCAGACTCTGCTGTGCTTGGACTCCAGGGCGCGCTGTGGCTTACCAAGGTGGGCATTCCCCTTGCGATAGTTGCCCGTCACGTGGGTGCAGCTGCTACCGTCCCCCTGGCAGATGCCACACTTGTCCAGTGTGTGGGTGGAGAAAAGCACCCCGTCACAGCCGATGGGCTGCAGGAAGGGAGAGGGAGAGGGCTGCTGGGAGGGCGCTGTGGCCAGGCCCCGGGGCCGCCACTGCCTCCCACAGGCGGGCGGGCAGTCAGCACAGTGAGACCGGCGGTACTTTTGCTACAACGTTTAACAACCTCACATTTTCCAGACACGCAAACCCCTCGCAGGTCAGTGAGCTTGCAGGATGTGCCGTCGCGGGCGGGGACCATGAGCTGCCGCTGGCCGTCCACGGTGGTACAGTGCAGGTCACACGGTTTGCTGGAGATGTGGACATAGTCATCTGGTGGAGGGAGACAAAGACAGAAGGTTTCAGCGGGGCAGGAAATGCCGGATTCAGAGGACTTCCCTTTTCCTCCCTCTGAGACAGCTCCCATTGCATAGATGGGGCAACTCAGGCCTGGAGAACAGAAGGAACCTGTCCAGGTCTCAGTGGCAGAAACTGATGGGTCTTCTGGCTCAGCCCACACCCCGTGAGTTCCAGCTTCTACCTCCTCGTGAGTGGGGAGCAGCGCCTGAGACCCATACTGGGGTTCCCCCTCTGCAGGAGGTCTGAGCCAACTCGACACCCCTGTGCTGCTGGCCCTGGGCACCCCAGCCCTGGCCCTTGCGGGTGAGCAGGAGAAGGATGAAGCATTTACACTGTTGCCTGAGCTACTTGCTTTCCATGGGACCGTGTGGGCAGTCTCCGTTTGGGATCGTCTAGGCTGGTTCCTGTCTGTGCCCAGGAGCCAGTAAGTAAGTGAGCAAGTCACCACTGCCGTCAGAGGTCAGGTCTGCAGGGAACTCAGTCCCGTAATCTGTCCTGCGTTGATGTCATGGGTCATGGGGGAGGGGACAGACCCCTGGGCCAGGGCTCAGGAGACCCAGGTTCATTCCTGGCTCTTCGTCTGACCACCTCCATTTCCCCACCTGCCCACCCGTCGAGTTTGGTCCCAGGTGCCGGAAGGGCTACCCCCAAAGCTCAGTCAGCTCCCTGCAAGGTGGGTCCCCAGGGCGGCAGGTACCCGGGTACAGAGGCTTCCACTGGTGCGTCCGCCCGTTGTACACGTGGGAGTTGAAGGAGACGCACTGCTCCTCGCGGAAGCTCCTCCCGTCCGGCGGACACTCCTGGGAAGCGAAGGGACAGGGAGGCTCCGGGAGGAACTCGGCCCGACAAAGGCATTTTTGTCCAGGCTAAGCAGGAAGTGGCTGCAGCCGGGACAGCCGGGACAGCCGGGACAGCCGTGCGGGGGCCACGGCCCACGGGGTGGCCTCTAGGGCTCCTGCGCGCTCCCATGCGCTCTCAGGAGGGAGCAAGGACGCAGGAAAGGGCAGCTCCGCCCCCCACGCCAGCCCTCCGCCTACTCTAGACACAACCCTCCCAGTCCCCACCACGCCTTCTCCCAGCCTTGCGGTGGAGGGGACATGACCCTAGGATGGCTGGCAAGGGTGCTCCCCTCGCCCGTGTCCTCAGCAGGCCCTGACTGTGTGTCTACAGTGACGGGACAGGGCCTGGCACACGGTCCGTGGCCATGCACACTGCGTAAATCAGGAAGATCGTGGTCCTGACTCCATAAAGAGGAACCCAGCGTGCAGACAAGAGACTCATCCTCGGAGGGGACCCAGCTTAGTCGTGCCGGGGCCAGAGCTCAAACCTGGGTCCCTCTCATGCTGGAGCTCATAAATGCCCCTCCCCCAACCCTGGCTGCACTGCCCTAGGAGGGCAGCTGACCAGGTGACGCCAACACAGAAGCGGTGGCCACCTGCCTCCCTCCAGCCCCTCACTCCCTGCACGTGCGCACACACCCCCTGAGACACACAGACACAGAGACCCCCAGCTGCTCTGCCTTCCCTGCCCAGGCAAGCCACACGAGCCAGCCTGGGAGGCCCAGATCCCAGCTCGGCGTGCCCCAGCCTCACGCCCTGCAGTCCTTGGAAAGGTGTTCAGGTTCCAACTGCCCAGGGCCCCACTGAGAGCTGCCTGGTCAGAGTCAGAACCTCCTCTTCAGCCTCGGCTACCCAAGGAAGCTGATGGGGGCTGGAGCAGAAGGGCTCCGAGAGCAACCCAGGGAACTGTTTTATGGCGTGGGGGGTACTGTTTCATGGGACGGGGAAGCCTGGCAACTGCTGGGTCTCTGTGAGCACCAGGTGCACGAATGTTGTGAGTAAAGTGGAGCTGCGACCAGAGACCCCAAACCTTGAGGCTGCACTTGAAGTTCCAGGAGCAGAGTGAGTCCGCCCGTCCCAGCATTGCTGAGCACATGTGAGCACAGGGACAGTGGTCTGGACAGTGGATGGCTCCGTACTAGCCCAGGGCCCCCCGCAGCCTTCTCAACCCTGCTCCTGGGCTCTCCTTGAAGAGCAGCCCACAACAGAATGCCCAGAATGCCCAGGAGCCACCTGGAAGACCCCCTGAAAACTGCATGATGACAGGGAGAGCAGGCCATGGTGCCCCTGCCCGGGCCGGGCCTCACCTGCACTCTGCAGAGCTGGTACCGCTTGGACGTGCCCGTGCAGGTCCTGTTCCCGGGGCCCGGGACGGACTTCCTCCTGGCAGAAAGATGCAGGCTCGGAGTGAGGGCTGCAGAGGAGTTTCAGGAATGTCGCCTGGGCTGGCCCCACGGCCACTGGGATCCAGAATCTCCCGATACCCGTGACCCAGAGGGCTCCTTCCTCCCTACTCAACTCCCACCCCGTACACACACCAGAGCCAAGGGGGAATGAGATTTGATTCACTTCTACATCAGCAGCACATAGCACAGGGGCTCAGTACACAGAATTGAAACAACCACATGGGTTGTGTGCCAGGCCTGTGCCCAGGTGCACACACATGTGTGTTCTCAGAAGCATGAGGTGAGACCAGCACGCTCTCCATGCCATGGATGAGAAAACTGATGCTCAGAGAGGTTAAGTGACTTGCCCAAGGTCATACAGTGAGGGAGTAGCACAGGCTAGATAGGAGCCAGGTCCATCTGGCAGCGGAGGCTTTCCTGCCAGTCCTCTGCTTCTCCCGGGGCTCCCTGGCATATTCTAAAGACCCTCACTCAGGTCTTCAGAAGAGAAGTCAGGGTGGTTCTCCGCCTCCAGGACAGACCTCTAGAAATGGCTCCTGCCCTCTCGTGAAAGGGCTTTCCTGGTGCCCTGAAGCATGAAGGACCCCAGAGCACCAGTGCTGGGGCCCATCCATAGCCGCGTCCAGCAGAGGCTGATGGGGGGACTCAGCCTGTGCTGCCCCCAACCCGAGAGCCCTCCCAGGGGGAGAAGCCACCAGGCTGAAGAGCCAACCGCCCTCTCCTGCCCGCTACCCTGCCCTCATGCCATCCCCTCAGGGCCACGTGCCCAACCTCGCACCTCTGCTGCAGGCAGTGCCGCTCCTGGGATGTCACCCCACCCCCGCAACTGCGGGAACACGCCGTCCACTTGGTCCACTCCCCCCACCAGAAGGCCGTGGCGTCGGTGCCCCCCTCCAGGCTATTGGATGTTGGGCTGTTGTCCTGGGTGAGAGGGACCCCCAGATGGTAGAGGGCTCAAGTGCCCAGGAGGACCAGCCTGCCCCCACCCCATGCCCGAGGGTATCACCGTCAGCGGGACCAGAAGACACAGCCCCCTGGCTGGGCCCCCTTGCAGGGTCACTCGGCAGCTTGGGTTCAGATCTCCTGGGTGGCGCTGGGGGGAACTCCCAAGGAACCGTGGGCCACGGGTCCTCCTTGACCTTAAGGTCCAGGATGGCCTGGGGGCTTGGCAAGCTCCTGGGGCCGCATCTAACTGTCCTCACTTTCCCCGGAGCAGCTCAGGGCCCAACTGCGTTCTGCAGGACACAGCCTACCCTGGCCGTGCTGGGGCCTTCACTTGGAAGGGAAGCACTCAGCCCCCTCAGCCCTCGCCTGCCAAGTCGCCAGGGGCTCCACAGTAGCCAGGGCCCCAGTTCAGAGGCTGATCTGACTGGCTCTGGGCAGAAGTTTCTAGGAGCCAAGATGGGTTCTGGGACCTGGGGCACGTGCCCACACGGCTCCCTCCAAGCCAGTCCATCTGAGAGTGATCACAGCACCTGGGTAGGGGACTGGCATGGGCCCTCAGACCACAACACCCCACTCACCGTGGACCCGGTTGACACTGTGTCCCCAGCTACAACTGCCAGAACCAGCAGGAACCAGGCCCAGCAGGAACATTGCCATCTGCCATCCATCCTAGGAAGCAAGGCCACTGTCACCACCAGGCCAGCTCCGATCCTCTTCCAGATGACCAGGGTACGCTTTGGGAAGAGCCCTCGGGGCCCAGCCAGTGCCCAGGCCTCAAGGTTATCTGGGACTAGTTGGTCGTGGTTGTCTGGCAGACCCTGTTGGGAAGGATGAACCCCCCGCCTCAGTCTAGGCTTAGCAAGAAGGAGCTTGGTGAATGATTAGTAATGCCTGCTTCAGGCAAGACACCCAGCGGCGGTGTGCGTGCTAAGCCTGTGCCACCCTTGATCCAAGGGCATGCAGGGAAGCATGCCATGCTTTGCCTCCAAGTCCTCAAGCCCCCTAGAGAAGGGCTGTGGAGACAGCCAGCCTCGGCTGAGGGGGCTGGGGACCCAGGCGGGGGGAAAGGCTCTGGTTCGAAGGGATGGGCCTGGGCTCAGTCCAGCGCCTTGGCAGGAGCACCTTGGGATTTTAACTGGCTCAGCTCTTGCTGGCCTCGCAGGAGAATGGCCTCTGCCACTGGCTGCTAGGGTCAGTGCATGGGGATGGGCTTGGCCAGGTCCCGGGGGAATGTGCAGCCTCGCCCTAGACCAGCAGCTCCACAGTCAGCATCCAGCAACAGCCGGCACTCAGGTGAGGCAGAACCCAGGTACCTATGCCGCCTCCCGATCCCCGGAGAGAAGATGGAATTGGGGGAGGGGCAGGGCAGGAGGAGGTGCAGTTTGTGCCAGCATGTCAGCAGTCCAGGGCCACAAGGCTGACTTCCTCCCAACAGCCAGCACCCTTGGCTCAAAACACCTGCCAGGGGTCAAAGCAAGCCCATTGGAAGGGACTGTCCAGCCTCCAGGCCCTCAGCTCTCCCCACCCCCTCCTCAGCGTCGACCCTGCCCTGTGGAAGGGAAGACCAGAGATCCACCATGACCTCTGTCCAGGCCTTGCTCAGGTGCTGAGGGTCACTTGCCAGCGAGTTAGAGAAGGGATTTCAGAAACCACGCAGCCTGCACTCATAACCTGGAGCCCAGAGAGGGGAGCCAACCTGCTCAAAGCCACACAGCAAGGTAGCACACTAGCAAACTCAGGGACTCGACCCCCACGCCTGGCCAATTCCAGGGGAAGAAGGCATGGAGGTCACCCCTCACCCCTGCCAGGCCAGAGGCCAACTCGGGCTCTGCCCCTCCCTCCTCAGCAGCCTCCATCCAACTTGAAGAGTTTCCTTGCAGGCCCGGCACCTGCAGATTTTCAGGGGCCACTCCAAGGACACCACTGCAGCCCGGACGACGCAGCAGTGCACCCTGGAGTGGGGAGCCTGAGTCTGACCTCCCCTGCCCCCGCCGCCTGCCCCCCACCTCCCTCCCCTGCAGACCTCCATCTGCACTCTCAGCCTCACACCCACAGGAGCCCCCTCCACTGTGCCATTGGCTAACGGGTGCCCCAGCCTCTGCCTGCCGGCTGAAGACAGGTGCCAGCCGGCCTCACACTTGCTTTTTTCATTAAGGCTTCCAGACACCACTGGCTTCTGGCCAGGCCTCGCTCACGGGGATCCATCCCTCCCTGGGGTCCAAAAGCAGCGGCTGGCGGCAGCAGAGAGGTCTGCCGTGCACACAGAGCTCCGGGCGCACAAGGCTAGGTGCTGGGAGGCCACCCTGCCCCGTGCTCTGCGGCCCGACCCCTCCCCACAAGCCTCCCCACGTTATGTAACGGCTCCAGAGGGCGCGGGGTGCTCCTACCCCCAGCCCCACTCTGAGCAGTGGGCTGGCCTGGTGGACGCTGCAACGTGAGGGGGACGGGGACGAGGTGGCCTACCTGGCTTCGGGTCAGCAGGTTGTCCTCCCAGAGAAAGGGGCGAGCGCTGCGGAGGGCAGACGGCGCCAGGTGCGCTGTGCGTGCGGGGGCGGCGTGAGTGCAGAGGCTGCGGCCCGGCCTCCCTCTCCCCTTCCCCTCCTCCCCCGCGCCGCCTCCCTCTCCCACTTCAAAGAGCATCCAAGAGAGGGGGTTCCCGGGAGGGGCGCAGCCCAGTGGCGGCTCTGCGCCGGCGGCCGCCTTTATAGCTGTCAGGCAGACGGGGAGGAACACTCACACTTCCCACCAGGCCGCTCCCCCGCCCGCGCCGGCCGGCCTGGCGCACACTTTAACCCGCTCTGCGCCTCTGGAGCCCGGCCAGGCCGGCCCAGCTGCCTGTTGGCTGCTGCCGGCGGCGGCGGCCCAGGAGCGGCGAGCAGGGAGGCCTTCTTCCCGGGTCCAGAACTGGGGGCCACATGTCGGGTGTCCAGACGGAGCAGCCGCTGGCCTGAGGTTACCGGGGAGGCTGGCGGTGGCAAAGCCCCAGCCCCGCCTGTCCGGCTTCTGCCTCCAGAGCGGGCCCTGTCCCTGGGGCTCCTGAGAATGGGGTCTGGGATGTATGAGGTGTCCCGTCTGATGGCTCCGTTGTACGGAGGGAAAGGCTGAACTTCCGGGACGACCGTGCCCCAGGTCACGAGCCTCAGAAAGCTCCCGAGATGCAGGGGCCTAAGCAGGTGGAGGGACGCAGGGAGACCCAGCGAGAATGAACCAAGGGCTCCAGGGAGGAGACAGATGTGCCCGTGGCCTGCTGACCAGATGGCTAGAGCAGCCAGGGCCAGGGCAGAGAGGCTCAGGGATTCTGCAGATGTCCAGCACCAACTTGGCAGCCCCTGGCAGGCCAGGCCTGGAGCTCAAGCCTCTGTTCCTGCTGAGTCAGGGCACAGAGGGGAGCGAGAGTGGGTGGAGCAGCAGAGCCCCCCTGGGAAACTCCCGGCGGGCCCCAGACTTTGTGAGGCTTTCCTAAAGCAAGGCTGGGCACCTAGCCTCTGCACACCAGCTTCCCCAGAGCCCATCCTCGGCAAACAGAGGCACCTCCAAAAAGGGGAGGAGGAGGAAGCTGGGGCACCATTCCATCAGGTCATCTGTGTCTTTTCATCCATGCCCCTGCCTCCATGCAGCAGATGTCCTGGGCCCACAGCAGTGCCGGGAAGACACTTCTCCTTCCCTCTGTCCTCCCTGCTGGAAGAAACTTGTGAGTTCCTTCAGCTGCCTTCATGAGAAAGTTCTGCCCTGTGTCTGACCACCCACCAGAAAGGCTGGGAAGGAAAGCCACCAGTAATAGTAGTGAAAGCGATAATACCGTCTGCCCTCTGTCCAGCTTGTCCTACGGGCCCAGAGCTGTGAGGCCAGATCCACCTTTATGATCTGCATTTCACAGGTGGAAGAACTGAGGTTCGGGGACCAAGTCACCTCTCCAGTAGGCAAGGCTGGGATGCCAGCGCTCCTGAGTGTCGGGTTCTCTCCTCTGCCGGGTTGTTTAAGTTTCTCTCCCCGGGACCCTCGGGCAGGCAAGTCTTATTCATCTCATTCTCCTGCTGGGGCAACTGGGATGCAAGGTGGCTGCTCCTAGTCACAGGGCCACCTGCGGTGTGGAACCAGGACTAACCCTAACCCTAACCCAGGCCCACACTGCCCCCTGGGGTCGCTGTGCTGAATCACAGACATGGTGGCACCTGTCACCCAGCACACACACACACACACACACACACACACACACAGGCACACACACACCCAGTCCCTCTCACATGACCGGATTACACTCGCTCTGGGTGCCTCTGCCATCCCCTTCCTCTCTCTTCTGGTGACCGCCAGGCCTCGCACCCCTTGGCACAGTCCCCGAGCTCTCCTGGCGTTTGTGGCCTCACATCCAGCCAGCGCCAGGGTGACTAACGGTTTCCCTTGGGAGGGACCCCACAGCCGACCAACACAAACACCCCCAGTGTCTTCTCTTGGCTCAGCAGGACGGCACAGGCTGCAGGCTGGCCACCTGGGAGACGGGTCTGTGGGGCCAGCCATCCCCTGGCTCTGTGACCTCCTGCAGGTGTGTGACCCTCCAGGCCCCAGCTCCCCTGGCCAGCCACACTTCCACACCACCCCCACCCCTTACCCCAGAGCCTGCAGACTTGAGGCCCACAGGGAGCCATGACTGGCACGTAGCAGGTGCTCTGGTAGCTCCTGATGCCAGGGGCTCCTTACCCCTTAGAGAGTGCTGTTGAGGTGAGTCCCCCACTCTCCAGGATCCCTCTTCGGCCTGCAAATTCCCGGCCTCTCAGGGCCTTCCCCATGTAGGATGGTCTCAGCCCACACCTACCGGCACTTGTAGGGGTGTTGCAGCCGTATGGCCCTGGTGCTGGAGACACCACCTGCCTTTAGAAGGGGATTGTTGGCCAGGCGCAGTGGCTCATGCCTATAATCCCAGCAGTTTGAGAGGCTGAAGCAGGGGGATCACACGAGGTCAGGAGTTTGAGACCAGCATGGCCAACATGGTAAAATCCTGTCTCTACTAAAAATACAAAAATTAGCTGGGCGTGGTGGCGGGCACCTGTAATCCCAGCTACTCGGAAGGCTGAGGCAGGAGAATTGCTTGAACCTGGGAGGTGGAGGTTGCAGTGAGCCGAGATCTCGCCGCTGCCCTCCAGTCTGGGTGAAAGAGTGAGATTCCGTCTCAAAAAGAAAAAAAGAGAGAGAAAAAAAAGAAGGGGATTTTCTCCGCCAGTGTTTTCCAGATATCTGAGGAGCTTAGAAATAGGACAGCAGGAATATGTGTGGGGGATGCCCGGGAGGGTGGGGTTCCAGGGAAAACACGGCGGGGATAGAGAAGCAGGCTTGAGGCAGAGGGGCTGGTGGGCCGTGGCTGACCACTTTGGAGGTTCCCTGGGGAGGATGTTAGGCTGCCGCAGTGGGAGCAGGGCCTGTCCTCACAGCAAAGTGGCCACAGCAGGCTCGGGAGTTTAAGGACGTGGCCCGAGCTGTCGAGGTGGGTCCCCTCTCTGTCACCCAGAGGCCTAGCAGGCCTGGCAAATGTATGTGTGTAGTGTGGTTCACCTAGCCGATAGGGCTGGCCGGCCACAGCCTCAAGAGTGGCCCACCAATACCACCTTCCCTGGCATCCTGCGGTTCTTCTCTGTTGCCAGCCCAGGACCCAGAACATCCTAGGAGCCTCCTGGGCAGACCCAGCCAGAGTTCTCACACCTGACTGGGACGGGGCCACCAAGGGACCATGTGGCCAGCTGGGAGGTGGCTGGCAGCCCCGGAAGAGGACCAGGACTCAGAAGGCAGCCCCAGGGAAAGAGCGAGGGGGCCTCAGCAACCCCAAGAGCCGTCCCTGTCCCCGAGCTTCCTTCCTGGCCCAGGATAGAAGCCAGCTGTCCCTGAGACCCCCCTGGGGCTGGATATACGGGAAGAGCCTCCCCCGCCTTCCCTGGCTGGTCCCAGGTCCATGCACGACCACTGGCTGGCCAGGTCACTTCAGGCCACTTGTCCCTGACAGGCCGAGTTTCCTGGTCTGTTGCACAAGGTCAAGGTCCTTTTTTAGCCCCAGACATCTCACAGGCACACTCAAGAGACAACTGAGACAAAAGCAGAGGTGGGGGCTCCTGCTTCCCCTCTTCTCCCCAGCAGCCCTGAGGCCCCTTCTGGGCACCAGGACTCCTGGAAGCATCATCTGAAAGCTGGCGGACCGGAAGAACCCCAGCCCCCAGCAGCCCCTCGGGCTCTGCTCGCACACGGCCATGACCTCCAGAGATGCCCCGTGTCAGGGATATCTGCTGGGGGCAGGAGGACATCACCAAGCCAGTGAGCTCTTTCTTCCATGCCACCCACAGTGACCAGGGGCGGGCAGCCACTGGTGTCACAGCCAGGTGAAGCAGGAAACCCAGGACCTTGGATCCCGACACTCAGAAGGGCCCCGTCTCAGAGGCTTAGCGTGGAGGCTCAGCATAGGAAGCAGCAGCTCTTCCAATAGCACAGCAACAGCAGCCTCACGCGTGAGTGCCTGGAACCGGACTCTTTGGGTTCAAATCCTGACTCCGTCTCTCTCCAGCTGGGTGACTTTGGGCGAGGGCAGAAGCTTCTCTGTGCCTCAGCTTCCTCACCTGTAAAGTGGCGGTGATAAGGCACTCCCCATGCTGGACTCTTGTGAGGCTGAAATGAGTCCATATGGGAGAAGGGCCTGGGATGGTGGTGGAGAAAGGAAGGGCTGCACGTGCTTTGCTCTGAGCCCAAAGGGTAGCCCGGGGCCAGTGTCTACTCTGCTGTCATCCTCCATCCTGACAATGCCACATCAGGTAACACTGCCACGCCCAGACAGAGAAGGAAGCTGAGGCCAAGGCTTGGACCCCGCCTGAGTCCAAGTGGACTTTCTCAGCCTGGCCAACTTTCTCACATTGTCTCTCGAGTGTGCCTGTGAGATGTCTGGGGCTAGGATGGGGTGCCTGTCATTGGTCCAGGATGGGGTGCACCTGGGTCCCAGGAGAGCCCAGAGCAGCAGGACGTGCTCAGCCTCCCCACCAGGACCAGCAGCGGGACCCTCCCCGATGGCCTCCACTGCTGTTCCTGGAGCCCAGGGCCTTGCGAGCCCTGACTCAGCTTCTCCTTTCCCTGCAAGCCCAGGGATGTGGTGCCCAAGAGGGGCAAGTTTCCACGTAGAGAGGCAAGCTGGGGCAGACAAGAGGCTGGGACCAACAGGGACGCAGGGCCTGCAAAGGGGTCAGGAGCAGCCTTTGGTTCACTGAGAGGTGTGGGTCTGGGCTGGCCTGCTCTCCGTCCTCCCAGCACACACACAGGACTCCGATTCCCCTCTGGGAGTGCTCCCTGCCAACATCAACCCTGCTGTGGCTCAGCCCACGGGTGGAGAATGGACATCCCTGGGTGGTACACCTATGCCCCCGATCAGAGCCTGCCCTGAGGAGGGGACTGCAGCCCCCAGGGGTGACCAGCTGGTGCCGGACCACAGAACTTGGTTTCTCCTCCTCCTCTTCCTCCTTCTTTCTCAGCCAGGAGCACTGGCGTTTTCTGTTAGGCCAACGCTGAAAGCTCGAGCTGGGGGAGCTCATGTCTATGGCTAACAGAGACTGCTTAGGCCACTCCTGGTCTGAGACTCTAGGAGAAAGAGGCTCCTCTGTCTCCAGATCTGGAGCAGGGATAGGGACCTGAGCAGCCCTGGTGTGGCTGTGGCCTGAGGTCAGGCAGAGCCCTGCTGTCTGGGAGACAGCTCTGGGAGGAACCACAGCCAAGATGAAAGGCTTCCCAGCAAGCCTGCAAAAGAGTCTCCTGCCCGCAAGAGCTCCCCGACAGTATCCCCGCCAGCTGCAACCCTGCCACAAGTCTCGTCCCCAAGGGCAGGCTGGGTCCCGGGAGCTGAATTCTCAGGTCCCCAGAAGAAACTGTGGGCTGGGGCTGCTGCTGACCCAGGTGTGGCTGTCCCCTCTCAGTCACACTCAGTGAGTGGCACTTGCCAGGCACCATCCCACAGCCCTGCAAAGGGGAGCAGGTAACAGACGTGTAGCTCAGGCAAGCCCAGGTTCGAGCCCCAACCCCTCTCCCAGCTCCTGGGTCTCTGTAAATGGAAGATGGGTCTCCCCACTTCGGAGGGTGAGGAGTCCCTGGTTCACAGAACAGACATTAGAGAGCCCTTGCCAGAGGCCGGGCTGGCAGCTGAGCTATTCACGTCTGTGCACTCTTCAGCCCCTGCAGCAACCCTGGGAGGTAGCCCCGCCCCAAGCTCCATTCTGCAGACGAGGACACTGAGGCTCCCAGGGCCAAGGGCATGCAGAGGTCCCAGAGCTAGGATGGGCCAAGCCCTCCACCTGGCTCACTTGGCAGGTGTTCAGAAGCTGGGGGTGGTGAGCTGCTCATCTTCAGCCTGCAGCTGAGGATAATATCGGATTGCTCATTGCAGCCCTGGCCGCAGAGGCACACGCGGAGCCATGTCACGCTGCGCAGGGGAGGACCCTGGGTGGCAGTCCAGACAGGCATGGGGACCCCGAGGAGCAGGCAGAAAGCAGCAAAGCCCTGCCCTTCCCAACAGTTGTGGGGGAGCCTCCATGGGCCCCATGGAGAGCCCAGGCACAAGGACTGCTGTGCTCTGGGGTGACCCAGTGCTGTAGGTCAGGTGTTCAAAATGTAGAGGACGCAAACGCAGCAGCCGGCCAGCCCTCCTGGGCCGGGCAGACAGACAGCTGTTGGGAGGCGGGAGCTGCCTGGCATTCCAGGCATTTCAGCGCCTCTATAAAGCAGGGGCGCTCCTGCGGCTGTGGGGGTGAGGGAAGGGGAGTGCAGGGCGGCCCTGCTCCCCAGCGTGGCCCAGGACCAGCCCGCTGGAGCCCACTGGGGCCTGCCATCTGCTGGGCAGAGGAGGGCTGCTGCCGCTCCCTGGGCCTCAGTCTCCTCTTCTGTAAAATGGGGAGAACAGAGGCCTCCACCCCACCTCCCGGCTGCTGGAAGGGCCCAACGAGACAGGTATGAAGAGTCCTTGGTACATGGCCAGCGCTGACCAACCGTCCATCCGTGGACATGATTGGTTTTCAAGACACACTCAGTGCCATGGGGATTCTGAGCAGGGAGAGCCCACACCCCTCTGGGGGGTCAGGAGAAGCTGAGGCTACACAGGGAACCAGGGGAGGGTCTCCTGGCAGAAGGTCATGCAGAGGCCCAGAGTCTGGAGGGCATATGGCTGTGGGGATCTGGTTTGGCTAAAGCCCAGAGCAGGTGGAGAGTAGGGTGGATGCCGGGGACTCCTGAATGGTGGGCTGGCAGGCAGGGGCCATGGGAGGCTTCGGGGTGAGAAGGAACAGGGGTGCCAGCTCACGTCTGTGCTGGCTCAGAGCCTGCCCAGGTTGAGCGGCTCCCGGCCTGGCCCAATCCTGTGCCCCCCACCCTGTGTCTCCTGGGGCAGCGACACCCCCAAGAGCAGCCGGTCTGGCTTTTCCACTCTGCCTCCCCCTCTCCCAGCTCCCCAGGCCAATCGCTTCCCCTGCTCCAGGGAGAACCGAGGGTCATTTCAGTCCTGTTCAGAGCTGGACGCCTTCCCCAAAGCCAGCTGGTCTGCGTCCAGGCGGCCAGGGCTCGGACGGGAGCCACACACATCCCGCTCCCCGCCGGCCCACCTCCGTTCTGCACTCCACTGCCTCCCTCAGAGGGCAGCTCACATTCCAGCCCTTCTGCAGGGGCTCCTCAGGCTGCCCCAGGCCCAGCCACCTGTCTCCCCCCTTTGGGACGTCCCTCCCGGCCCCCATTCTCCTTAATCGCTGCAACACATGTGCAGCTCCGCTCCCTTCTCCACCTCCTCCCCCTTCGCTTTTTCCCTTCCCCAAGCTTACAGCCCTGGCCCTGGAGTTTACAGCTGCAAAAAAACACACACACACACTCATGCACAAAACCAACTGTGGAATGTTTTCCTGCTTTCGAGCGGGGTTTATGGCTCCAGAGAGCTCTCTCCTCCACTGCCTCTCATAGCACCTGACATTGAATTGTATTTCCTCACCACTCTTTTTCGCTCTTACTGAAAGCTGGGCTAGGGGCTGGGGACAGGGGCCCAGTCTGAGCGGGAGCCGAGGGGCCGAGAGGTGAGGATCAAGGAGGATCAGGGCCCCTGCCGTGACAGGCTCACAGGGGATCGTGCGCCTCCCACCAGAGCCGCACACACAGCAGGCCTGGTTTTCCCATTTGGAGAGGGAACTGGGCTCCTCAGAGGCCAGACTGAAGTGTGCGGCAGCCCCGCCTCCTTGGACTTTCATTCATTCTTTTAACAAAGTCATTCATTCAGCCAGTGTGTGCTGAACACCACCATGTGCCAGGCTTGGGCATCGGGGGTGGGGCAGGGAGCCAGCCGGCCAGAGCCCTGGGCCCTGGATCCTGCAGTCCAAGGGGGCCACAGCCCAGACAACCCAACATCAACATCTCAGCCAAGGTGGCGGGTCAGGAACGACGTGGCGTGGAGGGCACTGCGCGGAGCCCCTCAGCTTTCCTTGGGGGCCGGCGGGGGGCGGGTGCTGTTCATCACAGAAGCTTTCCCCACAGACAGGCTGTCTAGGCTGCAGGCAGAGGGAGCGAGGCATTCACCAGAACAGGCGGGGCAGGAAGTGCCTCCCTGCAGGGGAGGTGGGAGGCTGGGAGGAGAGGAGGCAGCGTCTGAGAGTGTGCATGGGGGCTGGGGGAACGGGTCTGGGCCATAGATGGCCTGGTGGTCTCTGTGAGCACTTGGACTTCACCCTTTGGGCTGTGGACGCCTCAGAAGAGTCTTAAGCAGCAGAATGAGACATATCAAGTCAGACGTTTCATTGCAAACAGCAGAAATGGGCTCCAGCCAACTTAAGAGAGATTTCTGGAAAGGTCTGTGGGAGCTCCCACATGGAGGGAAAGGTGGAACAGCCGGGCCTCACAAAGCAGGACTGGCCCAGCAGCCTCTCTTGGAGGGGCCAGTGTTGAGACGGTCCTTGGTCTTGCTGTCCCCAGATTCTAATTTCCAGGAGAACAAAGGTGCAGGAATACTACACTGGACACCACCCAGCAGCAACCGAAGGGACTGTCCATGAGTAGGACAGGGACAAATCGCACAGACATGACATTGTGAGCAAAAGAAGCCAGATCCAAAAAAGTCCACGGTCCATTTGTAGGAGTTCTAGGACAGGCAGTCAGGTACGGGGGCAGAAATCATACCAGTGGCTGCCTCTGCAGGGGGCTCACTGGAAAGGGCTCAAGAGAATATCCTGGGTGGTGAGGATGGACACTGTGCTGGTTACAAAGGTGCGTTTTCAGCAGACTATACAGGTGAAATCTGTGCGTTTTGTCCTATGTGAATTACATCACAATGAAAAAAGAGCATGGAAGTAAAAGCTGTTATTTTGCTAACAACAAATCAATCAATCAATCCAGGGAAAGAGAGTCTGCCTGGGTAGCTCAGACCACACACACCCATCATTCCTTGGCCAGGGGATAGGGGGCACCCTGCCAGACAGCTCCCGCAAGACCTCTTACAACGAGGGAAGGTAATTTCCGGAAGGCCAGCCAAAGAACTGTTGTCAATAGACGAGGGAAGAAACACCGAGAGGGCAAGCACCGGCCTGGTGCTTGGAACACTAAAAGAGATGGCCCCAGGTTGTTTACTTACAATGTGAAACAGTGTAACCAAGTAGAAAAGAACGTTAGTTTCATTAGTCTGGCCACCAAGGAAACCTGTGTGGGGCAAGAGCTGGCGAGTGAGAAGTATATGTGGGCTGGTAAGGTGGGAGATTTATCTACAAGGTCCTTTTAAGGATTAGAATTGGTGAAATCTTGGGTTCTCTCACCTCAGGCCACCCATGGACACGTGACTGAAGCAGCAGCATCCACCAGGCTTCCCATTCTGGGGGGAGGATCAGGATGGAAAATGTCTAGAAGGCAGGGATTGTCCTGTTGGGGACTTTTCCCCAAGGTTGTTGCCTCAGAGAAAAGAAATATGGTCTCCCTGAATCCTTGAATTAACTCCTCTGGCCTCAAAAAAAAAAAAAAAAGAGAGAAGGCCGGGCGCTGTGGCTCATGCCTGCAATCCCAACACTTTGGGAGGCCAAGGTGGGCGGATCACCTGAGGTCAGGAGTTTGAGACCAGCCTGGCCAACATGGTGAAACCCTGTCTCTACTAAAAATACAAAAATTAGCTGGGTGTGGTGGCAGGCACCTGTCATCCCACCTATTCCAGAGGCTAAGGCAGGAGAATCTCTTGAACCTGGAAGGTGGAGGTTGCAGTGAGCCGAGATCACACCACTGCACTCCAGCCTGGGTGACAGGGCGAGACTCTGTCTCAGAAAAAGAAAAGAAAAATCAGAGACAAATGCTGGTCACGTGGCATGTCAGCTGTTGGCCCTCTCCGTGTGTTACTCGACACGTGCACGCACATCCCCGCCTCCGTCAAGGGCATTTAAACCCTCTTGTGGGTGCTCCCCGCAGCTGCCATCAGAGCCCTGCCCAAAGGGAGCTGGCCTTCCCACTTCGTGCTCCTGTGCTGGGGACCTGGGACACCAGCACCCTCCCCACCCCAGCCAGTGCTTTCCTCCTGGCCCATGGGGACGCTGGTGGCCAAGCTGCTCCTGCCCACCCTCAGCAGCCTGGCCTTCCTCCCCACTGTCAGCATCGCGGCCAAGAGGCGGTTCCACATGGAGGCCATGGTCTACCTCTTCACCCTGTTCTTCGTGGCGGTGAGTCTGGGGGCTGGGAGGAAGTCCCACACAGGCCCCATCCTGGAGGTAGAGGAGAGGCTCTCTGTCCACAGCGTTCTTGTATTGGGTGATGAGCAGAAGTGATTTGAAAATGAAACAGCAGGCCCAGGTGGGGTCTGGAGACTGAAGAGAGAGGACTAGGGGAGTCCCTTCCCCTATCTGGACCTCAGTTTTCCCATCTGTGCCAGGAAGTTGCTCTGGGATCACTGCCTGTGTGAGACCAAGCCTGGGGTGAAGCAGGGCCATTGAGTTGAGGATAAACCCTTCCAGCGTGCCCCTTTTCTCAGCTGCTAATCAAAGCCCCCACGGCTGCCCATGGGGCCACCTCCCCTCCCCACCTCTCTTCGAGCTCTACCCATAGGCCACGATGGAGCAGAGATGAGTGGGGCAAGCCAGGCCTGGGAAGGGGTCTGCAGGGTTCAGGGAGTGTGAAGGCCTGGGTGAGTGAGTCTGATTCCAGAATCCTGGAGCTGCTCTGGTTCAGGAGGGCCTGCTGGTCTCTCCCTCTTCTGGGGCCTACTTCTCTCTCTGTGGGTCCGTCTTTCTCTTTCTATTTATGTGTCTGGCTGGCTGACTGTCTCCGCTTGCTCTCTCTCTGGCTCTCTCCTGCTCTCTGTTTCCTGGTACCTGTCATTGGGTGATCTTATCCGGCTTTCAGTGGAGCGCCCAGAACCCCATCTGTCCTTGTTTCTGAGGTCGCTGTTTCTGGGACCCCTGTCTCCCCTGTCTTCTCTCTCTCTCTTTCTGGGTCTCTTTCACTCTGTGTTTCTCGTATTGGTTTTCTGTGTCTAGTTTTCTCTGTTTCTCTTTTTTTCCTTTCTCTCTCTGTCTGGTTCTCTTTTGATTTCTGGAACTCGATCCCCATGGAATTCACTCTCTCTAAAGCTCTTGGTCCCACCCTCCCTGGTTTTAGTCCCCTGACTCTCCATGTGTCTCTCTGGCTTTAGCTATCCACCTTCTCCAGCTTGTCTCTCTCTCTCTCTCTCTCTCTCTCTCTCTCTCTCTCCATCTATCTCTCTATCTACGCATCCATCTACCTGTGATCTATTCGTCTATTACCATCTCGCCATTCAGCCATCATTTATATGTCTCGGTACCCCCTGCCTTCTTGCCTCTGGGTCTTTCCGACTTTCTCCACTAACATGCCCTCACTCCTGGACTCCCACAAGTGGTGCCCCACCTCTTGCTCTCCCGAAGCCTTCCTTGCTCACCTTCCATCACACCCCTCCTTCACTGACAGCCCAATCCCCAGCATGACACCTGCTCTGGGGAGGCAAGCGTCCCACTAGCCTCCTTCTTGGGGCAGTGCTGGGCCCAACCTGTGAAAACTCCACCTCCTCTCCCCAGACAGCCTCCTTCTCCAGCAGCAGGGCCTCTATGGGCAAGAATGCCAAGTGCATGTGAGTGCACAGAGGGAGTCCTGAGCGGGTGAGGCCCGTGAGCTCACACGTGTGTTTGCAAGCATATATTCACATGTTATGCTTGTATCCTGAATTGGTCAAGTCCAATTTTGCCCGCAATGGCAGAAGCTGAGTGTGCACGTGTGGGCTGGGAGCGAGGCATTCCCTCCAGTGTGTGCCACTCCCAGGGGTGACAGTGGCCTGGGACAGGCTGGGTCCTTTGTGGAACCAGATGCCCTGGAGCTTCTGAGTCCACCTCGAGCGCCAGTACCCAGGGCAGAGGACTCGGCTAGGCGCTCTGTGCACAGTGTCTGATTCAGCCTTTTCACCTTCCCCACAAGCCTAGGATCTTGATTCCCATTTGGCAGATGAAGAAACCAAATCCCAGAGAGACAGAGTCACTTGTGTCACTGTGACCATCAAGCTCTCCAGAGCTCCTGACTCACCCAAATGCCACTGCATTCGCTCCTCTGGGACTCCAGCCTGGGCTAGGGCTAGGAAGCCTCTTGGGCAGATGAGAGACTGAAGCCCAGAGCAGAGCCAGGATTTCTCTGCAGGTCCCATGGCCTTAGCGCAGGGAGAAAAGCTGAGGTCTTGTTCTCAAGGCTCCTGTTAGACCTAGCCCAGCAAACCACAAGCACCCACCAGGCCACACCTCCCTGCCTGGGCCTAGGCTGGCCCCGCAGCTGCCTCTGCACTGGTCTCAGAGGCCCCACCCTGCCCCACCCAGAGTGGCAGGGGCAGCTGCCTCTTGTGACAAACGTCTTCTGAACTCAAAGCCACACTCAGTCCCTCCCAAAGTTCTGCCACCCGCATGGCGTCCCTTCCCTTCCAATCAGGCCCCTCCCGTGACAATCTCCATCTCTGTGCCGGACACCTTGCTATGGGTGCAAACCCCACGGAGACAGTGTGCTTGTCCCCACACAACAGAGGAGGCCCCCCCCCGACAGCCACTCACCTGAGCCCCCACTGGGAACATCTGCAAAGTCAGACTCCCCGAGCCTGAGCTCTGACCCCCCAGGCCCTCAGCCGCACCCACCCCACCAGTGCCCCGGCTGGGCCAGGTCTGCCCCCTGCACTGCAGGATGGGAGGAAGTGGCCAGGTGCCAAGCACTGCTCTGTTTCACCTCTTTGGGCAGGCAGTGCTGCTCTGAAGTTCACTTTCCCCATCTGTCGAATGGAGCTAAGTTCCCACCATTGGGAGGAGCCAAGGGCCTAGTGGCAGAGGCTCTGGGTCCCCAGGGTGAGCTGGCTGTCCTTTAGAATTCTCAGAGCCTGGCGTCCCCCTCCCTGAACACATGCAGCAAGCACTCTATGCTGGGAGCCGTCCATGCAACTGGGACCAGACAGAGCCATTCCTGCTCCTGGCAGGGCAAGGGCACAGGCCTTATCACAATCTCACAGTGAATGCCTTAATCACACATGACCATCTGTGCTACATTGAGGCACACAGACAGCAGGTGATGGGGCTGGGGTGGGGGATGGGAAGAAGCCAGGAGAACAGGAGAACAGCCTAGGGCCGGAGTCTTCCTCGCTCCTCTTTCCCACAGAGGTGTAAGCACCTTGATCAGGCCCCTCCTGAAGCTTCCCTGTCCCCAAGGTAAACAGTCATGTCCACCGCTGGTCACCCTCCTCTAGCCGCGTCTTTCCCAGTCTCACTTCAAGAAAGGTGCACCACACAGAGCTCGGCATAGTCTTCTGGATGAGCCTGACAAGAACAGAGAGAAGCAGGACCGCCGCCTCCCTCATTTTAGATGCTGGATCCCTATTAATGCCTCCTAGGTGCACCGTCACTTTAGGCCGTGTACAATTGCCATCAGTAGAAGCACTCCACTTTGACCCCGAATTGCCTGCCCCCCAGATCACCCAGGGCCCCCGCTCCCTCTGTGCTGTCCCTGTCGCCTCCAGACACGGGCTGCTTTCCAGCACGCCTGCTCCTCCCGCTGAGCTGGGCTGACCAAGAGTCCACCGTGCTGTTTCCCAAGCTTGTTTGTGCCAGTTGAACCTGTCAAAATAATTATGTCATGTAATTAAATATTACCTAAAATGATGAAATGCGAATGCAAAAGGAGAGAGAGTTGTTTTCCGTAGAAAAGTAGTTGACTGCTTTGAAAACACTCCCTATAAGCCTTTTGCCTTAAAAATTGCCATGAAAGTGGGTGTTGGGGAGGCGACGACGAGAGTATAGGGCAGAGATGGATGAGCCTAGGGGGCTGTGTTCAGCTTCTGCAAGGGGGTCTCAGAGATCTTCGTCCACGTTAAGGCAACAGAAACCAGGAGCTACAGCCCGGCTCTCAGTGTGGGCCCTGCCAGCCTCAGCAGTGCCACAGGGAATGTGTTCAAAATGCACATTTTCTACCCAACCCAGCCCTCCCTAATCAGCAACCCTAGGCAGGGCTCAGTAACCTGTGTCTAAACAAGGCCCCAGGCGTTCTGATGCCCACTCAAGCCTGAGAACGCTGCTGCAGTGTAGACCAGTCATCAGAGGGGTAATTTGTGCAAGAGAAGGCCCCAGGAGCCCCCAAAGAGCAAAGGAGCCCCCAGAGAGGCTCTGACCTCACATCCAAAGATTGGCGAGTGAACACGCAGCTGTGTGCTTCAAGGAAGCACAGATGCTGAAGGTCCGGGGAGAGCCGTGTAGGGTCCCTCCCGGAGACCGCCCCACCTAAGCGGGCTTCACCTGAGTGACCACTCAGTCTCCGCCCAGTCCTGCCAGTGCAGATGAGCGAATTCTGCTGAGGTGACATTGAGTGAACCCTTGGCACACCCCAGCCCCTAAACACCTCGCTGGCATGTGCCACTTAATCCCCACAGGACCCTCTGCGGGAGTGCTCGGCAGTACCCCCATTTTTCAGACGGGGAGACTGAGGCACACAGTCATTAAGTGACTCGCCAAAGTGACTTCTCACAGCCAGCAAGTGACCTGGCACTCTGGGGGCCGTGGCTCGGGGACCAGCTCTGGCCTCTTTGTGCTGTGACCACCTGTGGGTTTTCTGGCAGCTCCACCATGCCTGCAATGGACCCGGCTTGTCTGTGCTGTGCTTCATGCGTCACGACATCCTGGAGTATTTCAGTGTCTACGGGACAGCCCTGAGCATGTGGGTCTCGCTGATGGGTGAGTGGTCAACCCCTGCAGACAAGCCTTGCGGACAAGGACCGGCTCCCCAGTGTCCGCACACCCAGCCTCAAACCAGTCCCGCTGCAGCCCTCTATCCCCACTCACTCCCAGCCCCAGGAATGTCTTCCCTTGTCTGGGTTTCAGGGTTGTGCTTAATCTATGAAAAAGAATATGCACCTCTTAAATGCCCTGATGCCGATTTTTTATATCCTTTTAAAATGACTCATTTAGTAAAAGCTTGTTGTGACACATTTCAACAGCAGAGGCATACAAAGGAAAAAGTGAAAGGGCTCCCTCCCGTCACTCCTTCCCTGGGAGGACCGCTGTTCACTGCTCAGGGGGGTTGGCTTCCCAGACTGTCATACAAACATCCACACACACGGGTGATATCCAGCCTGGAAGACGGGACTGTTCATAAGCCCCCTTTCCCACCATGTTTTTTTCCACGTAACTGTTGTCTGTGGCAAGGTCCCCATGACCTGAGGCTCCTTGCCATCTAACCGGGCCTGTGAGGGGCTTCATTTCTTCTCTTGAATCTTAGTGTCTTTGTCCTGTGATCCTATGGGATAGATTCGATCCTATTCACTTTGCATAGTGATTATTGATTTTTAGCCACAGGGTCTCACTCTGTCACTCAGGCCAGAGTACAGTGGCACAAACACGGCTCACTGCAGCCTCGAACTCACAGCCTCAAGCCATCCTCCCACCTCAGCCTCCCAAGTAGCTGGGATGACAGGCATGCACCACGACACCCACCGAATTTTTTGTGGAGATGGGGGTCCCGCTATGTTGCCCAGGCTAGTCTTGAACTCCTGGTCTCAGACGATCCTCCTGCCTCTGCCTCCCAAAGCACTGGGATTGCAGACCTGAGCCACCACAACCAGCTGTGGTCTGTTTATTAAAATGAGGTGCTGGGAGCACAATCCAAGCTGCTGTGTCCATGGGGAAGCAGCAGGCTGCCTGTCCTCTCAAACTGGCTGGAATTCAGACCCCTCCATGACCAGGCTGGGCCTCAGGGTCTCGCTGGCTGAGGGGACACCGAGAGAGGGCATCTACAGGATGCCTCCTGGGGGCTGGGGGGTGGGGGGGTAGCCAGGAGGAGCAAGAGAGACCACTCACCTCCCCCTGTGTCTCCCTGGCCCCTCCAGCACTGGCCGACTTCGACGAACCCAAGAGGTCAACATTTGTGATGTTCGGCGTCCTGACCATTGCTGTGCGGATCTACCATGACCGATGGGGCTACGGGGTGTACTCGGGCCCCATCGGCACAGCCATCCTCATCATCGCGGCAAAGTGGGTGCGTACTGCGCGAGCCTCGATGAACGGGGACCCAGGAGGCCCGTCACCTCTCCCCTGTCTGACTCCTCCTGCCTCGGATCTTCATTTACCTCCTGCCCTCATAGGCAAATGGGTGGATGCAGGAATTCAGCAAAACCACGTAGAAAATAGCCATGAGGTGCTCCGGCTGTGTAGACTGTGTGTGACGCTTGTCTGTACTCACCAGCTCCAGACTGAGCCCAAGTTACCCAATGTCTCACCTCCACGCCCGTACCTGTAAAGCAGGTGTTGTCATTACAGCCCCCTGCCTGTCTCATGGGGTGGTTCAAAGACTCACTGAGATCAGGCACCTGAAGTCCTGGCATGGAGCCTGGCTTCCAATGTGCTCCGCACATAAGAGCTATTTGTTATCACTCTCATCACCGCTCTTACTACCAGCTGCTTTAGAGATGCAACATCAACTTGGAAAATGGCCTGGGGTAATCTGGGAAGACTTCCTGGAGGGAGTGAGCCTCGAGCTTGGTTCTAGCCAGGAGGGAGAGTGTGGTATGACAGTGAGGCAGCCTGGGCCAGACCTTCTAGCACAGACAGCCCCTTGCAGAGCAGCAAGGCCCTCACGTGGTCTTCAGTGCTCCCTGCTCTCTCCGTCCTACCAAGACCCTCCTGGCTCAGGGACCAAACCCCACTCAAACTCGCCCAAGCTAAAGAGGGATCTTAGGGAAAAATAGACCCGGGGCATCTCCTGGGACCCCAGAGCAGGAGGGAGCTCACCCTTGCAAGGGTCTCCCAGACCTGGGGAGCCAGCAGGCTTCAGCCTGAGCCTGCTCTCCAGGCCTGCAGCAGCCCAGGCACCGCCTGAACATCCCTGTGCTGCATTTCACCTCTTTGGAGTGGACCTGAAGTCTCAGGGTCAGTTTCAAGTGCCAAGAGAGGACCTGGCCTGGTCCAGCCCAGCCACACTGCCAGCCCCGGCCAGAGCCGCAGGACACCCAGCAAGACAGAGGGCAGCTCTCAGTGCAGGAGGGCCCACGGCTGTGGGGAGAGCGCTCGAGTTCTGGTGGGCAGCTTGCAAAGCCCGTCCCAATCCTCCCCACAGCCAAGGAGCATGGGACTGATTTGCCATTTGGCCTATGAAGGAACCAAAGCATGGAGGCCTCAGCAACTTAACAGGACGTCATGGCAGGGCAGTGGCGGGGCCAGAACCTGACTTTTTTTTTTTTTTTTTTGAGACGGAGTTTTGCTCTTGTCACCCAGGCTGGAGTGCAATGGCGCCATCTTGGCTCACTGCAACCTCCGCCTCCCGGGTTGAAGCGATTCTCCTGTCTCAGCCTCCCGAGTAGCTGGGATTATAGGCGCATGCCATCACGCCCAGGTAATTTTTATATTTTTAGTAGCGATGGGGTTTCACCACGTTGGCCCGGCTGGTCCTGAGCTCCTGACTTCAGGTAATCTGCCTGCCTCAGTCTCCCAAAGTGCTGGAATTACAGGCATGAGCCACCACGCCTGGCTGGACTTGACTTTTTGAGCAGGAGACAGAGGACCTGCTTTCTGTCTGCAACCTGAGGAAGCAGCACTAATCCTGGGCTGACCCAGGAGGCCCCTGGGAGTCACCTGGTGGGGAGAGAGGGAGCGCTGGGCATAAGTGGGCTGGACCAAGGTGGGTGGCAGGAAGGAGCGTGCTGGGGCCCTGGGTCCTGGCCACCCGCCTCTCGCCTCCTTCTGCCCCTGAAGGTTGCTCCTCCCGCTGGTCTTGGCCAGGTCTGAACTGGGCTGAACTGTAATTGCCCAGAAGAGAATTCACTGCTGTGTTTCCCACCAAGAGCCACGAGACTGCCAAGGCCCTCAGGCTGCAGATCCAGCCACAGGAGCCGAGGATGGGCTGCCCGCCTCCCCGCATCTGGGGCTCAAATTGTTGTCTTCTAGACCATTTAGTATGGAGTTTATTTAGGATTTTCAAGGGCAATTGTTTCCTGGAATGAGGGTGGATTTTTCTCCCTGAGCCTCGTCCCCTCTTGGGAGGGGTTGGGCAATGGCAGCCCGGGAGGAAGAAGGAGGGAGGGTTGGGTGATGGCGCCCTTTCAATAGTGCCAGGCCCACTGTGTGACCTGGGGCAGGCACCTCTCTTCTCCCTGGTGTTACTACTGCAGGGCTGGCCAGAGGTGGGCTGGCAGCCTTGACCACCGCACCCAGGGTCACACGGTCCAGCTGTCTTCAGGCCACTGCAGGACTGCAGGTGCTCAATTCCTTGTTGGCAATGGAATTCCAGAAAATGGAAAGCCGGGCATCAATTCATAATTCACTGGGTGGCAAAACCTGACCTGACCCAGCATAAGGCTCTTTGTGCTCTTTGCATAGGCCACTCAGCAATGGGTGCAGTTATGGGGTGCTGCCCCCACCCCCAGGGGCTTGTGCCACACGCTGTGTGTCTAACAGTTGATTCCACTGAAATCTATAGCCTCCTGAGTGTACCCCCACGGGTCTGGCCCCACTCCGAGGCCGCCATCACCCAACCCTCCCTCCTTCCTCCCCAACAAGGCTGTCGTTCCCCAGCCCCTCCCAAGAGGGGACCAGGCTCAGGGAGAAAAATCCACCCTCATTCCAGGAAACAACTGCCCTTGAAAATCCCAAATAGACTCCATGTGAAGTGGCCTAGAAAACACAAGGCCGGCTCCAGGGATGTGGCCCCACACTTCCCGCATCTTCCTCGGAATGCAAACCCCTCTGTAAGTGGAAACGCCCACGCGAGCCTTCCTAAGCACTGGGACCTGAGAAGCAGTGCTGGCCAAGTTTGTCTAATGAAGAGTGAGATAGGTCCTTTAACTAGGAAAGCAAACGATGCTTGTCCATGGCTCAGGGATCACCACAAGTGCCATCCCCATGGGCCACACTGGGCTGGCAGGTCCCAAGTACTCCAGTACTTTCCTTGGTAAGCAATCATGGAGTCTAGTCCCCCCAGAGCTCCCCTCCAGGGAGGAGGAGACATGCGAGGGTGGCGTTGTTACATCTCAAAGAGGCGGGAGGGCAGCGGGGTCTTTGTGGGGCACATGGCCCAGTGGCTTCCTTCCCAGCCATCCAGGCTGGGGTCTCTGCTGGGTCGCACCGTGAAGGGCCCTGTCCAGCAGAAGCCATCTGAGGCTGGGTGCGGCAGGAGGCTCCTGAGCCTCCTCTCCTGCCGGGAGAGGGCTGGGGTGAGCCTGTGCAGGGCCAGCTCTCGGGCTGGTTTGGGGAGGGGCGTTCCCCAGTGCTGTGACCTAAAAGCTTTGCTGTGGCCTCCTGTCCTCACAGCTACAGAAGATGAAGGAGAAGAAGGGCCTGTACCCAGACAAGAGCGTCTACACCCAGCAGATAGGCCCCGGCCTCTGCTTCGGGGCGCTGGCCCTGATGCTACGCTTCTTCTTTGAGGTACCAAGCCCAGCGGGGAGGTGTCCTGTGCCCCAGAGCCCACTCGGCATGGCTCTGCTCAGCTGGGATACCAGGGCTGTGCCCACGCTGGGGGGACTCTGACAGCCCCAGGCCAAAGTCTGGTATTAGTCCCTGCTCACTAGCCCCTCCCAGGGCTATGTCGGGGGCAATGCCGTCCCCAGCACCACCAGCACCATGGCCTGTGTGGACCTGGAGGTCACAGAGACCAAAGCTGGCTGCCTACAGACAGCTGGCATCTCAGACGGCAGCACAGCCTGGGAGACGCCTGGGGCAGGTGCCCAACACCTGGAGGAGGGAGGGAGGGAGGGGAGGAGACAGGGAAGGAAGGAGGGAGAAAGTGGAGGAGGGAGGGAGGAACAGGGGAAGAGGGATAAGGAGAGAAAAGAGGGGGAGATGGAGGGAGGGAGGGTAGGAGGGAGAGAAGGATGGAGGAAGAGAAGGACAGCAGAGAGAGGGGATGGGGAAGAAGGAAGGAGTGCAGCCTGGAGGATGGCACAGGCCCTCACTGCTCTGGGTTTAGGTGGAGAGAAAAACCACTGTGAGCGCGACCGTGGGGGAGGCTTCCTGCAGGTGTCCCAGTGCCCTGGCAGAGGCGGGGGCCTGAAGGGGCTCTGCTGGGTCTTGGAGAGGGAGGAGCCTCGGGGAGGGGGCTGAGGCCCCAGACTGACCGCTTGCCCCCCGCAGGACTGGGACTACACTTATGTCCACAGCTTCTACCACTGTGCCCTGGCTATGTCCTTTGTTCTGCTGCTGCCCAAGGTCAACAAGAAGGCTGGATCCCCGGGGACCCCGGCCAAGCTGGACTGCTCCACCCTGTGCTGTGCTTGTGTCTGATGCTGCGCCCAGCCCGGCTCTGAGCCCCTGCCCTCCCCAGCTCACACTTGGCCAGAGTCCCAGACAGTTTCTCCTCCTGCAGCTCCTGCTGTCCTTCCCTGCCCTGGAGCATCCAGGAGAAACATCTCTTCCACACCCTGAGAGGTTCCCGGGGGTCTGTGAAGGGCCCACCATGCTGCACTAAATGCTTCTTAAGAAACTGCTTGCCGGGCGCGGTGGCTCACGCCTGTAATCCCAGCACTTTGGGAGGCCGAGGCGGGCGGATCACGAGGTCAGGAGATCGAGACCATCCTGGCTAACACGGTGAAACCCCGTCTCTACTAAAAATACAAAAAATTAGCCGGGCGTGGTAGCGGGCGCCTGTAGTCCCAGCTACTCGGGAGGCTGAGGCAGGAGAATGGCGTGAACCCGGGAGGCGGAGCTTGCAGTGAGCCGAGATCGCGCCACTGCACTCCAGCCTGGGCGACAGAGCGAGACTCCGTCTCAAAAAAAAAAAAAAAAAAAAAAAAAAAAAAAAAAAAAAAAAAAAAAAAAAAAGAAACTGCTTATTCCCTTGTGACGGGGTGCGCAGGACCAAGCTGGAAAGATAAGAATGTTCTCCTCCCAGGCCTTGTCACAACCCACTGGCATGTCTGGTGGAGCCCTAGGTCTGGCGTCTGCCCACCCCACTGCTGGCCAGGAGCCCAGGAGTCCCAGCCGGGTGCCAGCCATGACAGGGGGGGCTTCCATGTCTTCAGTTTTCTCCTGGAAACTGCTATCACCATCTCTGTCCTGTGTCCTCAGGCTCCGAGCGACCCCATTTAGGAAGCTGGGGCCAGCGGGGCCAGCTGGATCCCTGGCCCAGCCCACTCTGGCCCCACCCCTCCCGCTGGGTCCCTGAATCAAGCAGTTTTCATTATAACCAATAAGAAGTGCCTCAATGTATCAACCTCACTGCACCCCAGACACTTTATATACGTCCTAACCCTTAAAACAAGACTCAGCCAAGCGTCATCCCTCCCACCCCAGCCGCTTGTTCAGGGCCCAGAGCGGGGGCTGCCCCTCTAGAGTGGTTGGTGTGGGAGGTGTGAGCTCCGCTTCTGGCCCTCAGCACCCGCATGCTGGCTTTTAGCCCTGCACGCCGTCCCCAGCGTGGAAAGGTGATGGGTTTGGGTGCAGTGCCCGTGAGCAGAGGCTGCAGGGCCCAAATGCCGGGCTCCCTCGGCTGGGCCTCCCTGCTGCGTGATGGGCGGTGCTGTCTGTGAAGGACTGCGGGGGTGGTGGCAGCAGGTCCCAGACATCACCTCACAACCTGCGTCCCCCGGCACCCAGCGATTCCAGGCCCATCTGTCAGGCAGGAAGTTACCTACACCTGTCTGGGGCCTGTTTGTGTTTCCAGACGGTGCCACCGGCTTGGGAGTGGTTGCCCAGGTCCACTGCCCATGGAAAGAGGGCGGTTATTTGTCCTAGAGTCACCCCCTGTTGCCTCCAGGGCTGGGAGATAGCTGGCTCCGCTCCTGGGCTGGGGACAGGGTGGCCCTCTAGGCCCCTCCCCCATACGGTCGCTCTGACACCCTGGCCTGGTGGCCCCATCTGCTGCCCTCCCTGATGGCCTGGCATCCCCCAAGTCTCAGGGGCCCTGGCCTGCCCCTTCCTCACCTGGCGTCCCTCCTGGCCTTGAAGGGCAGGCATAGAGGACAGCCAAGCTCAGCCCTTTCCTGGCCCCGGAGTCTTTGAATGCAGAGCAGCCCAAGGCTGGCGCCCTCTCCCCAGCTCTCAGGGTATGAGCAAGCCAAGGCTCCAGCATCCAGGGCTCCAAGCCCATCCACCCAGCAGGGGAACTGGAACATGTCCTACGTGTCCCCATCATAGGGCTGAAGACACCCAACTTCTAAGCCCTGACCTGGGGTTGAGGGACAGGCATGGCACTGCCTCTGTACGCTTCCAGTCCACCTGAGGAGGTGCACACATGCCTGCACACACACCACACATACACACATGCACGTGCACACATGTACACACTCCATACACCACACACCACACATACACACATGTGCACACATGTACGCACTCCATACACCACACATACACGCATGTGCACACATGCACGCACTCCACACACCACACGTACACACATGTGCACACTGCATACACCACACACACTACACATACACGCAAGTGCACCCATGTATGCACTCCATACATACACACACCACACATGCACGTGCACACATGTACGCACTCCATACACCACACACACCTACACACACGTGCACACATGTACACACTGCATACACCACACACCACACATACACACATGTGCACACATGTATGCACTCCATACACCATAAACACACCACACATACATGCACGTGCACACATGTATACATTCCATACACCACACACACCACACATACGTACACATGCATGCACACACATACACACTCCATAAACCACACATACACACATGCACGTGCACACATATAAACACTCCATACACCACACATACACACATGCACGTGCACACATATACACACTCCATACACCACACATACATGCACATGCATGCATGTACACACTCCATACATCACATACACACACGTGCACATATATACACACTCCATACACCACACACCACACATACACACATGCACATGCACACACGTACACGCTCCATAGACCACACATACACATGTGCACACATATACACACTCCATACACCACACACACCACACACACGTGCACAAATGTACACACTCCATACACCACACATACACACACATATGTGCACACATATGCACACTCCATACACCACACACACACCACACATACACGTGCACACATGTACACATGCCATACACCACACATACACACGTGCACATATATACACACTCCATACACCACACATACACACACGCATGTGCACACACATACACCCTCCATAAACTACACATACACACCACACATACACACACGCACGTGCACACATGTACACACTTCATACACCACACACCCACACACGCTACATGCACTGTGAAAAGACGGGGTGTCCTTGAATCAGCGTCTTCCCCTCTGGCCCCGTGTGGAGACCACATAAGCCTCACACCAGGCTTTGTAGGGGACAGGCTCTGGGGACCCCGTAGCTGGAGAGCCCTGGACATCCCTGCAGAAGCAGGCACCTGCACGGTGGCCGCCCCACCTCCCTCCCCACCACAGCAAGCAGCCAGCACCCCCCTTTCCCGCTTCGCAGCAGCAGCACATGGAAAGTTGGAGGCGGCAGGCCACTCCGAGCAGGGCGGCGACGAGGGCCCTGCCAAGCGCGAAGGGCCACACTGGCAGGCTCCTCACTGCAGCGATTTACGAAGGCCGCCCAGAGCCTGGCCAAGTCTGTAAGTCACGGACAATTAGGAGGCGCGCTCCAGCCCTCAGTCCCTGCCCACCACTGCAGGATCCCGGGCTCCAGGCCCAGCCTCGACCCTCCCGACAGGGGCAGGCCCCTCCCCTTCACAGGCGACCCCTCGGGGGCCCCAGGACACAGTCCTGAGCCCACTTTGCCAATAAGGACTCCGAGGGCCAGGGACGTCAGACAGCTCGGGACAGTGGCTGCTGGGTGGGAGACGGTGCCAGGGTCTTGCCAGTCCCCCCAGCTGTGTCTCCCTCCCATGGCCTCAGGCACCACGGCCCACTTTGACATCTTGGGGGCTCTGACCAGGGAGCCAGGTAGGGAGCACCCGGGAGGGGCCACCCTGCTCCCTTGACACCCAGAATGGTCACCCCAACGCTGCAAGTTAACAAGAAAGAAACATTATGGCCTGCAGATGCAAACACCTCTGAATCCCTATGTCTGCCAGCCCCGAGGGCGTCGTGTCCCTGGAATCTGAGAAAGGGCCTCCAAGGCCGCCCCAGCCAGAACTCCCTCTCCCCAGCCCTGATCGGGAGACCTGGGGACTGTGAGTTCAGTTCTTGGAAAAGTAGTTCTAGATGTCACTAGGAGTCCCCAGCTAGCACTGGCCAAGAGGACTTGCTTTAGCAGTGGGGATGCTCTGGGCTGCCCAACACGCCTGGTGCCTGGGCATCTGCAACGTAGCTGGTACAACCCCAAACCTGGATCTTTAAATGTTATCCTCATTTTAAATAATTTAAGTTCGAATAGTCACATGGGTCCGGCCAGGTGCGGAGGTTCACGCCTGTAATCCAAGCACTTTGGGAGGCCGAGGTGCGCGGATCACGAGGTCAGGAGATCAAGACCATCCTGGCTAACACGGTGAAACCCCGTCTCTACTAAAAATACCAAAAAAAAAGTCACATGGGTGGCGTTGCCGATGAAATACAGGACGCCCAGTTGCGTTTCAATTTCAGATCTATAGCAGACGATCATGCAGCATAAGCGTGCCCCGGGAGCTATTGGAGAGACACTTGCGTGAGACACGCCTATACCAAAAAATGATTCATCGTGTATCTGAAATCGAGTTTATCCCAGAGTGTTCTGTTTGATCAGGCAGCCCTGTCCATGTGGCTGGTGGTTACTGCATAGGACGGTGCATCTGCTGGAAACAAAAGGGATGGGACAGCTCTGAGGACTCTTGGTGACTGAATGACCATGTGCTCCCACAGCTGGATCATTTCCCACTCTGGGGGGATGGGTGGGCACACACCCAGCAACAGCCTCCCCGAGCCTGGGAGCAGAAGCAGCCTGGGCCCCACCCATCCCAGTGCCAGGGTCAGCCACGCCCCAGCCCCACACTCCGGCCCCGACCTGCCCACGCCTGTGCCCCGTGCTGGGGCACACACCACACCCCCTCCTGGCACACATAGCAGGAGCCCAGCTCAGGGGAGAGTGCTGCACACCTCAGGCAGCACCAACGCGGAGACGTATTCTAAACACTCAACAGCAATGTAAACAAAACAGGCTATTGTAGCAGCCACCTCCAGCTCCCGGCAGCTCGTGTGAGGCTGGCATGGCACGGGGCAGTGCCCCCTGCCAGGCCGTCCTCTGTTTGCACAAGCGGAGGCGTTTTTGTCTAAGGGCAGTCTGTGTGCTGTGGCCTTTGTCGTGTCTGCTACTGAAATTTCCTGTCTCTGTTATTCTCTTCTCCAGTAAGACGATCTGAAACCCAAAACTTTTATTGCCCCTTTTAAAAAGGCTTTACAGCTCCCCATCTACTTCATAGACTGTCCCGCTCTCGGGGCTGGGATTGTAGTTAGGGCAAGCACGCTGGACGCCGGGAAAGGAATTCACCCTGGTCTCAGCCGCAGGGGCTTGGCTAGGAGGATGTGGAGGAGGGGTGGGCAAGGGATGTTTCTGCAGAGTCGGCAGGAAGCCCCGGGGTGTAAATCTCTTTGCCGGTTAGCTTGTTACCAAAGCAAGCTGCCTAAGGTGGTTAGAGGCAGCAGAGAGTGCTTGCAGCCCTGGGGCCCCCTGCCAGGCCACCTCTCCATGGCCAGGTGACCTTGGGGCCATTTCTGCCCATCTCTGCATCCAGATTCCCCACCTGTGAATGGGAACAGCAGCCTCACCCCGCCGACCACGCGGGCCCCTTTGAGTAAATTAAGTCAGAGGCTGGCTGGCTGGAAAGGTGTCAGGGAGTTTAAAAGGCAGAAGAGGCAGGAAGCAGATGGGGCAGGTGGGGGTCAGGACCCCAGCTCTCCCTCTATGAGCTCAGGCAAGTTCCCTGCATTCTCTTGGCCTTGGTTTCCCCTTTTATAATAGTGCCTGCCTCATATGGATGTTGTTAAGATTAAATGACACATTTATTATAAAGCATCCAGCACAGTATTTTTTAAAATACTTCTTTTAATGGCAATCATTATTATTTTCATTATTATTGGTCAAGGGCAAAACAATGAATCTCTAGAATTTTTTTTTTTTTTTTTTTGAGACTGAGTCTCACTCTGTTGCCCAGGCTGGAGTGCAGTGGCGCAGTCTCGGCTCCACCACAACCTCTGCCTCCCAGGTTCAAGTGATTCTCCTGCCTCAGCCTCTCAAGTAGGTGGGACTACAGGTGTGCGCCACCATGCCCGGCTAATTTTTGTATTTTTAGTAAAGACGGGGTTTCACTATGTTGGCTGGTCTCGAACTCCTGATCTCATGATCCACCAGCCTCAGCCTCCCAAAGTGCTGGGATTACAGGTGTGAGCCACCGTGCCCAACCAAATCTCTAGAATTTAAGAGGGGTCTCTATCCTTACCATCAGGGAGTATTCACTGCAGTTAAGGAACCAAATACCCACATTTGCCAAGGAAACAAATTGCTTCATACCAAGTGCCCAAGAATTATGGATGAAGAAAGTAAGGAAGGAAGGCTGCCTGGAAGAGGCAGGTTGGAGACTGAAGCTAGAAAAGCAAAGTGGACTGAACCGTGCGAGCCTGCAGATGCCCGACCCTCGGGCCGTGTCTATGATGGCTTTGTCATTCCATGGTTCTGAGTCTGGCCATGCCCCTGTGCCCTGCACCTCCCCAGACCTGCTGCACCCTTCCCACTGGGGCAGCAAGAAAGCCACCACTGCCCACGTGGAGAGAACGGTGCCAGCAGGAGACTGTGTGTCCATTGCCGGCTTCTGTCCCAGGACAGGGAGACAGACTGAGTCTGGGGTGTGTCTGTCCTGTGTTCATGGTCACCTGTGGCCAAAGGTGGAGGAAAAATGTGGCTTTGCTGGGCTTTTCTCCTGCCCTCCCTCAAGGGGGAGGATTTGTGGCCGACTGAGCCCATGAGCAGGACTTGGGAGGCAGACACAGGCTGGCCTCGTGGCGTGGCCTTGCGTGTGAAAGTACTGACGGGTGACCCTTCCCCTCCAACCATCTCGGGTGAATCGTGCCCTGTGTCATATCACCAGCTCTGCCCTGGTCTTGCTGTGCCGCCCCAACGCTTGACCTGAAACAGCAGGAAACAGGGGGCTCGGTCCCAGGGCCCAGTTTAAACGTCGCCCCTTCCTGAGTGTCTCCATGTGCCGCACAGCTTTCCCAACCCCAAGGAGTCACACAAGTCCAGCAGACCTGGGCTCTGCCTTCCGATGGTGCACAGACTGATGGGGGAGGCAGACCCAGAACTGAGCCATCGCGGGGGATTGGGGGAGTGAGGCGCTGGGTCAGAAAGGCTGCCCAGTGCGGGCGCTGCTGGGAGACCCGAAGGAGAAGGGGCCAGTGGCCCAGGGAGAGGGAGAAAGATCTAACAGGGTTTGTCTGGGAACTGCACAAGGTGGGCGTCAGTGGGCAGGTTCTAAGGATGTGAGGGTTTTAGGTGGGGGAGCCTGACAGTGGGTCTGGCTTCCATGAAGAGGTGGGCAGTGGCAGAAAGAGACCAGGAAGGCTGCTGCCCATCGGGAGGGAGCCAAGTCCACCAGGCAGGAGTGTGGGGAGGAGGGAGGCGCTGGGAGAGCGAAGGTGGCATCAGCAGGGCTCACTGGGGGCCCACCAGTCCCCCAGCTGGTTTTCCAGTGGTGCAAAGCCCAGTCATCGGTGACTGGTGGTGCCTGGGACGTGTGTCCCTCCAGCAGTTCTCAGCCATGGCCCCCAGCCTGCGGGGAGCTGCCCTGGTCTGGGAGGGGTATTGAGGCAAATTGTTGCCAGCAATCATAGCTCAAAGCTTTTGGACAGCTGGCTTGTGTCTTAAAGCCACACAGAGTCAAGGTCACCCCCAGTTACCTAGTCATTCGTTCCCCTGCAGCCTTTGTACGACGGAGGTGGCGGGAGAGCCGTCGCTCAGGGCCCAGCCTGCATCACACAGGCCAAGACCATGCCCAGCAGGCCAGGGGCGGATGTGGTCCCATGAAGCCTGGAAGCTCGACCCAGGCTGGGAGTGTCTAAATCAGCATCGCGTTCCCGCGCTCCGCCTGGCGGGCCGTAGGCAGGCACTTAACAAATATTTGTCAAATGAATGGATGAGTGGATTTTTCCATATCTGTCTTGGCAAGGGCAGGTTTATGCCTCCCTGACGAGTCCACATGCAAAAAACAGTTAGTCAGTGACCACAGAAGACAGCCTTGACCCCGCTGACCTGCACACCGGCCGCAGGCGGGAGCAGGCCATGAGCCAGAAAGGAACTGGCTCTGGAGTACCCACCCTGGGGCTGTGTGTCCTTGGGTAAGGCCCTTCAGTCCCCAAAACTTCCAGCAGTGACACCTGCTTATCCTGCCGGGGCCATCGGACCCAGCCCCACCCACCCCCCCACTGAGAACCTGGCCTGGGTTCAGTCCCGCCCTGGGCCAGGAAGGCAGCAGAGGTGCACCGGCCCCTCAGGCTCATCGGCAAACTGCACCATGTTGTCAAGCTGCCATCCTGTCTACGGTGATAGGGACATGACCCCACGCCCCCCACCCGCACACACTGTGGAGAAGCAAAAGAGACAAAAGCTGCATCCTGCACACAGGGGAACCCCTTTAGCCAGGGGGCCCAGGCTCACCCCAGGAGGAGCCCAGAGGAGCCAGCAGACGGCCATGACCACCCCAAGCTTAGGGCCAGTGGCCGGGCCTGGCCAGGGCTTCTGCCCAATCACTCCCTTCCCTTCCGAGAAGCTGGGTCCCTTGGGCCTTCATTGGGTTTTGTTTTCCTAACAGCTAGGCTAACGGGAGCCTGCTGGCCTAGAGCCCCGGCTGGAGCCAGGCTATCGAGTAGCTGCGGCCACATCTGGAAGACGTTTGGGCAGAGTTCGGCCCCCGCACCACAGCAGGCTGATAAGCGTCTGCTGCTGGCTTGGAGCTCCGGGAAGCTGCAGCCTCAGACCACCGGCCCTGGCTGCCTGAGCCTTCCAGAGGTAGGAGAGGAGGGGCAGAGGAAACTGGGGCGTTCTCTGGCCCCTGGCCTGCCAGCCCATTCCAGAAACCACAATGGCAGAACCAAAGATGTCAGCACAGAAGGCAGCCTAAGAGGCCCCAGAGCTCCACTTGTCCCTCCTGCAGACACCTGCTCTTCTATGCTGGGTCCCATGGTGCCTTCGCCCTACCAGTTGTCGAGATCACTCCCGTGACGGTCTTTAGGCCTGGACCAGGCTCTCGCACCTGGGACCACTTCCTCATCACCATGCATCTTAGTCATCTTGGCTTCCCCATCTCACCAGCTGGAAAACCAAGGATCCACGGAGTGTCTGCATGGGTGAGACCTCACACTGACAGAGCCAGGACACGGCCCCAAGTTTGGGGTCTCTGAGTCCTGTGTGCTGTACACTGCACTCACGGCCTCCTTTGTCCTGCCCTGTTCTGCCACTGGATGGCCCAACAGAGGTCTTCACTGTGGACCAGCGAAGCCCCTAGGCACCGCCTCCTGAGCTGTGAGCTCGCAGGGATCTTGGCTGTTGGGCTCATCACAGTGCAGTGGGACAGAATTCTAGGCAGCCAAGTGCCTGACTGATCCCACAGACAGCACCCAGCAAGTAACAAGTACATGAATCAGAAAACAAGCCACGAAGGAGGGGGAGGAGGTTGAGTCTCCCATCATTGGCTCTCGCAGTGCCTGCCAGACACTGTTAGAAGTGCTTTATGTGCTTGAGCCCAGGAGTTCGAGACCAGCCTGGGTAATATAAGGAGACCCTGTCTCTACAAAAATAATAATAATTATTATTATTTTAAAATATGGGCCAGGCGCAGTGGCTCACGCCTGTAATCTCAGCACATTGGGAGGCTGAGGCAGGTAGATCACCTGAGGTCAGGAGTTCGAGACCAGCCTCGCCAACATGGTGACACCCCGTCTCTACTAAAAATACAAAAATTAGCGGAGCGTGGTGGCGCATCCTGCAGTCCCAGCTACTAGGGAGGCTGAGGCAGGAGAATCGCTTGTACCCAGAAGGTGGAGGTTGCAGTGAGCTGAGATCACACCATTGCACTCCAACCTGGGCAACAAGAGCAAAACTCCATCTCAAAAATTAATTAATTAATTAAAAAATTAAGAAGTGCTTTCTGGATAGCGGCTGTTAGGTCTCTCAACTGCCCTGTGAGACAGGTACCGGACTGCCCTCCTAATGTTCATGATGATGTCTTCTTCCTTACTTTGCAGATAAGGGCGATTTCAAACTATTTTATCGCCATCATCATTATTGTTCTAACTGGTACTGAGGTCGGTCAGAAAACACAGTCTCTGAGACGGCAAGCCTTCACAGCGGCTGTCTCTCTCTATGGCCCAGCATGTGGTCAGCTTCCATGACGGCCCCGTGTAGTCCTGCCCTTGGCCTTCTGTGTGAGTCCGTCAAGTCAAGCTTCTTGACGATGCTGCTTAAATCTGTCATTACCAAGTATTTGCCTACTTGCTATCAACTCCTGAGAGAGGGGTGTAAAAATCTCCCACTCAGGCTGGGTGCAATGGCTAACACCTGTAATCTCAGCACTTTGGGAAGCCGTGGTAGGAGGATTGCTTAAGCTCAGGAGTTCAAGACCAATCTGGGCAACATAGCGAGACTCCACCTCTACAAAAGAAATTTTAAAAATTAGCTGGGCGTGGTGGCGCACACCTGTAGTTCCAGCTACTCAGGAGACTGAAGCAGGAGGATTGCTTGAGCCCAGGAGGTCGAGGTTGCAGTGAGCCGAGATCTCGCCACTGCACTCCAGCCTGGGTGACAGAGCAAGACCCTGTCAAGAAAAAAGAAAAAAGAAAAGAAAAGAGAATTCCCCCACTCTGCAAAGGACAGTCTTTAACACAAATAATGCTGGAACAAATCAATGTCCCGAGGCATCAAAGTGAACCTCAACCTTTTTTTCACATCCCACCCCAAAATTAACTCCAAAAACTAGAAAACCTCTAGCAGAAAACATCAGAGAAAATCTTTGTGACCTTGGATTAGGCAAAGATTTCTTAAATATGACACCAAAGGTGTGATCCATCAAAGAAAAAAACTGATCAACTAGACCATCAAAATTGTAAATATTTACCCTTCAAAAGACATCACGAAGAAGCAGACTGGGAGGAAACATACATAACCCTTTAAAGAGTTAGAATGTATATGCTAATTCCATTCCTTTAGTGGTAGTTCATCAAAGTTTCTAGTAAATTCATATCTTTACCCTCCCCTTGAACATCGCAGGACCATAGAACCTTTTAATTCCAATTATTTCCCTCCTAACTTTAAGACGATTATTACCTTGTATTTTTCTTTTATCTTCATTTAAACAACACATGACATTTTTACCACCAATAATTGTTTAGATTTGCCCACATATGACAATCTCTTCGACTTTCATCTCTTCTTATACCCCAATTTTTTCATCTGGGGTTATTTTCCTTCTGGCTCAAACATATCTTTTAAAACTTCCTCAAGTGGCCGGGCATGGTGGGCTCACACCTGTAATTCCAGCACTTTGGGAGGCTGAGGTGGATGGATTGCTTGAGCCTAGGGGTTCCAGACCAGCCCTGGCAACATATGGAGACCCCCATCTCTACAAAAAAAAAAACAAGAATTAGCTGGGCATGGTGGTGCACACCTGCAGTCCCAGCTACTCAGGAGGCTGACGTGGGAGGATCACCCAAGTCTGAGAGTTCAAGGCTGCAGTGAGCCATGATTGCACCACTGCACTCCCATCTGGGCAACAGAGTGAGACCCTGTCTTAAAAAATAAAATTAATTTTACAAAAAATTTCCTTAAGCAAGGGTTGTTTGTGGGACACCTTCTTGATTTTTATTTGCCTATGATTGTCTTTATTTTTTTCACTGAATATTGAATTGTATAGGTGGGTAATCCTTTGTGTCTTTATTTTTTCCACTGGATATTGAATTCTAGGTTGACAATCATTTGCATCTTTAATTTTTTTCACCGGATATTGAATTCTAGGTTGGTAATCATTTGCTCTGAGCATTTTGAAGACATCATTTCTCTGTTTCCTAATTCCCATTGTTGCTCCTGAATAGTAAGTTCTCAGCGTAACTATCTTTGAAGATAATCTATATTTTCTCTTGGGCTCTTTTATAAGACTTCTCTTGGTCTTCAATGTTCTGTATTTTTATTCTTATGTGACTCGTGTGGAATCCTTTTTCTTTGGCTTGCTTGAGAGTCACTGGGCTTCTTAAATTTGTGGGTTGCTATCTTTCATTATATCTGAAATAGTTTCAGCCATAATCCTCTTCAAATATTGCCCCTACTCCTATTCTATCTCTCTTCATTTTCTGGAAATCCAATTAGCAATATGCTTACATTTGCACGCAAGTCCTCATGTTCTTTATATTTCCCAGTTCTTTATCTTTCAGGAGTGCAACTCTCCTAATGTCTTTTGCCTTATCCTTCAGTTCATCAATTCCTTCTTCGGTCATGTCTAAACTGTGGTTAAGCTATCTTTTGAGTTTTTCATTTTGATTGTCATGTTTTTATTTCTAAGAGTATGTTTGGTTCTTTTTCAAGTATGCTTGTTCTTCATTAATACATCCAAGCCTCTTATTTCTTCCATAAAACACATTTATTTTCCAGTCCTGCTATTTTTAGTATCTAAATGTTTGGCTGATCTGATTCTACTGCCTGTTGTTTCTGTTGACTTTCCCTCATGGTGTCTTGTTTCCTTGTATATTTAGTGATTTTTTTTTTACTCTGAACTGCTCATTTGCTGTGGAACTTTATGGAAATTTTCTGAGGCCTGAGGTAAAGGCAGAGTCCTTTAGAAAGTAATTGTATTTACTTCTGTCAAACAATTGAGGCACTTCCAATCTGACACTCCTTTAAACTAAAATCCCTTGTTTTGGATAGTTGAGGAAATGTGGATTCAGGCTACATACACACACACGTAGTTCAGGTTATAGTTATTAATTCTTAGAGAATGCTTTTCCTGCTCCACTTGGCACCAAAGTTTGCTACAGGCAGTGCCGATGTAGTATCCAAAGGGGAAATAGATTTTCTAGTTTCCCATGACAGTGAGGTGTAGCCCATGGAGTCCCACATTGAAGGAATGGTCTTCCACTAGACTCTCCTGCATGGCCAGGCTCTGTGCTTTGTCTTCTGACCTCTAGCCACAAAAGTAGTCAAAAAATGATGCTCAGGTTTGCCTATGAGAATAAAAAATTTCAATTCTCCAACTTCAAAATGAAAAGATAGGCTGTTGTCTGGCCACAGCAACAAGCAAACACCAGCATTAAGTCCGTCTCAATCTAGTAGTGACCACTTTCTTTGGTCAACCAACCAGCAGTAGCCCCTCTCCAATAACTAGTCTCCCTCAGTTAGAGATCAATCATTCCCCAAGCTCTCCCACTTCTGAAAGCCTCCTATGCCTGAACTCCACTCTTCCTGAAACACTATGAAGGCCAGCAGTTTGCTTTGTTCGGGCAGTCTGAGCCTTACAATTATAGCTCTCCCATGCTGAACAAGCAATAAGTTCAGCTTTTTGTTTCAGAGATGGAGCAGTGGCCACATCTTTCCATACCTCCCAGGAAAGCCAGATTCAGTGTCCACCTTCCTCTCTGGGTCCCATCTTTTCTCTATCCTGGCCTGAGTACTCCACACTTCCTAGTCAGCTCAAGACAATAATCAACAAGACAGGCATTTTTCATTCTACCCAGAATTTCTAGCTGCTGTTAGTGGGAGGGTTTGTGCAGGTTCTTAACTGGCCATATTGAAAAAGAACAGAAATCTTTGGACTTTATTTTACAGATGAGGAAACTGAGGCATGGGAACATTACATAAATCACTTAATATTATGGAGTCAGTATATCACAGATTCAAACCTTGGAAGCCAGGCTCTAAGGTCTGTGATCTGATGCTCTACCACACCCAACAAGTGAGTCAGTAATTAGTGAATCCATCCATCCATCCATCCATCCATCCATCCATCCACCATTTATTGAGCTGCTTCTACCAGTCAGCCACAGCTTAAGGCCCTGCACATTGTATTAACCCATTCTCACACTGCTATAAAGATACTACCTGAGGCCGGGTACAGTGGCTCACACCTGTAATCCCAGCACTTTGGGAGGCCAAAGCGGGCGGATCACGAGGTCAAGAGATTGAGACCATCCTGGCCAACATGGTGAAACCCCGTCTCTACTAAAAACACAAAAATTTGCCAGGCATGGTGGCGCATGCCTGTAATCTCAGCTACTTGGGAGGCTGAGGCAGGAGAATCGCTTGAATCCGGGAGGTGGAGGTTGCAGTGAGCCGCAGAATGAGACTCCATCTAAAAAAAAAAAAAAAAAAAAAAAAAAAAATACTAACTGAGACTGGGTAATTTATAAACAAAGAAAGTTTCATTGACTCACAGTTCCACAGGGCTGGGAAGTCCTCAAGAAACTTACAATCATGGTGCAAGGTAAAACAGACACCTTCTTCACAAGGCAGCAGGAGAAAGAGTGAGCATGAGCAAAGGAAACACTGCCACTTTTAAAACCATCAGATCTCATGAGACTCACCCACTATCAGGAGAACAGTGTGGGGGAAATCACCCCCACAATCCAATCTTTTCCCTCCCTGGACACACAGGGATTACAATTCAAGATGAGATTTGGCTGGGGACACAGATCGAAACCATATCACACAGACAGCACCAAATGAGATGGGCTGCATTCCTGCCTTCATACTGCGTACATTTCAGGGAGAGGCGGCACAGGAGTGCATGGAGGATGCCTCGGAGCCCCTCGGAGTGTGCAGAGGCACCAGGAAGAACCCGCAGTCAGCGCCGGCAGCAGCAGCCAAGGGGACACACACCCACCATTTAGGCTGGGTCTCCAGGTCACGACCACTCCACTAAGTCCCCAAGACAGATCCCATGCCCCTGGGACACAGCCACAGGAATGAGCTCATGGAACCCACGGGAACCCGGAGGCACAAAGAAGGTTTGCAACTTTCCCAAAGTCTGTGGCCTGGCCGACATTTGAACACAAACTCACTGGTTCTCCTCCTCCGTTTGAAGACAAATGCTCCAGCAAGGACTCAGGGAGGAGCTTCTGGGCCAAATACCTCTGGATTTAGGGAGGGCAAAGGTCGCAGTGGCTTCTCTCTGCCGGTAACCCTGGAAGCGATCATGAGGAAGTCACAATGTTTCATTGGAAGCCAGGCCCTTCCCTAACTTCACGAGCCTGAACGTAGGGCATCTCGTGGAGCTGGGCTGTAGACAAACCTTCTTAGCTCCTGATGTCCCCCGAGGCCTTTAAGAAGTCAACACATTTCCCCAGACTCTGCAAGCCAAGCAGGTCTTGGCCTCTGTCCTGTTACCCTAAGGGTCATGGGTCCCCAAAAAGGCCCCCACACGGTGACGGATGGTCGGCAGAGCTGCAGAGGAGGGGGCGGGTTTTCTGCACTGTGTCATTTGGGGAACAGCTGGGCACAGCTGTGTCCTGAAGACACTGCCCCAGCCCCGCTGGGAACACAGGGTCAGACACCATTCCCAGCATGGGCCCCACACCAGAGGCCAGACCAGGGGACAGCGTGTCCTGGGGCTCGGTCGGCCCCGTCCCAGCCTGACAAAGCAGCCTCCCCCGACTCCAGCCCAAGCCAGAGGAATATGTAAGCTTTTTCTCTTAGGTCTTCCCAAGCTGGGTGCTATCTGTCCAGCAGGGGCAGGGTGCTGGTGTTCTCCCAGAGTGGCAGGGGTCCAGCTGGATAGAGCTTTGAAGCTTCTGGAACCTGCGCTGTGGCTCTCACCAACCTGCTTCGGAGCCACTTTGGGGAATCTGGGGACCCAATGAGGGCTGTCCCGGGACCCACACGTGCCACCATGAGCTGAGGCTCCCCTCTGGTTAAGGAGAGCTATTCAGGGAGGCTGCTCTCCTGCCCCACACACAGCAGGACCCCATTCGCCTCAACCTGCAGCCCCAGCTCCAGAACCTCTTGCAGCACCAGGCATCCCCTCCTGCCACCACTGTGCCGAGCCTGGGCACCTCCCAGCAGGCTGGCCTCCCTGCCCTCCCACCTTGTCTTTCATCAGGTCTCAACTCCAGCCCCAGCATGCACATCTTCCTTCTGTGTGCGCACACACACACAAAAACACACACGTATGCATGCACACACATGAATCCACTCACATACTTGTATGCAAGCACAGACATGAATCCACACACACAAATGCGAGCACACACATGTATGCAAGCACACACGAATGCAAGCACACACATGAATGCACACACATGCGAATGCAAGCACACATATGAATGCAAACACACAAATGCATGCATGTACACACACAAATGCCCACACATGCAAGGATGCATGCACACGCGTATGTATGCACACACACACACGAATGCACTCACATATGTATGCAAGCACACACAAATACACACACATGTATGCAAGCACACACATGAATGCACATGCATATTCAAAGGCATGCACACCCATATGCACTGCACACATGAATGCACGCACATACATGAATGCATGCACACACACACACACACACACACACGCACTGTTCCCTGCACCTGGACACCTTTGTGTGAGCCTCTGCTCCCTGCCCGCCAAAATCTTACCCGTCCTCCAAGACCTGTCTCAAAGTCCACCTCCTCCACAGCCCCTCACTAGCCCCTCCAAGCTGCCCTCTTCTGAGCCGTCCCTCTACTCAGCCCTCACCTTGGGGAGCGTCCCACCTCCACAGGTGTGTCTCTCTCACCTGACAGAGCCCCAGGAAGCCAGGACCAGCCCCACTGACTCGGTCTCCCCTCTAGCACCTCAGCACTGCAATCAGCTGCTACCCCACCAGTGTGTGGTGGGTTGAGAGCTTTCAGATGTTTCTTATTAATTTTTATTTTTACTTTTTTTTTTACCCCACAAGCAACGCGTGGGTCAATGATGATTCTAAGTTTGTTCAAAGCAACCATCTACCTTTTTCAAATTACTCCAGTCATTCGTGTGTGTTGTAGAAAAATTCAAACATGTAGATAAACAAAATGAAGACCATTAAAATCATCGGAAACTGTAGACGTTTGTCTCTGTGGTCACTTACGTAGGGCTGCTGTTCTAAGTCTGCTCCACGTATTGACTCATTTAACCTGCGCAATACCCCTGAGTGACAGGTGTGGGCATCACCCCATTTTGCAGCTGAAGGCACTGAAGTGCAGGGCCGTTTGGCAGCATGTCCAAGGTCAAGGTCATCTGGAAAGCGACAGGGCTGGACTTGAGCTCTGACAGCAGGCTCCAATGCCCATGGTCTTGACCGCTGTGCCCTGTCCTGTGCATAATTAGGATCATACAACACTGTCTTCTGTAACCCGCCCCCCAGCGCCATCTTAGCATGCAGTCTGTCGTGAACACCCTCCAGGCAGGATCACCGCATCATTTTCCAAGCCTGTCACATCCCAGACCTCCAGGTCAGTCCACACTGAGACAGGGTGGACAGGAACTCCTGGGAGGGCCGTACCCTCAGTCCATCAGTCAGACCCCTAGAGTCCTTCCCGGATGCCTGGACGCCGCTCCACCCCCAGCCCCCAGCCGGCTGGTGAGAGTCGTGGATTTCAGCCTCCGATGGAGGAAAGGCCAAGTCAGCCGCAGCTCAGCTTCTCAGAGGCCAGGGGCCGGCTCCAGGTCATCGACTCTGCATTTCAGGCCAACCGGCTTCAGGGGCAGGGTCGGGGGGCCCTGAACAGTGACAGCGCCACCCTCAACTTATGCAGACGCTGTGGCAATGTCTAATCCCACGAAGCCTCCTCCTGCCTCACCCTAAGGGCCATCGTAAGTGCATGGACATGTGCATGGACACGGGACAGACGGGAGAAAGCATGGCTTGAACAGCAGACCGGGCTCTCAGCCTCAGACACCAGAGAGCCTCCCGAGCTCAGGCAAGGCTGCCAAGGGAGGGTGCGCACCCCCGCCACGGAGAGGCTCCCCGGCCACTGTCTGGAGAGCTACAAGTTTTGAAATATCAGCCACCCAGAGAGAGGTGTGGGGCTGACTCCACCCCGATCTGGGGGGTCTTCCCATGGAGTCCCTTGTTCCAAGTGCATCTGGGGGAGATTTCAAAGCCAGAGTGTCACTGACCCAAAGACCACCCACCTGGCCATTTCGGGGCCAGACCCCCAGGCGTGTCATGCCTGACCGAGACACATTGTGTCTGGACTTTCAAAAAGAAGGAGGGAGGCAGTCTGGGGACGAGTTCCATTTCTCAGGAAGAGCAGAAGGGCCCAACGGGCACTCGCCTTCTGTTCTGATAGGAAAGAGTCTTGCAGAAACGGAAGAGGAAACAGGAGAGTTGAGCTCTGGGGGCTTCAAAGCTCAGCTCAGTGGTGGAGGCGACAGCATCCCTGATGGGCCACGTGAGACACAAGCATCCATGGCTCTATCCTCACCCACAGACGGAACATGGAACCCGGCTCGCTGGGGTACTCGCTGGGAACGGTGCCCTGCAGTGGGGCTCTGGGGTTGTGCATATGCACACATGCGTGTATGCACACACACACACACAAGCTCATGCACACACACACGAGCTCACACACACACACAAAGCTCACACACACAAGCTCACGCACACACATGTATGCACACACACAAGCGCACACACACACGAGCTCACGCACACACACATGAGCTCACACACACACAAAGCTCACACACACAAGCTCTCACACACAAGCTCACACACAAGCTCTCACACACACAAAGCTCACACACACACAAAGCTCATGCACACACAGCTCATGCACACACAAGCTCATGCGCACACACACACAAGCTCATGCACACACACACACAAATCTCACGCACACCCACACATAAGCTCACGCACACACCCCGACACACAACACATAAGCACATACACGACACATAAGCTCACACACACAAGCACACACACACAAGCTCACGCACACACACAACACATGACACATAAGCACACACATGACCCATAAGCTCATGCACACACACACATAAGCTCACGCACACACATGACACAAGCACACACACACAAACTCATGTGCACACACACGACACAACACAAGCTCACACACATAAACACACACACACAAAGCTCATGCACACACACACAAGCACACACACATAAGCACATGCACACACACATACAAGCTCACGCACACACCCACAACACACAACACATAAGCACACACATGACACATAAGCTCATGCACACACACAAGCACGCACACACACACATAAGCTCACGCACACACACGGCACATAAGCTAACGTGCACACACATATAAGTTGATGCACACACATAAGCTCACACACAAGCTCACGCACACACACACATAAGCTCACGCACACACAAATGACACAGAAGCTCATGCACACACACACAGAGCTCACATGAGCACACATGACACATAAGCTCACATACACACACACATAAGCGCACACACACAACACATAAGCTCATGCACACACACACGCGCACACACACGAGCTCACACGAGCACACACACACGTGTACACACAGACTCACCAGCCCTGGGGGCCCCTGGGGCTTCTTGCTAGGTGAGGCCCATTCCACAGACAGAACGAGACAGCCTTGATTGTTGTCCCAACAGAATCCAGATGAAGAAAACGCAGAAAGAGAGCCAGACAGTGTCTGCACGCTGAGGCGCCTGCTCTGGCCCTGAAGGGCGTCCACCCGCAGGCGTTGATGGGCCACAGGCAACAGCCAAGAAGTTGGCCCGACTCACCCCATCACCGCGGCTCCTGGGGCTCCCACCAGGGTCCACAGGAGCACGCTGAGGCCGTGTTCTGCCTGGGCCAGGGCTGTCAGACCTCCATGGAAGGGTCCTGGGGAGACACAGCTGGAGGTGTCTGGAAGCTGCGTTCATGTGGTGAGCCCATCTTTTCTACTTGGATGGTACATTCATAAGGCCCCCGCCCATACAAGACCCAGGAAAACAGGGCCAGGAGCTGGAAGGGAAAAGGCCCCACAGCCACAGAGTGAGGCCGCCAGCCTGGGGGACGCAGGGGAGGCCGGGGCTGGGTGGGTTCAAGGCCAGTTCGTGTCCCAGCCATGGGGGCGGGACACCCGGGCAAGCTTTCCAGCCCCCTCTCTATCAACTGAGCTGGCAGGCCTGTCCGTTTCAGGACAGCAGAGCCCTGTACCCATCCTCCATGCGCAAGAAGCAAACCCCACTCCTTATCTGCAGGAGGAGGCGGGCTTCTCTGTCGATATGGGCAAGCCCCTCAGGCAGACATTCCCATTCTTCCAATATAAGGCCTTCAAACATTTTAGGAGGCATGCAGGCACCCCATCTCCTCCTCCCCCTGAAATCCCAGATGTAATTACAATACGTGTGGCATCCCAGGGCGACAGGACCAGCTGGAAGCCGGACCCTAGCCATGTGAACACAGGTACACGAGACTCACAATGGGCACTCACACGCAGACACCCACACGGCCCCTGCAAGCGTCGCCCACACCCAGGCCAGCGCTGAGCCGTCCAGTCTGGGCTCTGCCTTGGCAGACACCAGGGCAGATGCACCTGCCGCCAACGGCCCCAACACCCACCCAGGGCCACCTCCCTCCCAAGTACCTGGGGCAGCCTCGCCCTGCATAACCCGATCCCCTGGCTGGCCCCACACATGTGTTTTTTCACTGAGCTCAGGCATCACCTCCTCCAGGAAGCAGCCTGTCCCCGCTCTCCCATGTCCCGGGTCCTGTGCCCCTCTGACCTGCCCCGGCTCTCCTGTGTCTGGGGGCCTGTGCCCCTCTGCCCTGCCCCGGCTCTCCTATGTCCCGAGTCCTGTGCCCCTCTGCCCTGCCCCGGCTCTCCTGTGTCCGGGGACCTGTGCCCCTCTGCCCTGACCTGGCTCTCCTGTGTCTTGGTGCCTGTGCCCCTCTGCCCTGCCCCAGCCTGCCGAGGGTGTGATGGTTTTCAGTGTGTCTCCCCTCTGGAACTGGTCAGCCCTCAAGGCAGGGCTGACCCCCATCCCAGTGCCTGGTATGAAGCTGGGCCTGAGCTTCCTCAAAAAGCGTCTGATGCACAAGCGAATGTGGTGACAATACCCACGAAGGGCCACCCTGAGCCTGTCAGATAGGAGGCGGCATTGCTTTGCTGAAGCGTGGGAATGCACGCAGGAGTGTGAGCACAGGCCCTGGCCCTGGACCGCCCCGTTCACCCAGGGCCCTGCTGGTCCTTCAGGCTCGAGAACACGATGTCCACAGGCTCCCAGGAACTGCAAGTGAGCAGAGTGGCCGAGAGCCGTGACCCCAGGACAGCAGCTGAGCAACAAGGGGGCCCCCAGCAGGCCAGGCAACCCAGGGCCCCAAGTGACATGTCCCCTCGCCCCAGGCACCCTTCACCCCAGCCATGGCCTGCATAGCAAGCCACTGCCATGCAGCCTGGGGAGCTCCAGGCTTAAGGTCCTGGCAGTGACTCTGGAATGGAAGTGCCAGGGCACAAACTCCAGGACCACCCCTTACCATGACCTGCAGGGCCGTGGGCAGGCAGGAAGCCCCCTCATGGCCAGGTTTCTTGAGGGCACCGTGGTTTCATGGCAGCATCTGCCTCCCAGGGCTGCTGCGGAGGGGAGAGGAAGGGACACAGAGTTCTGGAGAGGTGCTGCTTGCCAGTGGGGCCCCTGCAGATGGACAGAAGCCTGAGGGCGGCCCCCTCTGATTTCCAGCCTTCCCTCCAACCTTCTCCTGCATCCACCTGGCTGCCATTTGGGCAATTCCCAGGAGGATGAACAGAGTAGCCGAAGCCCGCAACACAGACATTTAACTTAGGAAAGATCTGATTGGTTCGGACACCCCTCGCCCCGGGCAGTGAGAAGAGGGCCTGGGCAGACCCTGCCTTGTTCCCCGTGGCCTCCCCAGCCCCCAGTCCCTGCCACCCCTGAGCCAGGGAAATCCTTCTGCGCTGGAAGTGCGGCAGCCCACAGAACAGAGTGCAGCCTGGGCATGCCCTCGGCCCTTTCCCTGAACCTGTTTCTTCTTCTGTAAAGTGGGAGAGAAGGACACGCACAGCTGGCAGAGGGCGCAGGGAGCATGACCACCAGCCGAGCACGCTGTGCGTGTGGGAAGCACCCAGTGGCAGCTACAAACAAACAGGCCCCGGCTCCCCTGTCCTCCTTCTTCTCGCCAGCAACCCCAGAGATCTATTCCGGGGACCCGGCCACAGCTGGGCTCCCGAGCCCCACATCCCCCAGCCCGAGGTGCCCTCAGGCCTTCCAGTGGAACATTTTTGACATAGTCTAAACCATCAGCAAAACAAGATGAAAATTCAGTAATTGCTTTTGGCAGGGAGTCCATGGGCCAGCACAGAGGCCAAAAATAACCCCGGGGAAGTTTCCTGGGCCACCTGCAGCCCTGGGGGCCCGTACTAGGCTCTGTCTGAACACAGGCCAGGACGGGTCTCGGCCTGGCCCTGCAAGCCAGCCTGGACAAAGCAGGGAGGCGGGCAGGGACTCGGGGGGCAGCGGGACAGAGTGAGGCTGTCACTTAGCACACTTCAGGCCAGGAAGTGCCCGGCCATCCGGAAAAATGTAATGTCATACTTTAGCAAGAAAAGCAGCTGTCATGCTACTTAGCAGCCCACAAATAGTTGGCTGAGTCCTAGAGCGGGTGTTGGCTGAGCCTGGGAGAGCAGAGATGCCAGGCTGGCAGGGCGGTGTGGGCCTCGTCCGGCCAGGTGGTATTCCCTCCCAGCCCCTCGCTCCCCCAGTCTCCCCCAGGCCTGGTCAGTCCCCAGCAGGCTGTGGGGGGCGCGAACCCCCTGAGGTTACAGCCCAAGGTCGCTGCACATCTGGCCACGGTAGGGGGACCTCGTCTGACCCCTCCCTTAATGCCTGCTGGGGAACCCCAGAGGGGACAGGAGCTCACTTCACCGGGTCAGAATCAGACCTCTCACCCACATCCCAGGCAGCCTAATCCTTTCCTCCAGGCCTCAGGGCCTCATCTGTAAACTGAGGCTGTCAAAGATGGTGGTCAAGGTACCAGAAGCCCATTAAGTAGCCAACCAGCCAGGCTCAGGGCTGACCCCCGCGCTCTCCTCTCCCCCATTTTACCGATGAGGAAATGAAGGCTCACGGAGGGAAGACCACACAGCGAGGATTGAAGCTTGGGTGGGACCCCAGGAGCAGAGCGGGCAAGGACGGCGGCTTCCCAAGGAGGGCTGATTGGCCTGCAGAGGGGTCAAGGACAGTGGTGTCCCTAGGAGGGGCTGATGCACCAGCAGAGGAGACGGGCCAGCCCCACCCTTGCCTTATCCAATTCCTTCTTCATCCCCCTAAATGGGATGCCCAGAATGCATGTGGGTTGCCTGAAGCCCCTTGAAAGCCCCCGGAGTGTCAGATGGGGGGTGTCCAGCCAGGTCTTTGGTTGAAGGAAAAGAGAGAGAACCCACCAGAGCCCAGTCCCGGGCGGGCTTCGCCTGCAGGAGGAGCCCCACCCCATGCCGTCCCGGTGAGGAAGTCAGGCGACACCTCTGTGCACCTGGCCATCTGCTGTCTGCGTACCTGCTCCTGTCCAGTCTGAGTGTCATTGGGTGTTTTTCATTCTCACCTTCCAGAGGATACCGAGGCTGGAAGAGGCACAGTGACCGGCACAGGGCCCCAGGGTCCTAGGTTGTACTAGGTCTCAGATGAACGCATGACCTAAAGCCACCCACCTCTCTGGGAGCTGGGCCAAGTGCAACTTCCCACCCAGGCTGTCCTCCTCCCTCCCTCCTCCTCCAAGTCCTCCTCCAGTTCCTCCTCCCCTCCTCCTCCCCCTCCTCTCCCTCTAGCTCCTCCTTCCCCCTCCTCCTCCAACTCCTCCTCCCCCTCATCCTCCAGCTTTTCCTCCTCCCCCTCCAGCTTCTCCTTCTCACTGTCCTCCTCCCTTTCCTCCTCCCCCAACTCCTCCTCCTCCCTCCTCCACCTTTTGCTCCTCCCTCTCCTACTTTCCATCCTCCTCCCCCAACTCCTCCTCCTCCCTCCTCCACCTTTTCCTCCTCCCTCTCCTCCTTTCCATCCTCCTCCAACTCCTCCTTCTCCCCCTCCCCTCCTCCTCCAGCACCTCCTTCCCCTCTTCCTCCTCCAGCTCCTCTTCCTCACCTTCCCCCCCTCCTCCCTCTCCTCCTCCTCCTTCTTCTCCCTGCTTCTCCTTCTCCAGCTCCTCCTCCCCCTCCAGATCCTCCCCATCCTCCTCCTGCAGCCTTGAAGCAGTAGGGCCCGACTGTCCCGACAGCACCCCTGCACGCCTCTGAGGACGATTCCCCAGTGCCCCTCAGGGTGTGGCAGTGAGGAGGGTGCCTAGATCCAGAGCACACCCATGAGCCAGCCCCTTCCAGCCTCCAGGTCCCTCAATCCCCAGATGAAGAGAGAGTGACACCGGGTGTCCAGCAGGAGTGCATGAGGCTGCAGCAAACAGAAGCCAACCCCATCACTCCACATGGACATCCAGCCTCCAGACACTGCCTGAGAGCCCCTGCCTGCTTCCTTCCCCAGCAGCGTAGCGTGGGTCCCACCCTCCTGCCTCGGTCTCAGCCTCAAGACTGGGTCTCACCCTCATGGTTGCCAGTGAGCAGCTGCCTCCCCCGGCCACGCGACGGGATTCCAGGCAGGAAAAAGAGGGCAGGACCCAAAACGTTTTCCAGTGAGACTTTACCTCTCTAATCAGGAAGAGCTGCCCCAGACCCTCCTGTCTAGCCCTCGTGGCCTCTGCACCGACACGTGGCCACCTGGCCGCAGGGAAGGCTCATTGCCATCCCCAAGCAAAATTAGGGTCCTTTCAGAAGGAAGCAGAAAGGAATGGAGGTGGCAGTATAGCCCCACAGCCCCCGGTGACTGACCTGGAGGAAGAGTGACTTTCCCAAAGCCACTCAACTAGGGAGTGCTGGAAATACAGGCTGGATTGGAGTCCATCTGTCCCCATGCCCGCTCTCTCAACAATGGCACAGAGCAGCCTCTTCCCCGAGGGGGGAGCTTGCCTTGCCCCTCTATGGGCCACTTTAACCTGGCCTTGCAGACACCCACCAGCCCACATCCAGGCTGGTAGAAAGGATGCCAGTGTCACTCCATACCCAGCTTCCTGGTTAAAGACACACATCCAAACACACAGAACCCATGTACACATAAACACACATATATACACATGCACACACACGGGCACACACACAGGCAAACACACATAGGCACATCCCTACACAGAGACACACACACACGCACACACGCTCTGGCGGGCTGCCTGCTCTCACACCTCTTTGCAAACCAGCTTGAGCTGCAGTCCTGCCAACCCCACCCCAGAACTCTCTCTGGCTGGCTGAGCCCCGTCCCCAGGCCCACCCTGTCACCCTTTGCACTGTCTAGCCCGGCAAAAGCACATACTTTCCTAACCTCAGGCATCTGGCTGCCCAGCAGCCCCTGGAAGGTGGGGAGGGGAGGTAGGAGACAAGGCGGGAAAAACCCCAAGGTAGAACCACAATGTTTATAAAACGGGCCACTGAATTATACAGAACAATATTTTCCTTGCGGATGCGATTCCTTCCTGGCCAAGCTGCACGGAGATGCCTGCTCTCACCCCAGGCCCTCTCTGCGAGGGCTTGGCCTGCAGGAGCCACCAGAGCTAGGCGGGTGGAATGAGTTGGCCCCTGGAAATGCATTGGAAACCACACAGCCTTCTCATGGGCGCTGGTCAGAAATACAAACGCACAGAGCAGGCATACACTGCCCTGGTCGGCCTGCGTTTCTCGTTAGCACTGGGCCTGCAGGCAGGGCTGAGGCCCAGGGTGGCAAGGGCCAGAGGCCATCCTCCTGCTGCCCTGCTCTGGGGCAGACATGGGCTCCTCGGCCTGCGTACCTGGGCTTCCCTGCAGCCCTCGTCCCTGGTCCTGATGGCTCCTGGGCCAAGGCTGGAAGCCACTTCTAGGAGTGCGAATGACTGGAACTTTCGGACCTGATCTCAGCACTTGGGAGGAAGAAGCCGCAGGTTCTGCCTCTGCCTCGGGCAGCCTCTGACGGGATGCGAAGAGGGACGTGGGTTTGAAATCCCCAACAGCCCAGCCCAGACCACCCTGGCAGACTCTACCAGCCCGTACTGTGAGTTACTAACTCCACCCCCCGACCTCAGAAGCTGGGTCTCAGGGTCTCCATTTTTACTTCTTCTTCTTTTTTTTTTTTTTTGAGACAAAGTCTTGCTCTGTCACCCAGGCTGGAGTGCAGTGGCGTGATCTCAGCTCACTGCAACCTCCACCTCCTGAGTTCAAGCGATTCTCCTGCCTTAGCCTCCTGAGTAGCTGGGATTACAGGCGTGTGCCACCACACCGAGCTAATTTTTAAATTGTTTGTAGAGACGGGGTTTAGCCATGTTGCCCAGGCTGGTCTCGAACTCCTGTCCTCAAGCAATCCACCTGCCTCGGCCTCCCAAAGTGCTGGGATTACAGGCCTGAGCCACTGCACCCAGCCTTCGAGGTCTCCATTTGACAAGATGCGTTGAGGGGTGAACACGGAGAGGCAGAGAAAGCTGGAGCCGTGTGGAGCTGGGGGAGTCAGGCGCCTGCCTGCAGCCACTCTCCTCCACCAACAGAGAGGGGACATGACAGAGGGAGCAGAGAGAACAGCCCCCAAGGGGCCCCTGCTCCCTGGGCAGAAGGCCAGAGGCTCCGGCGGCCATGCTTGCTGCCTCCGCCAGGCCATGTGCTGCTTGGGGCCATGTAGAGCCTGATTCTGAGAATCTGCGGCATCCCCCAGGTGGGTGTGCGGGACAGGGAGGAGGCTCACAGAGAGGCTTGTGGGGGGAAGCAGGGAGGATCAGCCTCAACATTGCTCTGCCAGGAACCGGCCTCCCTCCTTTCTCCGGGTGTGCCCTTCCTGTAGCAGGCAGGATGGGCAGGGGAGGGAGGCGGCTCCGTGGCGCGCCCCCACGTCCTGTCCTGCTTATGACAGCTCAGGGAGGCCCCGGTCTAGCCTGTAGGCCTTTGCTCTCTCAGTCCCCCCACCTGAAAGGCCACCCCACTGCTTCAGGAGGTGCCCCAAACCTCCAGGCTCTACCTCCGTCTCCCCCTCTGCACGACGCCTCTAAAGCCACCGCTCGCTTCCCGGCTCGGCTTTTCCAGGGCAGTAGGGGCAGCACGCTGGACTATGGTCTGCCCAGAGACAGAGACAGAGGAAGCGTACAGCCCCCCGGCTGCCCCATCATGGACACCGAGGTGTGTACTTTGGCTTCAGAAAGCTGGAGGAGGGAGAAGAGCCCCACCTACGGGGACCCCAGGAAGGACAAAGCGTGGTTTGGGAATGTGGAACCACGGCCTTGCCGCTCACTTGCCCCTTCTCGGTGGCTGCTTCTCGGAGGCTCCAGAGGCCTCCAGTTCCCTGAGGGGAGCAGTAGCTGGTGCAGAAGAACACAGAGTGACTTCTGAACTCCCCATAGTCTGTTCCTCTGCCTGGAACAGCCTCCCTGGGGACCCCGGCCCTGGCCTACTCCTCCTACACCCTAGAGCTCATCTGCCCCTTCCTGCAGGCCCTACTTACCCAGCCCAGCCCCAGCATGCTGCAGTGAGTCCAGCCTTCCCATTCCTGGTCATACCCCAGCTCCGTCAGGGATCCTGTTTACCCTGTTTCCCCGCAGGGGCTGGCTCACAGTAGAAATTTTTTTTTTCTTTTTTTTTTTGAGACGGAGTTTCACTCTTTTGCTCAGGCTGGAGTGCAATGGCTCAATCTCGGCTCACCGCAACTTCTGCCTCCTGGGTTCAAGCAATTCTCCTGCTTCAGCCTCCTGAGTAGCTGGGACTTCAGGTGGCCGCCACCATGCCCAACTAATTTTGTATTTTTAGTAGAGACGGGGTTTCTCCATGTTGGTCAGGCTGGTCTCGAACTCCTGACCTCAGATGATCCACCTGCCTCGGCCTCCCAAAGTGCTGGGATTACAGGCTTGAGCCACCGCACCCGGCCCACAGTAGAAATCTTGACAAGTACTTGTTCCGTGAGAGACGGCGGTGGGGGGTCTTGGAGCCTCCAGGAGACCTTCCAGCCCGAAGGTCTCCCACACTCCTCCCAGCCCTAAAAATGCTTCCCTGCTTCCTATGTCGAGGTCAGGGAGGGAGCTGTTGCGGCACAAAAGAGCATCAGGGCCCTGGGCCAGGGCCACAGGCAGCATTCTCTGACTCTAGAGCCCGGCTCACAACTTACCTCCGCCCTATGATTTTGTTAAGGAGATTATAGATATGGAGATGGGGAAAGAAGATAAATAGAAAATGTTAAAAATCTGTTCTCTCTGGGTAACAGGATTTGTGCTTATCCACATCCACAATCTCAAAATGTTCTGCACCAAAACATAAAAAGCCTTCAGCTCCTCAGCCCTGGCCTGGACTACCCAGAGGGCACCATGCAGCAGACGATGCGATTCTATCTGTAGCCACCAGGTGGCAGCAAAGACCAGGGCACCCGCCTGGCCCAGCCCCAGCCTCCCACGGCACCTGCCTTCCCAACAGGGCCCAGAAGTGGGGTATTGTGAGCCCCATTGGATGACCAGGGAAACCAGGATCCAGGTGGGAAAAGGCACCTGCCCATGTCACAGCCCAGCACGGGCAGAGCCTGGACTAGAACCCCCATCTTCCAACTCACCCGCTCATTTCACCAGTACCTAGGGGTCACTTGGCTTTAACTGCGATACCCAAAAGGGCCTTGCAAAGATTCAGACGGGGCCAAGGTCCTGCAGCCAGCCTGGAGAGGAAGTGGATTTGAGCCCGATCTGCCTGAGCGCCGGGGCTGCGCGAGGCTCTCAGCCCAACATCCGGGGCCGTCCCCAGGAGCACGCCCCCTGCCTGCAATGGCAGAGTCCGGTGCCACCCAGGGGCCCCGCTGGGGAGTCTTGGGGTCCCGTTGGGGCTGCTTTGGGAAAGGGTGGAATGGAGTGCAGCCCAGGGTGTCGCTGGGAGGCCCCGCTGTGCCTCCCCTAACTCCGTGCCAGGCCCAGGCCCCCAACACTTTCCTGGAGCCCACATTAGCAGCAGCTTTGGCAAGGTCCGTCCCACACCAGCCAGGCCGAGAGCAGGAGGAACAGCAGGACAAGGGCTGCAGCCAGGGTCACGGAAGGCGCCAGGGTCACGGAAGGCACCAGGTCCGAGTCTTCAGGGTCATCACCAGGGACATCTCTGGGGACGTTGGGGACACCGGACAGCTGGGTGCCAGAGACCTTCTCCCCTGGGGGCCCTGGGCAGCCCATCTGTGGGAAGGAGGAGGCAAGGGGCAGGACCTCCTCGGGGAAGGCCCCACCTGCCCACCCTCTGCTGTCCCTCTGGTCTGCTCCCTCAGGAAGGCCTGATGTGGGTTGCATAGGCCAAAGCAGGGGGCATGAGGTGACCTAGAAGTGACCCTGGGCAGCAGCTCTGAGCTTCAGTCTTCTCCTCCATAAAACAGGGGTGAAGAAGACCCCCAGAGTGGGATGAGTATTCCCGGCATCTGCTCCCCGCCTCCCACCTTCCCAAGACACGGCAGCCCTACTGTCCCCTCGGAGACCTCGGCCCTGGTGCCAGGCCTGGAATGCAGCTTGGCCCGTTTCCGGGGAACTGGGAAGCTGTCAGACTGGTCTGGAGGGACCTTTGTCAAACTGCATCAACGCGGCCAGCTGCCCTCCCCCTGCACGGCAGCGGTGAGGTGGGCACAGGTGGCATCCATCCTACAGATGAGAAAAGTGAGGCTTAGCGGACCAGTGGCTCCTGAGAAGCCCCGGAGATTGGCAGAGGCCCCTATGGCAGCCCCCGTGGAGACCTGGGAAACAGCTTCCAAGTGCCAGGCCCCAGCCCTCCCCCGCAACAGGGCAGAGTCTGGACCAGATCATTTAAGCCCCAGCGCCCTGGACCAGCAAACCACCGCCAGGGATGCTCCACCCAGCCCCCTCCAGATCCTGCCCCCAAGCTGGACTCCAGGCCCCTCCCTCTTACCCCAGCTGGGTGTGCAAGGCCCAGTCACCTTCCAGCCATGGGGGGTCCCATGTCCTGGGAGGGGCCTGCCCTCAGCTGCCATGCTCCCCAGGGACAGGCGGCGGACAGTGGCAGCTGAGTGCACCCCCTCGAGCTTCCCTCTGCAGGACCCACCCCCCTGGGGCCTTCCTCGGGGAGGCGCCCAGCAGGAATGACAGGAAAGGAGGGAGAACTCGCTGTGGGTGTGGCCAGCACTGAGAGAGGGGTGGTGGCCGTCCCAGGCACCAGAGCAGACCCAGGGTCCCCCCAGACCAGCTCTCTTTCTGCTGCTCTGAACTGAGATTCCTGCCTGGGGCGGGAGGCCACGGAAGGGGAGAGGACTCTGAGTTCAAGTCAGCAAGGGGCTTCCAGACACCCTTTGTGTGCCCAGCACTATGGATTGGGGGGTGCCTTCACACCCCCTCAGAGGCCAGGTCCCCAAGCAGCCTGTCTGTCACAGATCCAGGAGAGAAGGACAGGAGAGAGGAAGGTGAGCTTCCCCATGAGAAGGTTAAAACAGGCTTTAGAGGTCACAAAAGCAGTCCCTGCAGAAGGAAATTATTCTTTAAAAACAAAGATGTTCATCATGTTAATTTTTTTTTTTTTTTTTTTTTTGTATTTTTAGTAGAGACAGGATTTCTCCATGTTGGTCAGGCTGGTCTCAAACTCCCAACCTCAGGTGATCCGCCTGCCTCAGCCTCTCAAAGTGCTGGGATTACAGGCGTGAGCCATTGCACCTGGCCGGCCCCATCATGTTAATTTTAACAGCAAAAATGGTTTGTTGGGGTTCAGACCATGATCCCCACAAGCAGGGTGCCTGGCATGAGGATTCAGAACTAAAGGAAACCAGAAGGCCTCTGGTGCATCCGAAGTCTTCTTCCAACCTTCTCCTCCCCTCCTTTCTCCCGCCCTCTTTCTCCCCAGCAGCAAGTTGCAGAAGCCAGAATTCCTCTTTCCCTAGGTGGGCCATGGACACTAGAGTCCCTCTCCCCCAAAGCCAGCCATGAGACCTAGAAACATGACTCGAACGCTACCTGCCTTTCTGGGGAAGAGCTGGCCATGCCCACCTTGTCTGACTGTGGGTCGTAAAAGACCCTCCCTCCGGGGGTTCTACCCCATCCCTGGGGGGAGAAGCACTGCACAGAGAGGCCAAGGGGGATCTGCACAGCTGGCCTCGCCAGCCTCGCAGTCCATCCCCACAGGCATCCCCTGCCGTCCGACACCTGTCCACACGGCTGCCTGTTCTCCACCAACTCTAAGCACAGGGACCATCTTCCCTGGGTCTCTGAGTCTCCACTTCTGACACCTCCCTGTCACATAAAGCTTTGATTAAATAAATCTGGTGTGCTTTTCTCTTGTGAACCTGTCTTTTGTTATAGAACTGTCACCCATGGCCCTGATGATGATGAGACCATCCCTATAAACTTTATAAAATTAATCAAGGAAGAAGAGAGGAGGAGAAATGAGAATAAACCAGGCTTGTAGCACATTCAGCATCCATCGCTAGGTCAACTTGCTCTCTGACCTCAAAGTTTTTTGGTGCCTGTTGCCTTAGAATCACAGAGACTCTGTTACAAGATTGTAGCTCTCCCTCACTGCCCTGTAGATATAGATAACAACTTTAACATTGCAAAGATGTCCTTTTCCTTTTTTTTTTTTGAGACAGAGTTTTGCTCTGATTGCCCAGGCTGAAGTGCAACCGCACGATCTCGGCTCACTGCAACCTCCACTCCTAGATTCATGTGATTCTCTCGCCTCAGCCTCCCAAGCAGCTGGGATTACAGGCTCACGCCACCATGCCTGGCTAATTCTTTGTATTTTTAGTAGAGGCAGGGTTTCACCATGTTGGCCAGGCGCCCAGTCAAAAGTTTCCATTTGAGATGTTCTTTTGGGTCCTGTGTACCAATGAAACTACTGACACCGGCCGGGCGCGGTGGCTCACGCCTGTAATCCCAGCACTTTGGGAGGCTGAGGCATGCAGATCACGAGGTCAGAAGTTCGAGACCAGCCTGGCCAACATAGTGAAAACCCATCTCTACTAAAAATACAAAAATCAGCCAGGTGTGGTGACATGCATCTGTACTCCCAGCTACTCTGGAGGCTGAGGTGGGAGAATCGCTTGAACCCAGAAGGTGAAGGTTGCAGTGAGTGGAGACCATACCACTGCACTCCAGCCTGGGTGACAGAGTGAGACTCTGTCTCAAAAAAAAAAAAAGAAAGAAACTACTGATGACAGCTGGTCTCAAGGACCCCAGGAGGACCTGATTCACCAAAGAATACATTTTCCACCTCCTGATGATTTTACCTCCCATCCCCAGACCTATCAACAACCCACTTCTAAAGCCCATCGCCCTCCATGATCCCCTTAAAAGCCCCAGCCCAAAGCTCCTAGGGGAGATGGATTTGAGGATCTCCTCCCATCTCCTTGCTCAGAGCCCTGCAATCATTAAACTCTTCCCTGCTGCGAACCCTGCTGCACGGTGTACTGGTGTGTCGTGGTGTCACGGTGGAGCAGGCATGTGGATCTGCTGGTCTTGTAACAATGGGTGAGGAAACGGATTCCACCTTTTCTACCCTTACAGTTTGAAACAGCTTTGATGCCCATGACAGAAGATTCATTACAAATTCAAGCTCATCCACCCAGCCTTTAACATTAAAAGGCTGTGAAACAGGGCCGGGTGCAGTGGCTCATGCCTGTAATCCCAGCACTTTGGGAGGCCGAGGCGGGCGGATCACGAGGTCAGGAGATGGAGACCACCCTGGCTAACACGGTGAAACCCCGTCTCTACTAAAAATACAAAAAATTAGCTGGGCGTGGTGGCAGGCGCCTGTAGTCCCAGCTACTCAGGAGGCTGAGGCAGGAGAATGGCGTGAACCCAGGAGGTGGAGCTTGCAGTAAGCTGAGATGGCACCACTGCACTCCAGCCTGGGGGAAAGGGCGAGACTCATCTCAAAAAAAAAAAAAAAAGGCTGTTAAGCAGGGTTCTGTGCAAGAAGGCTCACACCGGCTCATTCTTTTAGCCAAAAACTGTGCTACATCCGTAAAACACTACACTACGCGGCTGCAAATAAGAACAAACCACTGAACATCAGCAAACCACTGATAAATTTCATAAACATGCTGAAAAAAGAAGGCAGACAAAAAAACAGTGCTTCACATAGGTTCTCTTTATAAGACCACTGTAATCTATCGTCACAGGAAGCAGATTAATAGTTTACTGGGGAGGCCGGGCGCGGTGGCTCATGCCTGTAATCCCAGCCCTTTGGGAGGCCGAGGCCGGCAGATCACGAGGTCAGGAGATCAAGACCATCCTGGCTAACATGGTGAAACCCCATCTCTACTAAAAATACAAAAAAATATTAGCCGGGCATGGTGGCGGGCACCTGTGGTCCCAGCTACTCAGGAGGCTGAGGCAGGAGAATGGCATGAACCTGGGAGGCGGAGCTTGCAGTGAGCCGAGATCGCACCACTGCACTCCAGCCTGGGGGACAGAGTGAAACTCCCTCTCAAAAAAAAAAATAGTTTACTGGGGAGCAGGGAAAGGAGGTTGACCTCAGAAAGGCACAAAGAAACCTTCTAGAAGGGTGGAAATGGGCTGGGCGTGATGACTCACGCCTGTAATCCCAGCACTTTGGGAGGCCAAGGCGGGAGGATCACCTGATGTTGGGAGTTTGAGACCAGCCTGGCCAACATGGTGAAACCCCATCTCTACCAAAAATGCAAAAACTACCCAGGTGTGGTGGCGGGCGCCTGTAATCCCAGCTACTCGGGAGGCTGAGGCAGGAGAATCGCTTGAACCCAGTGGTCGGAGGTTGCAGTGAGCCGAGATCGCACTACTGCACTCCAGCCTGGGCAACAGAGAGAGACTCTGTCTCAAAAAAAGATAAAAGAAAGAAAGAAAAGGTGGAAATGTTTTATATCTTGATTGGGGGTGTTTGGGGTTATACAATTGTCAAAACTCATCAACCTATATTTAAAATGGATTCATTTTACTGTATATAAATTATAGCTTAACAAAGTTGATTTTTCTTGTATTTTATTTTTTCAAGAAGGCTCTCCCTCTGTCACCCAGGCTGGAGTGCTGTGGTGTGATCACAGCTCACCGCAGCCTCAAACTCCTGGGCTCAAGCAATCTTCCCACCTCTGCCTTCCGAGTAGCTGGGGCCACAGGCACTTGCCATCACACCTGGACAACTTTTTTAGCTTTTTGTAGAGACAGGGTCACTTTGTTGCCCAGGCTGGTGTCAGACTCCTGGCATCAAGCAATTCTCCTACCTTGGCCTCCTAAATGCTGGGATTACAGGCACACACCACTGCACCTGGCCTAAAGTTGATTTTAAAAGAAAAAAAATACATTTTAAAAAAAGAGAAGGCCGGGTGCGGTGACTCACGCCTGTAATCCCAGCACTTTGTGAGGCTGAAGCGGAAGGATCACAAGGTCAGGAGTTCAAGACCAAGCTGGCCAACATGGTGAAACCCCGTCTCCACTAAAAATACAAAAATTAGCCGGGCGTGGTGGCACATGCCTGTAATCCCAGCTACTTGGGAGGCTGAGGCAGGAGAATCGCTTGAACTCGGGAGGTGGAAGTTGCAGTAAGCTGAGATCGTGCCACTGCACTCCAGCCTGGCCAACAGAGCGAGACTCCGTCTCAAAAAAAAAAAAAAAAATACACATATAGATATGTAAAAATACATACACATATATATGTATATACGTATATATATGGCCACGAGGACTGTGCAGCCTGATCACCATACCAGGGTGTGCCTGAGTCCAAAGCCTATGATCTTGATGGCAAGAAAACGGTGACGTAAAGGGGCTGCACAGTTTAATGGGGGCCCCAATAGCAAATATGCAAAATAGGCACATGAGGAAAAGACTGGAAGAGGCTAAAACGCCATCAAGGTCAGGCTGACGGGAGATGGATGTGATTTTATTGTTCTATTATGGTTGTATTTCAATCATAATAAAAGGGAATTCTAACTTTTAAAAATGCTTTACCATGTTAATAGCTAAAATGGGAAATGACCCAAATACTCAGCAACAAAGGCTCCGTTTAAAAGCGTGTGTGGCACGTCCATCCAACAGAGCAGGGCGTGATTCCGTCCTCTTCCCGAAAAGGCCCAAAGGGAGAGGTGGAACTGCTGTGGGATTTTTTGAGGACGGTCTTCCCGGGAATTTTCCATTTCTGCTTTTCTTATTTTTCAATGTTATCTTACTACCTGGGTTACGTGTCACGAGCTCAGGTTATTTCTACCACCAGAGCCTGGGGTGGAGGATACAGACCTCGCCCACTGGAGCTGCCCACAGCGCCTCGCCGGCCCCTCCTGCCTCCTTCGTCCCGCACATCCGCTGCTGCCCTGACACACCCCGATTCCCTGGTGCCAGGGAGAGCCAGGGCAGAGGTGGCCCTGAGACGCCACGCGACGGGGAGGGCTAGAGCGTAAGGAGGAGCGAGGTGCGCATTCGCTGTGACCCTGGCGCTCGGCTTCGCCTCTCTGGGCCTCGGTTTCCACCCCGCGGGAGCGAGTACGACAGGGGCTGCGCGCATTGCCGCAGTCACGCCTGCAAGAGCCGGGCCGGGTGAGCCGCTTCCGGCGCTCCGCGGGGGCCCCGGACGATCCAGCAGGGGCTCCGCCCTGGGACCCCCATCCTGTCTTGGGGCGTGACCTTCGGGGGCGCACGCGGTGCCGGCCGCGCCCGGGGAAGCCGGGTCCGCATCCGAGCATCAGGACAGCCTGCGGCCGCCCCATTGGCCGGCGTGTCTCTGCAGGGCCGTCCCACAGCCAATAGCGGCCAAGGGGCGGAGCCTGGCCGGTGCCCTCGGAGCTGCTGGCCCCGGGCGGCTGCTCCAGTCTGAGCGCCCTCCGCTCGCCCCGAGAGAGACCCGGCCATGCAGGAGCCGCTGCTGGGAGCCGAGGGCCCGGACTACGACACCTTCCCCGAGAAGCCGCCCCCGTCGCCAGGGGACAGGGCGCGGGTCGGGTGAGAGTCGCTAGGTTGGGGGCTGCGGGTGGGGCCTGGGGGTGGCCCTGGTTCCCTCCAGCCGGCGGCAGGCTCCCGCCCTGGGCCTCCCCTGACCTAGTCGCCACCGAGGGGCCATCTGGCTCCCTCCTGTCCCAGACACGCTACTCCTATTTAAGGAACTGGTCCCCCTAAGGGAAGGAACGATCCACGAGAGTACCGGGCCCAGCCCCCCACTGCCACAGACAGTGAGACTGAGGCCCCAGCGAGCAGGGGTTCTGCCTGAGGTCACACAGCAAGCCTCCAGCCGCCGCCCTGGGGGCAGAACCAGAGCCTCCTCTTCCGGAGAAAAGGCCCCAGCACCAGAGGCTCAGCCACTGCGGATGAGCTAACAATGGCCTGGGAATTTCCCAGGGGAGCTGGGGCTCAGGCCCTGGGAACGTGAATGGCCTTGGACCCAGGCCTCCCTAGCACTGCCCGCTGAGCCGGGCAGCCACTGGGTTCAGAAAAGGCAATGGTCCCTGGAGGAGGGACTCAGAGACCCTGGTCTTTTTGTCCGCCACCATCACCAGGACCCTGCAGAACAAAAGGGTGTTCCTGGCCACCTTCGCCGCAGTGCTCGGCAATTTCAGCTTTGGGTATGCCCTGGTCTACACATCCCCTGTCATCCCAGCCCTGGAGCGCTCCTTGGATCCTGACCTGCATCTGACCAAATCCCAGGCATCCTGGTTTGGGGTAAGGACCATCCTCTGGAGGAGGGTGGGTGCAGGAAGGAGGGACCTGCTGAGCCTTATCTCCAGCTAGGAACCTCCCAAATTCTCCACCTTGGGGGTCCCTCCAGGGCCCTGGTCCCCCCTCCCCCAGCCATCCAGGCCACTAGTGGGTGGGGTAAAGCTACAGGATTCCTCTGAAATGAGGAACTGAAAGCCAGTGGAGAGGGTGAGGGAAGGAGCAGGTGGGGAGGTGGCTGTCAGGGTCTATACTAGGTGGGGCTGAGGCTTCCCCGGGTCCCCACACCCACAGTTGGCTGGATGGGGGCAAGGGTATCAGGTGTCAGTGGGGAGAGGCACTGGCTGGGGCAAGGAGAGTCCGCAGGACAGATTGTGGGCTGATGGAGAGGAAGATCCCAGAGTCCCAGAGTCTAAAATTATAATCTTAATAGCCTCATATGTAGAGTTGTTAACATAGTAGTTAAGATAAAAATTCCCAAGGTTTACTGAGCACTTCCTATGTGCCAGGCATGTGTTGGGCACTGAACGTTCATTGATTCTCAGGGCCAACGCCACGAGGTAGAACTTGCGCTCTCCCCATAAGACAGCTGAAGAAACTGAGGTGCAGACAGGCTGGGCAATGTGCCCAGGTCCCACTACCAGTTAGCAGAGTCCAGAGGGGGTCCCAGTTGCTGCTGTACAGGGAACTTAAGAACCTCCAAATCTTAAAGCCCAGTACCTTCAAGTCACAGAATTCTCCTGTATTAAAATATTAGACATTTAAACATCAGGCTGGACAGAACCACTGTGGATATGTGGCGCAGCACCTCTTCCTTAGAGCAGAATTCCCCGTTTGGGCATCCCTAACAAATGGCTGTTCCTTGAAGACAGGAGGCTCCCTGTTTCAAGTGCTTGACTTGGCCAAGTGCTTGACCAGCTCCTGGGGTCGGCCTAGGGAAGAAGCTGTCCCTGGACTCTGATGAGATTGGGGTGCCAAGTGCCCAGACATATCTGCCCTGCACCCCCTTCCCCTGCAGTCCGTGTTCACCCTGGGAGCAGCGGCCGGAGGCCTGAGTGCCATGATCCTCAACGACCTCCTGGGCCGGAAGCTGAGCATCATGTTCTCAGCTGTGCCGTCGGCGGCCGGCTATGCGCTCATGGCGGGTGCGCACGGCCTCTGGATGCTGCTGCTCGGAAGGACGCTGACGGGCTTCGCCGGGGGGCTCACAGCTGCCTGCATCCCGGTAAGGCCAGGCCTTCCCACCCAGGCGCCCCAATGCCTCTGTATTGGTGCTGAGCCTCCATCTGACTAAGGCCTCCCAGCCTCCATGCCTTCTGGGCAATGAGAATTGTTTGCCTTCCCTGCGGATGCCCAGGGCGCCTCAGCTCACCCCCAGCAGGGCAGCTAATTTGGGGGAAATTGTCTCCAGGTCCCCAGCTGCCCCCACTCTGGACTTTCCAAGCCTTCTACCCCGTTTCTTGACCGGTCAGATGTATTACTCAATTGGAGAAAATCCGCATTGAGCAATGGGTAGGAGAGGGAAGTCCCTGCCCTACACCCTCCCCGGGACCTTCTTATCTTATGTGGTACTCCACACGGGGCCTGGTGGTGAGCCCAGCAGAGGAGACAAAACTCACTGGGAGGCATGGACTCACCTGCTCAGCCCTGAAGCCTGGGAGCCCTCGGGCCTCCTTCCCAGCGTCATGCTGCCCATTTCCGAGCTGCGTACTTCCACCCACGTCACAGTTAGGGAAACTGAGGACAGAGAGAGATCAGGCAGGCCGCCCAAGGTCTTGCAGTGAGTCATGACCAGGACTCAGCCCCACCAGAAAGCCTCCACTTCCCACTTTCCGGGGTTCACAGGGGCTGACTCTCCCATCTCGGCCGGGCCTAGGAACCAGTATTTTCAGCAAAACCTGGTGCGGCGGCTGTGTCTTGCAGGTGTACGTGTCTGAGATTGCTCCCCCAGGCGTTCGTGGGGCTCTGGGGGCCACACCCCAGCTCATGGCAGTGTTCGGATCCCTGTCCCTCTACGCCCTTGGCAAGTATGGCCCCGCACTCCTGTGTGCAGGCTGGTGGGAGGGGTGGGTGCCGCCAAGGTAGACGTGGGTGGAAAGGGAATGATTTGTCCCAGAACAGATCCTGGGCTGAGAGGCAAGAGATCTGGCATCCCGGCCCCACTCAGTCAGCACCTTGCTGGGCACCTCCAGGCAGGGCCTGCCCCTCTAGCCACAGGCCCAGTCTCTAGCTGGGGCAGCCAGGGCTTCTCCTGGACCCACAGTCGCCAGACTATCTTTTAACGGCAGAAAGCTTCCATCAAATGCCATCTCAGATGGGAAGTCCAGATAGAAAAGAAATCACAGTGCGTGCAGCTGCTCAGTTGAGGGGGCGTGGAGGTCTTGGGTGGAGGCCTAGGGCCTTGCCTGCCCAACCTACCCCTTCCTCATCCTGCCCTGGCCCTAAGACTTTCCAAGGACTTCCCACTATGTGCCAGGGGCTGAGCAATCCCTGCAGCCCCACCCTGCCTGGGGCAATCAGGGTAGGCTTCCTGTAGGAGATGGCCCTTGGACTAGACCTTGAAGGGCAGATGAGGTTATTCAGAGGCTCCAGAGGGAAGGGGCTGTACCAGGCCTGGACCTGGCCCCTCACCCACCCCTCGCCCCCAGGCCTCCTGCTGCCGTGGCGCTGGCTGGCTGTGGCCGGGGAGGCGCCTGTGCTCATCATGATCCTGCTGCTCAGCTTCATGCCCAACTCGCCGCGCTTCCTGCTCTCTCGGGGCAGGGACGAAGAGGCCCTGCGGGCGCTGGCCTGGCTGCGTGGGACGGACGTCGATGTCCACTGGGAGTTCGAGCAGATCCAGGACAACGTCCGGAGACAGGTGCAGGAGGGTGTGCGCCCGAACCGGGCAGGCCCACCTCCAGCACTTCAGCTGTGTGTGGCCGTGGAGGCTTTTCCTGGAAGACAGGACCACAGTAGTTCCCACTAATCCAAGTGCCTGGGTTGGGGTGGGGGGCTGTTCCCAGAGCCTGGGTGGCCTGGTAAGCTGGTTCTTTCCTGGAGGAGGGAAAAAGGAGGTCTCCCACACAACCCCTGGCGGTCCAGGGCAGGATGGCGCCTGCTGGAGAGGCTGGCCCAACGCCCTCAGCGGCGGCCTTGTGTTTCAGAGCAGCCGAGTATCGTGGGCTGAGGCACGGGCCCCACACGTGTGCCGGCCCATCACCGTGGCCTTGCTGATGCGCCTCCTGCAGCAGCTGACGGGCATCACGCCCATCCTGGTCTACCTGCAGTCCATCTTCGACAGCACCGCTGTCCTGCTGGTGAGAGCCCAGCCCCGGCCGGCGCCCACCCACGGGGTCCCCTGGAGGCTGGCAGGGCAGGGGAGGCAGGGCCTGCTCCTGCACTTACCCAACCCCTGGTCTTACCCACACCTGCTCTGTGCCAGGTGTCAGGGATGCCACAGCAAGATCTGAGATCTGGGCCTTGTGGAGACAGTTCCAGTGCCTTCACCTGTTCTCAGAATGTTTTTAAGATAAGCTTAAGTGTTTTAAAATAAAATACTGGCAAAATCCCAACACGAGGCCAAGGCGGGAGGATCACTTAAGCCCAGGAGTGTGAGACTGCAGTGGCCACGATCTCACCACTGCACTCCATCCTGGTGACAGAGCAGGACCCTGTCTCTAAAAACATATAGAAATTTTAAAAATTAAATAAAATACATGGGATTACAAAGGAAACCAGCTTTATAGAAACGTGGACCCCTTGAGGCCACAGACCCCAGGTTCAGAGCCCTGTGGCATCTGCCACTTAATGAGGGAAGTCACTTTCCCCTCTGAACCTCAACTTCCTCCTCTGCAAGATGAAGATAGCAGCACATCTCCATCAGCCTGCCCCAAGGCTCAAAGTGAGATGAGATTTGAAGATTAGTAACAGCACGGTTCAGCAAGTCATCATCACGCCTGGATTCTGTGCCAGCTGGGCATAGTGGTGGGCAGAGCAGATGTGTCCCTGCCCAGGAGCCCCATAGGCTCGGACAGTATAGATGCCCAGCACGCTGCAGGTGCCAGGCCACTCAGTACTGCACTGAGCTGCTGGCCTGAGCCCCTGCAATGCCTGCCGGGACAAGCTGGGTCCTGGAGGGGGATGGGAACAGCAGGCAGGTCCCTCAGCCCTGGTGGTCTCCCCCCGATAGCCCCCCAAGGACGACGCAGCCATCGTTGGGGCCGTGCGGCTCCTGTCCGTGCTGATCGCCGCCCTCACCATGGACCTCGCAGGCCGCAAGGTGCTGCTCTTCGTCTCAGGTAAGCACCCTGCAGGCAGCCCTCCTGCCCCACTCCTCCGCATGGGTCAGGGCTGGGCTGGGTGTGCAGGCCTGCCTCGGGGTGGGGCTGTGTGGCTGGGAACTGCAGAGCACCTGCCTCCCTAGCATCGGCAGGGCCCTGGCCCAGGCCAGTGGTCCAGAAAGGTCCGCTGGGGCTCCGAGTGGACACACTGGCTGTGACACTCCACGGTGGGAGCCTAACACGCGGCTGGAGACAGAGCTTGCTGCCCTGCTGGGGGTCTCTAGTCCCAGACACGAGCTGGACCACGCAAGTATCAAGGGGCTCTGCAGAAGGAGCTCTGAGAGAAACAGCTGGCTCAGAGGGTCCTGGCCCCACGAGGCCACCTGTCTGTCCACAGCGGCCATCATGTTTGCTGCCAACCTGACTCTGGGGCTGTACATCCACTTTGGCCCCAGGCCTCTGAGCCCCAACAGCACTGCGGGCCTGGAAAGCGAGTCCTGGGGGGACTTGGCGCAGCCCCTGGCAGCACCCGCTGGCTACCTCACCCTGGTGCCCCTGCTGGCCACCATGCTCTTCATCATGGGTAGGTGTGGTGGTGGCTCAGAGGGGCAGGCTGTCTTGGGTGTTAAGGGATGGGTGATGTGTCTGGGGTGGCTGGAGAGGGGGGTCTCCAGCAGCTCAGCGGAGACAGACACAGCCGCCTCCAGTCACCCCACAGGGCCTGAACCTGCCTCCTCCTCCGAGCAGGCTACGCCGTGGGCTGGGGTCCCATCACCTGGCTGCTCATGTCTGAGGTCCTGCCCCTGCGTGCCCGTGGCGTGGCCTCAGGGCTCTGCGTGCTGGCCAGCTGGCTCACCGCCTTCGTCCTCACCAAGTCCTTCCTGCCAGTGGTGGTGAGTGTTCAGCCCCAGGCCCCAGGCCCCTAGGCCCTCTCTGACTGGCCAGGACCCTTCTCAGTGCCAGGGGCTGTGCCAAGGCCTGCTGTCAGGACCCTAACTCTCAGTGACCCTAGGAGATGAGCACACACCCCCTGAACTCAGAGACCCCAGAGTGGTCACGTGATAGCCTAGCAAACGCTCTTCATTATAAGAAACAGGAACGGGCGTAGGCAACTGTTCTGGGAAGTCAGGTTACCTCCTGGGCCAGGGCAGGACATGGCCCAGGACCCTGCCAGGGGCCCCGGAAGCCACCTCCCCACCGTGCCTCATCTCCCGCCCTCCTGGGCGCTGGGTCTCAGCAGCAGCCACACTCCCCCCTCAACCCCACCCACTCCCCCTGCCTCCTGGTTCAAAACTACGGGCCCTGTGACCAGCCAGAATCTGTGAGGCCCAGAGTAAGTTCCCATGAGGGAGAAGCTGGCTAGGGCAGCCTAGGCCAGCGCCTAAGCTGTCCCTGCAGTGGTCAGGGCAGGGGGGTTGGGGGAGGGCAGGCAACCCAGAGTGAGTCCATCAGCCTAGAGGGTCCAAGAAGAACCTGCGTGCCCACCAGGCTGCAGGGCGGGCCTCCTGCAGGCCGCGGCATGGAACAGCTGGGATGCCAGCGCTGGGTAGGGGGTGTGGAGGGGGTACCTGAGCTGACGCCAGAGGGCCCAGCCCCTGAGGAAGGCCGAGGGGCAGACGGGATGCAGACTTCAAGGGCTACTTCGGATTTGTCCTGGGGACAGTGGGGGAGCCCTGGTGTGGGGGGGCGGTCTCTGAACACAGGAAGGACCAGATGAAGGCCCCACAGGGCTGGTCACTACCAGCAGCGCCCACGAGCTCCTCTGGGGCAGGAGGACCCTGGAGCTTCTCCCTGTGACCCGGCCCCGCTCTTCACCCGCAGAGCACCTTCGGCCTCCAGGTGCCTTTCTTCTTCTTCGCGGCCATCTGCTTGGTGAGCCTGGTGTTCACAGGCTGCTGTGTGCCCGAGACCAAGGGACGGTCCCTGGAGCAGATCGAGTCCTTCTTCCGCACGGGGAGAAGGTCCTTCTTGCGCTAGGTCAAGGTCCCCGCCTGGAGGGGGCCAAACCCCCAGTGGCTGGGCCTCTGTGTTGGCTACAAACCTGCACCCTGGGACCAAGAGGCAGCAGTCATCCCTGCCACCAGCCAGAGCACAGGAAGAGCAGTGTGATGGGGCCTCAGCAGCGGGTGCCCCTGGCTCGGGACAGGTAGCACTGCTGTCCAGCCACAGCCCCAGCCCAGGCAGCCCACAGTGCTGCACGTAGCCATGGGCCGCAGGAGTGCATACAACCCTGCATCCAGGGACACGGCCCTGCTGGGTGACCTCAGGCCTAGTCCCTTTCCCTTGCGTGAAGGACACGCCCCACAGAAGGCTACGGGGAGGACTGAGAGGACAGGGCTGGAGGCAGCCAAGTAACGTAGTCATATCATCGCGCTCTGATCTGGTGGCATCTGGCTGTGCAAGGAAGACCCGGCTTTGCCCTCACAAGTCTTATGGGCACCACAGGGAACATCCTGGACTTAAAAAGCCAGGGCAGGCCGGGCACAGTGGCTCACGCCTGTAATCCCAGCACTTTGGGAGGCCAAAGCAGGTGGATTACCCAAGGCCAGGAGTTCAAGACCAGCCTGGCCAACATGGTGAAACCCCGTCTCTACTAAAAAATACAAAAAAGCTGGGTGTGGTGGCACACACCCGTAGTTCCAGCTACTTGGGAGGCTGAGGCAGCATTGCTTGAACCCGGGAGGTGGAGGCTGCAATGAGCTGAGATCATGCCATTGCACTCCAGCCTGGGCAACGAGAGTGAAACTCCGTCCCCACCCCCTGCCAAAAAAAAAAAAAAAAAAGCCAGGGCAAAGGACCTGGCGTGGCCACTTCCTCCTGCCCCAGCCCAACCTCTGGGAACAGGCAGCTCCTATCTGCAAACTGTGTTCACCCTTTTGTAAAAATAAAGGAACTGGACCTGTAGTCCTAGCGAGGAAAGAGTGGGGTCTACTCCAGGAGCCCCCACAGCAGCCAGGCTAGACCCGAACCAGCCAAGGTTGCCAGGGCCACTGACTGCTGATCCATAGCAAAAGCAGGGCAGGGAAAAGGCTGCAGTGAGGGGAAGCCCACTGCGAGGCCCACCCTTAACAGGCTCTTTCTAGCTGTGTGACCTTGGGCAGGTCACTTTCCTTGTCTGGGATGCTGGGGGCAGCCTCGGGACAGGACCTGTAGTTATTTCCTGGGCCAGCGGCTCCTGCCTGGCTTCCACACTCACACACAGGCACCAAGGCAGAAGGGAGCAGAGGGCAGGCACGCGAGCCACGGCCACGCTTTATTGCTTAAGACGCACACAGAACACAGAGGAACAAACAAGGAGGAAAGGGCGCCACACACAGCCCAGACCAGGCAGGAGCGGCCCAGCCGCCGGAAGAGACGTTCCTTGCAAGGCAGGGCCCCTGCTGGACAGCACGCCCCCTGGGCGACAGGGTCAGGGACCCCAGGACTGCACAGCTGCAGACTTGCTGGGAACCTGGGACAGGTGACACGCCCACTCTCGCCTGTGGCCCAGGGCCTTCCACCTCTGCATCCAGCCATGCACCCACCATTTCCCCACAGGGTACAGGGGCAGCCTTCCTTGATCCACAGCCAACCCTTCTCCTGCTGTCTCTGGCTGTCAGTGAGACCCCTCTGGAAAGGGCAGAAGCAGGCAAGCCAGGCAGAAGGGGGCCCGGGGTCCCACTACCTGGGTAGGAATGAGCAGAGGGCGGGCAGAGCCCTTGCTCCTTGTGGGAGGTAGACAGGTCTCACTGCATACATGGGACAGATGTGTGCACCCACACACATATACATACACACACACACACACACACACACACACACACACACAGCCCTTTGAACCCAGCACTGGCCTGAGGAAGGTGGCCCCGGAGGAACCCTGAAGGCACATGTCCACCAGGCTATAATGCCCCTGCCACCCTGGGGCTCAGCTGGCCAGACTCCCAGGGGTGGGATGCTGCTGACCCAGGAGCCCACCAAGTCCCCAGGGCAGTACTGGGCAGGGCCCAGAAAACCCCACGCCCAGCCCACCAGCCTGCCACTCCTGGCCTCAGATGCCACTCCCGGCCTCAGATGCCACTCCCAGCCTCAGACGCAGATGGGCCCGAGAGGTGTTCCTGGGAAACAGTTCACTTAGCAAGACCCAGTACCTGCGCTCCAGAAGCTCAGCGCAGGCCCAGCCTGGGGTTGGCCCCAGATGGAATATCTTCCACACCCGCCCGCTTCTGCCAAACCCCACCTGGGCTAAGCCAGGCCCGACCAGGCACCTGCCCGATGGCTGAGAGCCAGCCTCACGGTCAGAGAGGCCAGCGGGCTGAGGCCACAGGGCAGAGGGAATATGGGGGTGCACATCCTGGGCACCAGCTCTCTGCATCCTCCCTGGGTAGGCCTGGCTCCGGACAGCCTGGCACCCAGGGCAGTGGGGACAGCTCTGTGTGGGGAGGTGACTGTGGCCTCTGCCCAGTTCTTAAAAGGCAGAAGCTCCCTGAGGGCAGGGCTTGGGCAGGCCAGCAGGAGCACCTGAGTGGGGCTGAGGTCAGACCCACTAACCCACTAATGGGGCTGGGCTGTGGCTGATGTTGACGGGGCCACACCAGGGAGAGGGTGGGCACCCTCGGTGCCAGGGAGAGCCTGCTCTCCCCACTTCCTTAGCACCAAGGCCAGCAGGGGCGGGGGGTGATGGGCAGAACCTAGGGGCCCCAGCAGGCCCAGGGAGGAGGGGCAGCCGAGGGGCCTTGAGGTGGCCTGTCCAAGGTTCCCAGGGCCAGCAGGGAGCATCCCCCACCCAGCTGTCCAGTCACTGCCAAGGCTGCAGTTCCAGGTACCGGGGTGCACCTTAGGAGCCCTGTGGGCTTCTTCAGAAGGCAGGGTGACAGTGGGCGCTGCACCCTAGGCAGCAGTGGGAGGTTGCTGGCAGCGGCAGGCTGTCCCAGGCCCTGGGGCTCCACCTGCTAAGAGAGCTGGGGGAGGTCCCTCTGCTCAGTGCCCAGGTGGCAGGGTCCCACTTGCCCCTCCCCTCAAGCCAGGACCAGCATCTCCAGGGGAAGCTGCTCCCAGGTCACAGCAGGTCACAGGCAGCCCTGTCTGTGGTGTGAGATCTGCAGACCCACCCAGCAGAGGAGTAGGGCTGGGTAGTGTCCACACAGCTGCTGCAGGCTCTGCCTCAAGTCCAGCAGCCCAGACCCTCACACCAGCAGCCAGTGGCTCCTGGCTTAAGCCAGTCTGGAGAAAGGAGCAGAGGACTCCAGGTGTAGGGACACGTGCAAAGGCCCCTCTCCAGGCTGTGCCTCAGCGTGGACAGTCCAGGCCTCACTTGGACCCACACAGAGCCAGAAGAGGGGACAGGGAGGGAGGGGCGCCCAGCCCTTCACAGCTCCCCCTCCAGGGTCTCCGCGAGCTTCTCCTCATCCGCCTGCTGCCTCTGCTGCTGGATCCTGGCATAGGAGATCGCATCGCCCCTGGGGAGAGAGAGAGGCAGCGTCACGTGGAGCACCAGCCCCATGCCCACAGCCCTCCTGACCACTGCCCGGTTCCTGCCCTGTGACCCAGGTGTGACCTGCAGGCATTCTGATTTCCCCAGAGACAACTGCTGGGGTGGCAAAGGCCTGTCTTGTCCCCTCTGAGAATGGCCCAGGCTCCCTGGGATGCTGGGCTGCGAAGGAACCAGCCTCAGTCTGGGCTCTGCAGGAGAGAGGGTGGCAACTGAGTACAATGCCCGGTGCAGACCTGGGAGGGGAAGGGGCTCCCACCAGCCATGTTTTTGCTATCCTTGCTGCAGGCCGTGACGGGGCAAGACTGGGCCACGCAGAAGTGTTGTAAGTCCTCTGTCTTCACCCACTCGAGCTGAGCCCTGGAGGCACCAATGAGTTACTGGGACCTCTGCCTCGGTCTCCACTAGCTAAAAGGGGCCACTCTCAGATCCTCCTCACTGAAGGACTTCGGGGGGCGGAGGGAGGAAGGCCCTGCCCAGGGGCTGGGCCTGGCAGACGCACTTTTTGCCCAGAGCAGAGAGTCCGTACAGCACCCCCGTAGCAAAGGCGATGGCGTTGCCCAGCAGCGTGGTCAGGGTCAGGCTGATGACGATGGGAACGACCGCCATCCTGGGGGGAAAGCAGAGGTCAAGGGGGCACTCCGGCCCCACAGCCACCACATCCTTCCCCGCTTCCCAGACTCGGCCCAGCATCCTTCCTAGACACCCAGGGCACAGGAAGGATCCCCAAAAATCAACTGAGACACAGCTTCAGAAAGTCCTTCATCAGCCCTGAACTTGTCTGTAAAACTGTTCCATTCTGGGAATAGGATCCAAAGCTTTCATCAGATTTTTGAAGGGGTCTGTGATCCCAAAAAGAGCTAAACAGTAACGAGATGGTCCAGTGCCCTCACTGTGAGAAAAACTGGCCAGAAAGAGCCTGTGACAGAGAATCTGGCTTCCCATCCAGGACCTACTAGCTTCGCGGGCAAGTTACTCGGAATCTCCACCGCGGAGAGGGGATCAAAGCTTGTCCGAGGTCAGTCATGTTACCTACACAATGCTGACCACCACAGGCACTAAATAAATGCTCTGAGTTATAGAGTAACACCAGCCACATCGCCACAAGTAAGGTCCCTGGAATTCAACCACATGGAACACAGGGTCTCATCATGGGAGGGCTGCAGGCTGCGGGGTCTGCGGGGTCGGCCCAGACCTTGCTGCAGTTTGGCGTCACCTGGTGGCAGGGTCCACTGGGGCTTAAGCGTCCCCGGGGCTGATTCTCCATCCTGGCTGGAATTTCCAGGCCAGCAGCAATTCCTGGGCTAACTGGGCCAGGAGGATACCTGCAGCCTGGAGGCCAGCGCTCTGTCCTGTCGCCTCCCTAGAGGAGGCTGCCTGTGCAGGAGGACAAGACTCGTGGCCAATTGCATTCTACCTCAGTTTCCATTCTTGTAGACATGTGGTTGTGAGATTTTTCTGTCGTTAAAAAATTTCAAAATGATAAAATAATAATAGAAATTACAAAGAAAAAGACCACGGCGGGGAACCTTCTGACAAAAACAAAATTAAAGGCAAACAAGAGCCTGGAAAAATAGTTGCAGGAAATACAACCAAGGATCATGAAATCTTTAATACAGAAAACACACTGAACTTGCTAAGCAGAACACTGAGGTTCCCACAGGTTAAAAAGTAAACTCGAAAATTTTCATATCAGAAAATGCAATGGAAACACGTGGGAAAATATTTTTCCCTCTTAGATAACAAATAGATAAATGCGAATGTGAAGTGGTGTGCAGCCCTGGGCTGGGGTGGGGGCGGGGGAGAGACTCAAGGGACCTCTTTGGAAAGCAACGTAGCCACGCATCTTAAAATATTTTTAATGATCAGAATCTTTGACCCAGTAATTCCACACCTGAAAATAGATATTAAGGAAATCATCATAAACACAGAAAAAGTTTTAGCAGACACATGTTTATCACACCTCGATTTACACCAGTTAAGAAATTAAGAACAGCATGATACATCCAGCTGAATGAATATTCCTGTATTGAAAGAATGTTATAAAGTCTGTGGTGATGTTCAAATGCTTATATCATTACTCTAAGTGAAAAAAGGCAGGATACAAACTTATTCATAATGGTTATAACTGTGTTAAAAGCAGGCTTTTAAAAAATGCCTGCAGACAGGAAGCACACACATCAGAAGATTAGCAGGCAGCGGGCTTCGAGTAACATTGTTCTATATTCCAAATTATTGTGAATGAATTTCTATGATGTCTAGCATTTTTAAAATACAGTTTTTTGAACCCCTAAGGACATGACACTGCGTGTAGATAAGAGCTTTGTGATCCTGTGTTCTTCGTGATTTAGATATGGCACAAGATGGCTCCAGAACTAAGCATGTGGCTTGTGCTCTTACCATCAAAACTACCGGGCCTCTCTGAAGGGGAAGCAAGCTTGCATCTAGACTTCTTTCTAAAGATAACCTAGACAATAATGAATACAGCTGCCACCAGCCTCCTATGCACTAGAGGCATTATTCTAGGAGTTTCCGTGTATTAAGCTTATCCTGAAATTAGTTCCTTCTTATGACTGAGAGGAGAAGTATTACATATTGATTTCATTGTTAGAAATGGGAAAATTTTTAACAAGTGTATTTAGAGGGCAACCACATTTTCTGCTCTGCAACCTGCTTCTCCCCCTTCACGTCAGGACATCTAGATGAACCCACTCTTCGGAAAGGCTGCAGAGAAACATGTCCTACAGACCTACTATCATCTGGTTAACAACTCCCAGTGGACGGACCAAAATTCCAGACGCTTCCCACTTTCTCTCCACTGCACGGATGCTGCCACACATGCTCATATACCTCTGAACCTTCCAGTGACTACGGCACAGCGACAGCTGAGTTCCTGGGCGCAGAACCACTGGGGCACGTTTTGGCAGCTATGAGCAAATCACTGTGCACAAAGGCAATCCCAGTTTACACTTCCACAGAGAGGAACTGAATACACTGCCCACCCTCACCTGACTTTTGGGTCCTATTTTGTCAGTGGGGTTTTGGGGAACTGTGTCACGGGACCCTGCCCAGCAACCCCTCACCCGCAGTAGAAGACAGCCTTCTGCCAGGAGCGCAGCCGGTCCACCTTCTCCGCCACTGTGTTTGCAAACTCGATGAACTGGCAGCAGAAGGGCGCCTCACACAGCAACAAGATGAAGGCATTCATGCTGCAGGGACCAGGGCAGGAGAAGAGCAGCGACTGACAATCCCAGGAGGATGAGGGCGGCCCCCAGTGCCAGTGCCATAAGGAATGCCACCTCCCTCACCCTCCTGCCCTCATCCCTCCTCCTCTGGGAAGCCGCCCGGCTGCTCCAGGGCACCTGCTCGTACCCCTCGGAGAGCCTCTGCTGAAGACTCCAGCACTCCCCAGCTGCTCCTGCACACCCATCTCCCCAGCTGAACTGAACACTCCTAGAGGGAAGCCCCTGGGCTTCTGCTTCCCTTTATCCTCCTCCTGTGTGACATGGAGGAAAGGGGACCCCACATCATGGCACTGCTACAACGCTGCGGCAGGTTCATCCACAGATGGAGCACTGGCAGCTGTGTCCTCTGTCTGCTGTTAGTATTATCGCCATGGCCACCAAAAGCCGTCAGTGGCACCAGCACCAGGAAGGCTGCCCCACCAGGGAGGCAGAGAGCTGGAGCCACGCAGTCCCAAAACAGTCACGGAGAGCTGCCCACACACCTGATGCCACCGGCCCCAGGCCCGGGGACACCCAGGGGAAGCCCACGCTGGGGAGGAAGAACTTTAGCAAGTCCTTGCATCCAGCCCTATGTTTGGGGTGGGAACAGCTAAGCCACTGGTGACGGAAGGTGTCTGCTGTGGTCTTGGTATTCTCTATGCATGGATAACAATCAGTTAGCAGACACTGAGCCAGGCCCTTCTGTCCCCAGGCCTGGGAGAAAAGTGCCATCATTATGCCTGTGTAACAGAAATGCAGGCTCAGGACACCTAAGAGCCACCCCAAGCCCGGGGCAGGCACTCTCTTCACAACTCTTAACCACTGCACCCGCCCCGAGCCTCCCACACACCAGGCCTCCAAGCACGGGCTCACTCTGTGCTGGGCCAGCCCTTCCACTTCAAACTCGGCCAGGCTCCGACTCCACCCCCTGAAGCTGGGCTGGGCGCCTCTCTGTCCATCCCCCTTCCCTATCCACCACTGGCCAGCACAAGCACTGAGGACCCCACCACAGCAGGCCCCCGAGGCTCTCCACTGGCCATAGGTCACTGGGGACGGGACCTGAATCTCGTCTAGCTCTGTACCCCTCAAGGCACCAAGCCCCATGAGGACACTCATCAATTCCTGGTGCACCGCCACTTCTCACGTGCCCCAAGCCACACGGGCCTGCCCTCACCCCGCCTTCCCTTCCGATGGGATGGCGAAACCCTGGCAGGAGGTGGGCATGGAACGCACATGAGGGTGTTCTGACCACGGGTTCCCGTGACAACTCCGACCCGCCTCTCCCATCTATCTTTGGCACAGCTCCGAGCTCGAGTGCCCTCTCCCAGCAGACCATTCAACCCAGTCCTCAGCCAGCCCCAATGAACAGCCTTCCCCACCCCAGTCCTGGGAGCTCCCAGAGGGCGAGGGCCCCAGTATAGTGGACTTGGCATCTGCAGTCTCAGTGGATGCTCCAGAAATGTCTGGAGCACTGATGGCCTTGCCCCTGCACCGGATGAAGGCCGGGGTGGGCATTCCCTGGGCCTTGACCTCTCATTAGGAAACTAAACATGGTGGGGGTATGAAGGGGAAGAAGCCGCATGCTGTGGCCAGAAACTCACATGCCCGAGGCACCCAGGCTGGAGCCAGTAGCCATGGCAACCACAAGGATGCCCACTCCCACGGCCCCTGCCACTCCTCTGTCCCGGGAGGTGCCCAGCAGATTCCCGACCAGCAAGACCCCCGGGGTGGGACGGCCATGCATTACTCACATCATCCACACGCCGGCCGCAATGTTCAGAGGGTGGATGGTGATGCAGTTGAAGAGGCCAGAGATCGCGCAAGCTTGAAACAAGAGACACGGGCAGGAGTCAGCAGGGAGGCAGGCGGAGCCCGCTGGGAAGGCGGCCTTGGGAGATGACTGGAAAGGACGAGAGTCTCTGCGGATGCTCAGCACACAGTTCTCACAGCACCCAGAAGCCTGCCCTCTATCGTCTGAGACAGGTGAGGAGACGCAGAGAGGTGCAGTGCCTTGCTTGCCCCAGGCCCCACAGCAAGGTGGCAGCAAGGTGGCAGGTGGATCTCACAGCATCCTCTCCCCGTTTCAGGGCTCAGAGGAGCTGGCCCTCTGACCCCAGCTACATCAATATCCACCTCAAAGGGAGGTTAGGATTAAAGAAGGATTAAAGAGTGAATGTCCCTCAAGGATTCAGGCCAGTGCTCCCCCAAGACTCAGCCTTCGGTAAGGGTCACTTGCCACCATTCACAGGGCCGGCCACACAAGAAGTCCTCTGACTCAGAAAATGTGGCTTGGATTTTGGTTGGGACAAGGGGTGCCTCTCTCAGAACAGAGATGGGAACCAGGTAAGACTGAGCAGCAGTTCCAGCTCTAACTTCCTCACCAGCCCTGTGCCACTGGCACGCTATCTTCATCTTCCTAGACCCGTTTCTCCTCTTGCACATGAGCAAGTCCCACAGCCCAGCCACCCACCGCTGAAATGCCATAAGGCCAGGAAGGGGAGGGGGCATCGTTTTCCACCCCAGAACGTGGCTTCTCTGATGCTCAGATGTGCAGCCTTGACGCCCCGCCTCCCAGCTGCACCTCACCAGCAGGGTCTCTTGCACCCAACTCCCTCCTCCACCCACAGCCTGCAGCCTGGCTTCACCAGGAACTCCAGGAGCCTTCAAGGCAGGTCCAAGGAGGTGGCTGCTGGGCAGGGAGCAAGCCCAGGCCATCACTGAGGGGGGCCTTGGAGGCAGCAATTAGCACCCAGCTCATTAAACTTGCAGCAGCTCCTCTGCACCTGATCCCTCCACCTGGGTCTGGAATTCTGCTGTTTTCCATTTTCCCAGGTAACCTTATGCAGACAGCAGGCAAAGAAGCCAGATAAAGTGAGCCGAACTGCAATGGGACTGCTTCATGGGCCCCCAGGGTCTCCTTCTAAAACAAAGGACTCAAGCGTTGCACTGCTCCTCAGCACAGCCTTAGACATCTGCCTTCAGACAGCAAGGTGTTCCAGAACCACAGGTACACAGGGGCCTGCCTGTCCTAGCAGAGTGCCCAAAGGGTGACACGGCTCCCTGCCTCTCTGCTGTGCCTGGCCTCACCTGACAGCTCGGCTGTGCTTCCTGCTGCAGTCAGCATTTGGCCTCCAGCTCCAACCCTACCCCAGCTGTCCAACCCACAGCCAGCCTTGGGGGAGGACCAGGTGTCAAGCCAGACCAGCAGGCTCCAGCCAGGAATCCTTTAGCAATAAAGGGCTGGAGGATGTCCACTTGGGGGCCTCAATGCTGATATCTTCCACGTGAGGGGGCTGTCACCATGCAATCCTGTCCCCTCCCAAGGTATCACCTCCAGATGCTCTTAGGACCCAGGGTAGACCCTCTCCAGGTACTCTCTCTGATCCCCTCACCCTGGAGGAGGAAAACCTTACCCAAGGACCAGCCCGGCACACAACCCTTGTCTGAACTCCTGCCGCATCTCTAAAACACCCTGCATTTTTGCATTCTACCCTGTAATACAGCATTTTGATGTTCACATAACCATGCCCCCAAAAATCTGCAGATGCAACTGACAACTCAGGGCAATGCCACAAGTTTCTCCTGAAGCTTCATCTGTAGACCCAACAGAGCCCCAGGAACTCCCAGGAAAGGCAGAGGTACCTCACTTTGAGAGGCACAGAACTGAGTAAGACTCCACAGCAAATCTGGGAGTCGGCAGGGCCACTGACCAAGAAGGAAGGAGGTGTGGCCTACAGGCCATAGTCAGGACCTTTCCTTTCTCACCACTGACCATGTCACCCCACTGCACTGCCCACCCTAATCTGCAGGGAAAACAGCTAACCAGACATGACAGGACTGGATCCAATGCCTAACTTCAAACCCACCAGTCTCTCCTACAAAGTCAAAAGCGTACTTGCCCTGAAGAGCAGTGACACAAACTCGGGGCCTTTTTGTGATTTGGGGGTAGGGCCTGCCCTACCGTATCCGTTGCCTCTGGATAAGGGCATGCCTAGCGAGGGCAGCACACTCCTAGCCCAGCACCCTCCTGCCTCAACCTCCCTCCACCCTCTACCCACCTGGAAAGGCTGTGGAACCCAAGGTGACCCTGAAAAGGTGGTCCTTCTGGCAGGATTGCTGATGGGGCCTGCCCTGCCCAGGCCCAGAGCTAGCCCTCTCTGCCAGGCAGGCACTGTTTAAAACCTGCAGACATCCTCGACAGACATTCTCTAAGACCTTGCCCACTCCAGTAATCCACAAGATTGAGGGCAGACAGGAAAGGAAAGGGTATCACTCAGACAGACTTGTCTTTCCCTGGAAGGCCAGCTGTACGGCTTCCATTCACTCCTGGAGCTGACCTGCCTCCCTCTTTGTCCTTTTCTGGCTGTGCTTAAGAGCCTAGCTTCCCTGGCAGCCTAAGGTCAGGGTCTGTGACTGGGATGCGTGCGGAGAAGGGGAGGAAGGCCGGTGACAGGCGGCTAAGGCAGCAGCAACGGGGGAGATATGAGAGCGGACAGAGGACCCAGGGAGAGGCCGGGCCCTCAGCTCACTGCCCCGCGGCCCCAGGGGCCACCTGTGCCCTGACACCACCTGACCCTCAGCAAACTTCCGCCCAGTGGCTTCCTGCCAGAAATCTAGCCAGCCGTGCACCCGCCTCCCTTACAAACAATCCTTGCCCAAAGGTTAGCAATGTGGCTGCCGTCACCTACGCCCAAGTCAACAGTTGACGCTTTAGTACGGGCCAGGTGGGCATGCGCCCCGTGAGCATCACCGAGAAAGTCTCACAAAAGCCCCTGGGGAGCGGGGGGAGGGCTCAGTCACGTGCCCCAGGCCGGTGCCCCACCCCCGCCCCCGCCGCCCCCCCGCCCTGGGGTTTCTGGTCCCTCCGGGAATGTTCCCAGAAGCGCCAGCCCAGCCCAGCCCGGGGTACCAAGGCGCCCAGGCCCGAGCGGGTAACCATGGCAACCCCAGGACGCCGGCTCCCGGCGGCCCCGCCATTCCTCCGCCCCGGGAGGCGCCCGGCAGACCCCCGACCCCCAGCGGGTCCTTTCCCCTGGGGCCGCCGGGGCGGGGCGGGGCAGGGCAGGGCGAGGAGCGCATGCGCGGCGGGGCCGGCCCCTCTCCCCGACTGGATACTCACAGACTGCCCCCAGCACCCCAGACAGGCGACACAGCCAGCGGTACCACCACGTCATGCCCTCTTCCTGCGCGGGCGGCGCAGAGCTGGCGGACGCCCCGGGCGCCCCACCTGAGCTGCTCATGGTGCCACCGTCAGGCGCAGCTCACAGCCCTCACAAAGGGCTCGGTAGCCGGCCGCGTCCGAGCCGGCGCGCTGCCTTGTGGGAGAGGGAGCATATTAGCATAGGGGGCGGGGCTTTCAGGCTGCGGCGAGGCGCGCCCGAAGGGAGGCGGGTGCTCATTAACATAGTGAGCGGGACCCTCATGCCGCGACTAGGGGCGTTTGAGGGGAGGTAGGTGCTCATTATTGTAGGGGGCGGGACCCGCAGGCTGCGGCGAGGAGCTGGGGGTGGGGAGCTCGTTAGCATACGGGGCGGGGCTCGCAGGCATCGGAGAGGTGTGCCCGAGGGGGGCGGGCGTCATTAGCGTAGGGGGCGGGGGCTCGCAGTTTGCGGCGACTTGCTCCCAAAGGAGGCGGGCGCTTATTAGCATAGGGGGCGGGGCCTGGAGGCGCGCAGACACCTTAGCGGTCAGAGCCTCACACCAGGACACACGGGTGGGGCTTCGCAGGGAGCTGGCTAATGCGCCATCCTCGGAGTGGAATCCTGATTGGATTTTCTTCCTGGATAGGAAGAAGATAACTAGGGACGTCCAGCGGCTTGCTCAGATCAAGATAGAGCCAACCGCGGCCAGCGAATCCCTGCCTTGCCATGGGATGGGTTTTCAAGCCAGGTCTGGACAGCTTATAAGAAAAAAACGCCGGTCAGCCTGCATGTTTTATTTATTGGTACCCGAGGAAATGGGGGCTGCTTTTCCAGAGTCCCCACCTCCAACCCCCTAGCCTTTTGGACATTGGAGAAGACTCTAAAGTAGATACCTAAGATTGGAAAAAGTTCGAATTGGAAAGCACTGAGACCAGGGGTCAACCCTCCAGGGCTGGCCAGACACGGAACAAATGTTCAATGACCCTCAGGTTCCTTCCTTTCCCTTCCAGGACTGAGGGTCCTGCATCTCCGGTACCCATGATTGGAGGGTCCAGTACTGGCCCCGCAGGCTGGCCTGAGCCTTCAGGAAGCCCTCGCTGAACTCCATCTCAGCCTGGCTGCTCTCTGACTCCCAGTAGAGCACCTGCTGCCCATGGAACGCTGTGGTCCTCAAGCTGTGGGTGTCCCGGATCTGAGAGAAAAGGGGCAGCCCAGAAGGACCGGCCACAAGTAATAATTAGCACTCACGGAAGCCTTCGTGTGCAAGGGCTCACAGATTCCGGATCACATTTAATGCTTACAAAGCCCTACTAGGAATACGCCATTACTCTACCCAGAAAACCGAGGTCCAGGGACGTTACATCACTTCCCCAAGGACACACAGTCAGGGTGCCAGAGCGGGGCCAGGCTGCCTCCTCTGGGGAAGCTGATACCCTGCAGAACACAGTTCTCCCAGGACACTTGAAACCTCGGGGAGGGTGCAGGGTGCTATTCTGTCCAAGTTATATCAGACTGTAAAATTATGCTTCAGTCTTGGGTTAGCTGTCAGTCTACATCAGAAAGGTCTTTACCATTCTTTACCATTTCGCTTTTTTTTTTTTTTTTTTTTTGAGACAGAGTCTCACTCTGTTGCCCAGGCTGGAGTGCAGTGGTGCGATCTGGGCTTAGTGCAACCTCCACCTCCCGGGTTCAAGTGATTCTTGTGCCTCAGCCTCCCAAGTAGCTGGGATTACAGGCACACGCCACCATGCCTGGCTACTTTTTCTATTTTTAGTAGAGACAAGGTTTCATCATGTTGGCCAGGCTGGTCTCGAACTCCTGACCTTGAGTGATCTGCCCTCCTGGGCCTCCCAAAGTGCTGGGATTACAGTTGTGAGCCACTATTTCACTCTTGTAGGTAGCTCAAAAAACATTTCTTGGTGAATATGTGGAGGAAGCTATCTTCTCCCATTCTTTCACTAATGATTTTGAGGGTTTTAGTCTGAAATAAACTGAAGGGGGTCCCCTAGCCCTGCACGCCCTAGGGAAAGCTGTCCAGAATCACAGCACAAGTCCCCATGCTGGGCCTCACCAAGATGTAGCTGGCATTGGCTCCCTCGGTCCCAGCGCCCATGTTGGTGGCCAGGGCATGGATGGCAATCCGTGCGTGCGGAGCCACATTAATGAAGAGCCGGCAGCCCCCTGCATTACTCGTGGCTGGACTCAGCGAGGGGCTCACGATTTCACCCCAGGGCCCAAAGAGCTGCATGTCACATTCTGCAGGTGGGACATAGGGACATAGGAACCCAGACAGACCGGTGGTGCCAGAGGCCAGGACAACTCACAGCCAGGGAGCCGTGCAGGGCAGCATGGCACTGTGGTCAATATTGGGGTTCCCAGGCAAATCCTGCTGAACCCCACCTCTACCACTTCCTGGCCCAGTGACTTTAGGCAAAGGCTAAATGTTCTGGGCTCTGGTTCCCTCCTCTGTAACTGAAGGAAACAATGGCATGCACTGAGCAGAGTGGTCTTTAGGACTCAATGATGTCACACGTGCAAGAGTGTTTAACACTGAAACTGGCAACAAAGATAGGCTCCACCCATGGCGGCCACTGCTGTTCCTCAGAGCTCACTGGAGCCCCCACCTGCCTGTACCTCCTGCACCTCTTTCAAGGCAGATGCCTGTGTGGGCGGGGCTGGGCCGGGAAGCGAGAAGCAATGTGAACGGTGACAGTGGGCTTGTGGCCTTTTGGCAGGGCCCAGCAGCGCCTGTGCACTGGGACACATACACGGCTCTCTGCCCGGGCAGGTCTGGGGCAAGGAGGCGGCGCACTAGGTCTCTGCAGAGGCTAAGCCCCTGTTGCCACTAAGCCCCAGACACCTGGGGGAGCCGAGGAACCTCTGGAACCAGCTAGGGAAGCCAACTTCGGCCAGCTCGGGCTGTTGGGAGAGGGCAAGCCCCCCAGGACAACCGAGAGGGCTATCAGAGGATATCGAGGGGGCCACGGGCAAGGCTGGAGTCCCTGAGGTGGCATCCTCTGCCTGAGGTGTGCTTGTGGGTGCACATGCATGTACAAGCATGTCTGCTTACACCAGTGCACTGAAACAGGGCTGAGGGACAGTGGCTTCCACAAAACCCTAAAAGCCCTTGAAAGGCTGGAGGGGTGGGGGCGGGGCAGGTGGGTGTGGGGCAGAGGCCTGAGGGACTGACTGAGGATGTGGACCATGTCCCACATCCGTCCATCTTGCTGCACGGTCCCAAAAAGGAGGGATATAGCATTCATCCTGTGACCCCTCCCTGGCACGTGCAGACTGACACTGGCCAACCCCAGTTCCTTCCATCTCAGTCAGTTCCCTCCGTATCTTCCCACTGCCCCACTGGGACTGGCCCCATCCCCAGCAGCACCCACCCAGCCTCCCTGCCAGGACTGGAGCACCCAAGGGAGGTGGAGAAGGCCTGGCCATACCTCTGTAGAAGGTTTCAGGAGCAAGCTGGCTCCCATACCGCAGCAGCACCCCACCTCCTGGCCGCCCGCAGCGCTGCCTCACCACCAGCGTGTTGGTCTTGGAGCTGAAAGTCATGTCCAACAGCTTCCTGCACATCTTCCTCCAGGTGAGCCGGCCCCAAAGCAGCAACATGTCCCCTAGGAAGCGGCAGGGCAGTGAGGGTCCAGCACTCCCACGCCTGGTCAGCAGAGGAGTGGCTCCAGGGTAGACTGAGCCGAGTTCAAGTCCCACCTCTCCCACTGCTGGCTATGTGACTCTAAGTAACTGGGCACATCACTTAATCTCTCCTAGCCTCAGTTTCCTCATCTGTAAAATGCAGATCATCACTCCCCAGTCATGAGATGGGATGCAAACTACAGGTGGGAATGCACATGGGCTCCTGCCAGGAATGGGGCATGCAGCGTCGTGCTGGCTCCTGGCAGGGCCCATAACTGGCAGCATCGCTTGCATGGCCCTAGACATACCCGCACTGCAGTTGAGAGAACTCTCAAGGACGCGGAGGGTCACCACCTCCCCGAGGGGCCGCCCAATGGCCACTGCACAGTCTGCCTGCCCTGGGCCTCGCATGTCAATGGTTCCTGTTGGCTCAAGGTGCTGCCTGCCACAGGCACCTGAAAAGGGAGCAGGAGACAGGTAAGCAGTGCTTCCCCGATTCCCAGCAGGGCAGGCTCCGGGGCTTCCAAGCTGAGGAAGGAGACCAGGAGGTAGGGGTGGACCCTGTCCTCCAAGGCCCAGCTGGAAGCCTTCTCAGGACAGGGAGGGGGGCTGCATAGGTCAGAGCATCACCCTCAGGGCACAGGGCTGCTACCAGATGATCCAGCAAGAGGGGGCACATGCAGAGCAGCCCAGAGGCTAGGGGGCTCACAAGCTGGGTTCCTACCTTCAAGTTACTTCCCCTTGATAGTAGTAAAAGGGAGGTTTTGCTTTGCCAGGGAGAAAGAGGGCCAGCCCTGATCCCGGCCTCCCAGGCACACAACCCAGGGACCAAGTGCTTGTGCCAGTCCTTCCCAGAGGAAGATGCCTTTGCCCACCCCTCCTGCAGCAGCTGCCTGACAGGAAGGAGGACAGGACATAACTGGACTGCACTGAGTTTTCCTGGGGCCCGGGCAGGAGCCGCCGAGGCTGGGGAGCCGGGGAGAAGAGCAGGCCCCGGGCCTGGGACCACTCCAGGGAGGCACCAGCAGGGGTGGCTGTGGTCCGTCCTGGAGCAGCGGCTTCTTCGTGGGGCACCAGGCTGGGCGTACCCTGTCCCACACAGGGCCCAGCCCAGCAGCCACGCACAGTCACCGGCTTGGGCAAGTGCTGGCAGAAATCAGCTGGCACAGGCGCCTGGGCCTGGGGTCCGAGGCAGGTGTCACGCCGGCGCTGGATGCCATCCCCACAGGAAACAGAGCACTGCCAAGAGAGGGGAGGAGGAGTCACAGCTGACCCTGCCAGAAGGTGACAAGGACAGTGGTAACCACAGGCCAGGAGTGATCCAATATAATCCTTGTACAAGCTGGGAGGCAGTTAAGTGTCTCCATTCCACAGATGAGAAAACTGAGGCTCAGAGAGGGCACCTTGCATGGGTCATATAGGTGGGAGGAGCCATAATTCAAGTCTGGGTCCCTGTCACCCTCACGGCCTCTCTGTCCCTCCAAGCCTTAGAGCAAGCAGGTCTGCGGGGCTGCGGCTCATCTCTGTCTGCTGTGCCCCTATGCCCCCTCCACACCATGAGCGAGCCCCTCCAGGGGGCAGCCTGAACCCCATTTACCCTTGTCTGTCCTGCCTTGCCAGGTGCGTGGCACAGCTGGCATTCCCTCATCTGTGTAGAGCTGAGTGGCCTGCCATTCATCTTCCAGCGTCCCCAAACCTAAGGGCCTCTTAAGTCCTAGCTGCCCGCAGGTCTCTAGGCCCTCTGTCTCTCTGCCTCTAGGTGCCCCCTCACCAACGGGCGCAGCTCTCTCCTTCCTTTCAGGGGACACGATGAGCCAATGCCTCCTAGACTCCCTCACACATGAGGAGCCACAGCTGATGCCCACCCCAGCCCCATAGGGATTCCGAGTGCCCGCTGTGCTCACCTCCATCCAGGTGCCAACATGCCAGCGGTAGGTGCAGTCGGCAATGAGACAGGGGACACTGGCCTCGGGCCGCACCAGCGCCGCACAGGCCGCCTCGTCCACCTCCACGTCCTGGCCTTGGTCGAGCTGCACACAGGCCACCGAGCGTCTAGCAGTGCCAAGGCCACAGCTGGCCGAACATGGGCCAAGGGACATGACTTTCCACCTGCAGGAAGAGAAGACCCCAGAGAGAGGCTAGGTCTCCCCAGAGACAGTACTGCCCCACGCAGGCCCCTCTCCACCCACGTGTACTCGGACAGTTGCCTAGACAGCTTCCGTGGCCAGGCAAGATGGAAAGTGCAGCCACTGAGCCCCTCCTGTCTGGGGCCAGGGCTCACGGCCACAGGAGAGCTACCAAAAGGCCCTAGGGGGAAGAGGCCCCTGTTTCCCTAATTGCACATCCCCCTCTAGTCGCCTTTATCACAGAACACCTGTCAGCACCCCAGGGGTTGCCTATGGACCCAAGTAACAGCAACAGGAAGCGAGCCCCTGGGTAACAGGAGACAGATCTCAACACCCCACGTTCTGCAAGGGAAGGCCGAGTTCCCTTCCCTTGGGCAAGGGAAGGCTGCCCATGTTGATCTGTAATCAATCAATAACTAATTATGGCCCGCATTCTTCAGAGCCCAGACACAAACCCAGGCAGCCTGCAAGGGAGCTGGGATCTTCATCGCAATACTGTGCTCCCCCATGACCCTGCAGCGCTGCCTCTTGGACCCGTGCCTTCCGCGGCTTGGCACTGTTCTACATGACACTGGGAGGTGGCAGTGAACCAAACCAGACCCCACCTCCTCTCAGAGCGTGGATTGTTCTCCATTGGGGCATCACTGGCATGAGCAACTGGATGCTGATTTGCTGTGGAGGCTGTCGTGTGCATCGCAGAAATTTTATTTTTTATTTTATTTTAATGGTTTTCTTTGAGACACGGTCTCGCCCTGTCACCCAGGCTGGAGGGCAGTGGTGTGATCACGGCTCACTGCAGCCTCAACCTCCAGGGTTCAAGCCATCCTCTCACCTCAGCCTCCCAAGTAGCTGAGACTACAGGCATGTGCCATCATGCCTGGCTAATTTTTGTAATTTTTGTTTGTTTGTTTTTGTTTTTGAGATGGAGTCTCACTCATCGCCCAGGCTGGAGTGCAGTGGCACAATCTCAGCTCACTGCAACCACCCAGGCTGGAGTGCAGTAGCACAATCTCAGCTCACTGCAAGCTCCGCCTCCTGGGTTCACGTCATTCTCCTGCCTCAGCCTCCCAAGTAGCTGGGACTACAGGCACCCACCACTACACCCAGCTAATTTTTTGTATTTTTAGTAGAGACAGGGTTTCACCGTGTTAGCCAGGATGGTCTCGATCTCCTGACCTCGTGATCTGCCCGCCTTCGCCTCCCAAAGTGCTGGGATTACAGGCATAAGCCACCGCGCACAGCCAATTTTTGTATTTTTTGTAGAGACGGGGTCTCACTATGTTGCCCAGGCTGGTCTAGAACTCCTGGGCTCAAGCAATCCTCCCGCCTCAGCCTCCCAAAGTGCCAAGCAGAGCGTCACAGGAGGGACGAGAGTGCCGTTCTGGACCGACGCTCAGGGAGGGCACTGGGCCACTTTGGAGTTGTGGTGTCTGAGCCGAGCCTGGGGGAGGGATATCCAGGGCCTCGAGGATATCCACAGAAGACATCAGGCAGCGAGAGCTAGCACAGAAGCCCTAAGTCAGGGGAGTATCCCTGGAATGTTCCAGGACAATGAGGCCAGCGTGGCTACAGCAACGTCAGAGGGATGGCCAGAGCTCATGTAGTGTGTGCCTGCATCCCAGCTACTCGGGAGGCTGAAGCAGGAGGATCACTTGAGCCCAGGAATTCAAGTCCAGACTGGGCAACATAGTGAGACCCCATCTCTAAAAAAAAGTGAGGGGAGGCTCAGTGGCCCAAGAGGTGGTCTGTAGAGAACAGGGCTACCTGGTAGGCTGTGCTAGGTGTGGGAGGTGAAGTTTAAGCACCATGCAGGCAGCGTGCAGTGTGAAAAACCCTGCAATTCCCATAAAATCCCAGATCATCTCTAAATGTGATGTGGAAAAATAAATGGGACACACAGCCAAGGGACTTTAGCATAGGCAAAGAAATCAGGACACACTAGTGACACAGATGTTAAATGGTTATAAAGCTACAACATTTAAAACAATTTTGTATGGGCAAGAGAATAGCTAGAAAAAAAAAGCACAAAAAACAGAACCTGGCAGATCACTTGAGGTCAGGAGTTCAAGACCAGCCTGGCCAACATAGTGAAACCCTGTCTCTATTAAAAACACAAAATCAGTTGGGGGTGGTGGCGGGCACCTGTAATCCCAGCTACTCGGGAAGCTGAGGCATGAAAATCACTTGAACCCAGGAGGCGGAGGTTGCAGTGAGCTGAGATCGCGCCACTGCACCCCACCCTGGGTGACAGAGAAAAACTGTCTCAAAAAAAAAAAAGGAGAAGAAAAAAACCCAGTAGAAAGCCCAGACATAGATTCTAACACACACCAATACCACCAAGGAGCCACCTGGAGGCATCAGGGCTTGTCCAACAGATGCTAGTTAACAATTTAGAAAAAAAAAAAAATCCTTTGGTCCCTACTTTGCAACATACTCCAAATAAATCACAGATTAGTACAGGGTTTAAATTTAAGTAAAATCTTTTTTTTTTTTTTTTTTTTTTGAGACAGGGTCTCATGCTGTTGCCCAGGCTGGCATGCAGTGGTGGTGTGATCTCTGCTCACTGCAGCCTTGACTTCCCAAGGTTCAGGTGATTCTCCTGCCTCAGCCTCCCGAGTAGCTGGGGATACTGGCATGCACCACCATGCCCGGCTAATTTTTGTATTTATAGTAGAGACAAGGTTTTGGCATGTTGTCCAGGCTGGTCTCAAACTCCTGGGCTCAAATGATCCACCCATCTCAGCCTCCTGAAGTGCTGAGATTACAGGCGTGAGCCATGACCAGCCTAAATTTAAGTGAAATCTTATCTGTAACTGGATTTATTTAAAACTAAGGAGGCTGGCCAGGTGTGATGGCTCACATCTGTAATCCCAGCACTTTGGAATGCTGAGGTAGGCAGATCTCCTGAGGTCAGGAGTTCAAGATCGGCCTGACCAATATGGTGAAACCCTGTCTCTACTAAAAATACAAAAGTTAGCTGGGTGTGGTTGTGGGTGCCTGTATTCCCAGCTACTTGGGAGGCTGAGACAGGAGAATGGCTTGAACCCGGGAGGCGGAGGTTGCAGTGAGCCAAGATTGCATCACTGCCTGGGCAACAAAGCGAGACTCCGTCTCAAAATAAATAAATTAAATAAATAAAAGTAAGTGGACAGGAAGGAAACATGGCAGTAGGATGCTATCTATTAAACTGGAGTGCTGGAACATACATGTCTGTTACATTCTTTTCTGGACGTTTCTGTATGATATAGAAAAGTATTTCTTTACTAAAAATGCAAACCTACAAAAAGAAACCATTAAAGAATTGTAAATGAGGTAGGCAAATGTTCGCCCTTTACCACTGGGCTCCGGACCCCACGGACTTGAACATGATTCTGTCCCGTGTCCTAGTGTGGCTGTGTGTGTCCCTGTGGAGACCTCCATCCCTCCCGTCTTCCACATCAGAATGCTGGTGCTCACAGCTTTAGGTTCTGCTCAAATGCTGCCTCCTCTGTCCCCCAGGCCTCCCCACACTGCACCCTGCCTGCATGGTGCTTAAACTTCACCTCCCACAACTAGCACAGCCTGCCAGGTAGCCCTATTCCTTACAGACTGGCTCTTGGGCCACTGAGCCCCCCACCCCGTCTTGTTTTGTTTTGTTGTTTTGTTTTTGAGACGGAGTCTCGCTCTGTAGCCCAGGCTGGAGTGCCAGCGGCGCCATCTCGGCTCACTGCAACCTCCGCCTCCCGGGTTCAAGCGATTCTCCTGCCTCCGCCTCTGAAGTAGCTGGGATGACAGGTGCACACCACCACGCCAGGCTAATTTTTGTGGGTTTTCTTTTTTTTTTTTTTTTTTTGAGATGGAGTTTTGCTGCTGTTAGCCAGGCTGGAGTCCAGTGGCGTAATCTTGGCTCACCACAACCTTGGCCTCCCCGGTTCAAGCGATTCTGCCTCAGCCTCCCAAGTAACTGGGATTACAGGCATGTACCACCACACCCGGCTAATTTTGTATTTTTAGTAGAGACAGGGTTTCTGTATGTTGGACAGGCTGGTCTCGAACTCCCAACCTCAGGTGATCTGCCCGCCTCAGCCTCCCAAAGTGCTGGGATTACAGGAGTGAGCCACCGCGCCCAGCCTAATTGTTGTATTTTTAGTAAAGATGGGGTTTCACCATGTTGGCCAGGCTGGTCTCAAGCTCCTGACCTCAGGTAATCCACCCGCTTCAGCCTTCCATAGCGCTGGGATTACAGGCGTGAGCCACCACACCTGGCCCCGTCTTGTTTTTTTTTTAGAGATGAGGTCTCACTGTGTTGCCCAGGTTGGACTTGCACTCCTGGACTCAAGTGGTTCTCCTGATTCAGCTTTCCAAGTAGCTGCGATTACAGGCACACACCACAGCGCCTGGCCTGGCATCTGCACACACCAGGAGCTGCCCCTCCCATCACCGGCTGACTCACCTAGGTGGGCAGGGCTCCAGGCTGCAGGCCTCCTGGGGTTCCGGGCGAGGCAGCCCCTGGCACTGGGTGTCCAACAGGATCTCCTCACCATCGTCCTCCCCATGGGCCCGGGCACAATACAGGATCCTCCGCACGACCCCTCTCCCACAGCTCACGCTGCAGGCCGCCAGCTTGTACTGCCACCTGGAGCAAACTGGAGTCAGGGACCCCAAACAGCCCCAGGGCCTGGGAACCCAGGGGAGCCAGGTCTCCCCTTCATTTCCCCAGACTAGGAAGAGACAGGAAGCTGGGAAGGGCCCGGAGAGGTTCTCTTTCTGGAGGCCCCCTTGTGTCCTCACCAAGAGGCTTGGCAGAGTGGACAGAACATTTGGACAAACCCATTTTACAGAAGAGAAAGGTGAGGGCAAACGACAGATGTCGTATCCCAGAGACAGTGGGGGCAGGGGTCCGGGCACCCAAGGGCCCTGCATGTCTGTCTTCAACAGTGATCCCAGCACCACCGCCCTGGAGCCCACCCCGCCAGCCCTCCCCTCCTCCCCTCCCGCTGTGTTTGGCTGCATCGCACTGAACACCATCCATCAAACTGCATTCCCCGCCTGTCCTATTATTATCTGTCCCCCTTTCCCCCTGCATTTGCTCCAGGAGGTCAGGGACATTTGTCTGCCTTGTTCTCTGCTGTGTCCCCTAGCTCCAGGACGGCCCCGGGGCCTAGGTGCTCCATAAAGAGCAGGCGATGAAGAAACGCACCAGCAACCATGTGCACCCACAGCATCCCAGATCCTGTGCAATGTACTTTACACGCGTTGCATCGAGCATGCATTTTACACTCATTGCATTTAGCATGTACTTTACATGCATCTAATCCTTTCATTAAACTCCCCCAGTCTTCTGGGGGCACAAAATGACCTGCTCCCACTGGTGAGGACACTGAGGGTCAAAAGGTCTGGCTTGGAGGTGAGGAAAGAGCCAGGATGCAGACCTAGCACCCCCTGTCTCCTTGGGAAGGGGCCCACCTGGCAGGGCAGGGCTCTGGGTTGCAGTCCTCAAAGGGGCTGGGCCGGGGCTCTGGCCTGCACTTGGAGTGAGGCAGGGGGATGGGGCGGCCATGGTCCAGCCTCACACAGTGCACAGCCAGCAGCACCTGCCCCCCTCCGCAGGTCACCGGGCATGGAGCCAAGGCTCGGGTCTCCCACTTACAGGGAGAAGGCCAGCACACAGTCTTGCTCCCCTCACTCACCGAGCAGGGCACGGGACAGCCTGGCAGACCTCCCGCCGGCTCCCAGGCTTGCTTGCCAGGCCACACAGCTCTTCCTGGACAGGCACCCTGAGGGCAGAGTCCATGCACAGGAAACGCAGCTCCATCAGACCTGCGTGGACAAAGCAGAGACCCAGAGCCCCAAGGGACAGGCTCAGCAAGGACTGCAGCCCAGGCTCACTGGACACCTCTAGCACATAAGGCCCGCATGGGTTTCAATCCCGGCTCTGCCACTTACCAGCTGTGTGACCTCAGACAACTGACTTAACCCTCTGAATCTTAGATTTAGAAAAAAAGATAATGGCATCTACCTTGCAGAATCATTTATAAAGATTTTTAAAAGGGAAGATAACAAGTGCCTGGCACACAGTAGACACTTGACAAATGGTAGCTGTTATTGTTGACCGAGAGGCATTATAAGAATTGCAATATGGGCCAGGCACAGTGGCTCACGCCTGTAATCACAGCACTTTGGGCGGCGGATCACAAGGTCAGGAGTTCGAGACGAGCCTGACCAACATGGTGAAACCCCGTCTCTACTAAAAATACAAAAATTAGCTGAGCGTGGTGGTGCGCACCTGTAATCCCAGCTACTCAGGAGGCTGAGACGGAGAATCACTTGAACCCAGGAGGCAGAGGTTGCAGTGAGCCAAGACTGCGCCACTGGACTCCAGCCTGGGTGACAGAGCGAGACTCCATCTCAAAAAAAAAAAAAAGAAAAAAAAATCACAATATGAAAATCTCTGATTGTGTCTATCATAAAGATGTTATTAGGGCCAGTTTTCTCAAGTCTCTCTTTTAGGAATATCCTCAAAAGAAATAGGCTCAGTGGCTCATGCCTGTAATCCCAGCACTTTGGGAGGCCAAGGCGGGTGGATCACCTGAGGTCAGGAGTTTGAGACCAGCGTGGCCATCATGGCGAAACCCCCTCTCTAATAAAATAAAATACAAAAAATTAGCCAGGTGTGGTGGCACATAGCTGGAGTCCCAGCTGCTCAGGAGGCTGAGGCATGAGAATCGTTTGAACATGGGAGGCGGAGGTTGCAGTGAGCCAAGATCACACCACTGCACTTCAGCCTGGGCGACAGAGGAAAACTCTTAGTCTCAAAAAAAAGAAAAAAAAGAAAAAGAAAAAAAATCTCTTGGTTGGGCACAGTGGCTCATGCCTATAATCCCAGCACTTTGAGAGGCCGAGGCAGAAGGATCGCTTGAGCTCAGGAGATCAGGCTGGGCAACATAGGGAGATCCCATCTCTGCCAAAACTACAAAAATTAGCAGGGTATAGTAGCTATTCAGGAGGCTGAGGGGGGAGGATGGCTTCAGCCCAGGTGGTGGAGGTTGTAGTGAGCTAAGATTGTGCCACTACACTCCAACCTGGTGACAGAGGTTTTCTTTTTTGTCTCAAAAAAGAAAAGAGAGAAAAAGAAATCTCTTTTTGGTCTCGGTTTTAAACAGGCTGACATTTTACTGAGCAAGTGGTCAGGGTTTTCGTTTAAGAACATGGTGTGTCTTCTCAAGCCCATTAGGATGGCCATTATAAAAAAAACACAGAAATAGGCCAGGTGTGGGGGCTCACGCCTGTAATCCCAGCACGTTGGGAGGCCAAGGCAGGCAGATCACCTGAGGTCAAGAGTTTGGGACCAGCCTGGCCAACATGGTGAAACCCCATCTCTACTAAACAAAAAATTAGCCAGGCATGGTGGCAGACGCCTATAGTCCTAGCTACTCGGGAGGCTGAAGCACGAGAATCACTTGAGCCCCGGAGGCGAAGGTTACAATGAGCCAAGATCATGCCACTGCACTCCAGCCTCGGCAACAGAATGAGACTCTGTCTCAAAAACAAAAACAAAAACAAAAAAAACCATAGAAATAAAAAGTGTTGGCAAGGATGGGAGGACATTGGAACTCTTATGCACCATTAGTGGAAATGTAAAATGGTGCAGCCACTGGGGAAAACAGTCCAGCAGTTCCACAAAAATTAAACATAGAATTCTCATCTTACCCAGCTACCACACTTCTAGATATACACCCAAAAGAACTGAAAGCAGGAACTCAAACAGATATTTGCACACCCATGTTCACAGAAGCATTATTCACAATAGCCAAAGTGTGGAAGGAAGCCAAGTGTCCACTGATGAATAAATGGATAAACCTGTAAAGGATACACTCACAATGGAATCTTTTTCAGCCTTAAGAAGGAAACACTCACACATGCTACAACATGGATGAACTGTGAGGACATCATGCTGAGTGAAAACTAGTAACAAAAAGGCAAATGCTATATGATTCCACTTCTACAAGGTCCCTAGAATTGTGGAATCTGGAGACAGAAAGGAGAATGGAGGTTGCCAGGGGCTGCGGAGGGGGAAATGGGAGTTCGTGTTTCACAGGGACAGAGCTCCAGTTTGCGAAACTGGAAAAGTTCTGGAGAGGTTGGTGGTGATGGCCGCACAACAATGTGACTGTGCTTTTATGCCACTGACCTGCACAGGGAGAAACAGTTTGGATGGTAAATTTTATAATATCTGTGTTATACTGCAATAAAACAAGATTGGGAAAATAGAAGAACGCTGTGTATCTTAAAGCTAAGGTTTCTCTGCTCGGGTCATCAATTGGGGACCCCCCGGCCGCTCTGCTAGGACCATAAGGAATGGCTCTCGTGCCACACTGCCGGGCGTTATTGTCTTTTCCTACCTTTCAGCCAATCAACACCCACATTTGAAGTGGCTGTCAGCTACTATGCTTAGTCTCCTTGTGTATTACCACGTGTTCCCATATAGTCTGGATTTTCTGCAATCCACCTCAAATGCTTTTCAGAACGAGGCAAGATGCAAGTGGACAGGAGAGTTACCATGAGTGCTGGTCCCCAGGAGCATCCCGGGGGCCCTCACCTCGCCCGCAGGAGACGGAGCACGACCCTGCCGCAGGGGTCCACACGTGTGCAGCTTGAGCCCCCGTCCTGATGCTGCCCCATGGGGAGGGAGCCTTCTCCCCTGCAGAGGTGGCATCCAGCTGTGGGGAATAGCAACAAGCTGGTGGGTCTGGGCCTCCTCTGAGGACCCAGCGATCCCCGTCTCGATCTTCTCAGGCAGCAGCAGAGAGACCAGGAAGTGGCGTGTGTGCACCAGGGGCTCCCTCCCCTCCTCCCTTGGCGAGATCGGCTCCCCGGTCTCGCAGCGGGTATCCTTGCTGCACACCCCACCTTTGCAGGCTCCTCAGCAGCATGAGTGCTCACTGTGGGCCTGGCCGAGAGCTGGGGACCAAGAGTGGGACATGGGAGCATGCCTGGCCCTGCAATCCCCCCAGCCATGAGGGGCGAGGGTTGCCAGCACCCAGGCCAGAGAGCAAGGCCAGTCAGCCTCCAGCCCCTGGACGCCAGGCGGGAGCCTGGCAGCATTTCTCTGCACAGCAGCTGCATTACACTCTCCTCAGATGCTTCCCTCAGCCCGGCTTGCAAGGGGAATGGGAGCCTTCCCAGGGGCCCTGAGCCCTCTTTCTAAGCTTCTTTTCTGAGCAGGGGTGGCCCTCAGACAGCATTCCCACAGAAGGATGGTGTTCTTGCTCTGGCCTGGAGGACGGTGGCAATGGGTGCTCCTCGTTCTCCCAGCCAGGTAAAGGACTCAACAGCCCCAGCCACCCTCATGCCCAGGGCACTCACATGGCCCCAGCCTGGAGGACATGACATCCCGACACAGGGCTCAGGGGCAGGCAGCTTCTCATCTACGGAGCCAGGCCCCTCAGTCACTGGAGCCTCCAGGCCATCTGCCCCTGGCACACAGGTCTCGTTCTCCAAGGCCAGGCCTGCTCCACCAGCTGATGTGCATGAGCTGGGCTCTGACACCTCCCACCTGAGGATGGCATGAGACAGTCATCAGGCCCTGCCTCTGCCACCCAGGGGAAGGTATAGCCCAGCTGCTAGGGGCAGGGAGGAAGGGGACCTGCTCCCCAACATCCAGGAGCCCAAAGAGGAGCCCCACAGAGAAGTGAAGCTCAGGGTCTCTCCCTGAAGCACCGGGTTCCCCATTCATCAGCCAGCAGGTTCCCATTCAACAAGCACTCGCTGCTCAACAGTCAGGCACCCCACCTGCACCCAGGGTGCAGAGACAGAACCTATCCCTGGCCAGGCACGGTAGCTCAGCACTTTAGGAGGCTGAGGTGAGCAGACTGCTTGAGCCCGGGAGTTGGAGACCAGCCTGGGCAACATGGCAAAACCCTGTTTCTACAAAAAATACAAAAATTAGTTGGGCTTGGTGGCGCACACTTGCTGAGGCAGGAGGTTGCAGTGAGCCAAGATCATGCCACTGCATACCAGCCTGGGTGAGAGAACAAGACTCTGTCTTTTAATAAAAAAAAAAAAGAGAACCCATCCCTCCTACTCTCCAGAGGCAGAGGCCGACCTCCAGCCAGGTAATCACTGACTCCATGCACCATAGCAGGTGCAGAGAAACAGGTGCCACATGGAATTGGATCACCAGGTTCAAGGGTGGCCAATGGGTTTCAGCTGTGAGTCAGCCCTGCGCTAAAGTGGCTGCCTGGAGAGCTGTGTGAGAAGGATTCTGAGGCCCTATCTGGCCTCAGCGGGGAAGAGTGGTGACTGTTTTGTCTGCCACGGATGACGAGGCGGGGAAAGGAGTCCAGAGCTATGAGTGGGCCACCAACAATCCAGACCAATCCCCTCCCACCGGACAGGTCGCAAAACTGAAGCCCACAGAGGAGGGGACTTGCCCTGTCACTCAGCTCGTTAGTGGCAGGGCAGGATGATAAGCCACTGTCAACTTGGACACTGAGGGGATGAGATGCAGCCACGTGGGCACGGGGGAGATGGTGGTGATGAGAAAGTGACATCTCCCACTCCGTTCAGTTTGACCTCATCCTCGAAGCCCCCCCTCCCCAGGCAGGTCGGCATCCCCATTTCAGAGCAGGGGCTCGGAAGCTCAGAGAGGGAAACAATGGGCCCAGGCTCTCCTGGGTAGTAAGGAACTCTGACAGCAGCACTTACAACCGCCAGGTGACACTGCCCATCACCCTGGATGGTGAGGCCCCGCCGGAGGCCTCAGGAGGAGGGGATTCTCAGAAGGATGGGGGCTCAGCGCAGGGACGAGCTCTGCCAGGAAGGCCCTCTCCCAGCCCCACCTAGCCCTGGGCTCACCTGGCAGGGCAGGGCTGGGGGTTGCAGGTTTCCAGCGCCACAGCTGGCTGCTGGGCCCCTGCTCTGCACCGGGCTGGGGGCAATGTCTTCAGGAGGCTGCCCTGGGCCTCCACGCAGCGCACTGGCCGCTCCCGCAGGCCACCCCCACAGGAGGCGCTGCATGGGCCGAAGTCTCCCACCGCCCAGCTGAGGAAGGAGACAGAGCGTCGGGACCCTGGCCAGGTCCCAGGCTGGCCTGGGGTGATGGGGTGGCAGGTGCTGATGTACTCCCCCGGTCTGGGACAAGCAATGGGCACTACGGCCAGCCTAGCCTCTCCAGGTGTTCCCAGGCTGCCAGACGGCTGAGCCTGAGGACAACCGAATCACAGGCTGGTGAGCAGCTGCCCTGTCCTGCACCCAGCAGGAATGGCCTCGTCCCTAACAGTGTGCCCCGTCAGGTGTGGTGACAGCCAGGGGCTTTGCACCAGGAGCTCCGCAAGTCTCCCTACAACCCTCCAGGTAGGCAATCACCTCCATCTCACCATGAGTACCTGAGCTCAAGAGAGGCCTCGGTGGCCCAGACAAGGTGGCAGCAGGTGTGGGTCCCACTGGGCTGACATTGTCACCATGTCTGCCCCAAGCCTCAGTGTCCTCACCTGCAGAATGGGGGCACTCACAGAGCCCCCCTTGCAGGGCTGTGGGCAGGGGTAATGAGAGCCTGCACAGGAGCAGCTCAGCCCGGCCCTGCCACATGGGCCCCATAGGCCAGGGACAGAGCCCAGCAGCCCCAGCGGAACCCTCTCTCCCCCTTGGAGCTGCGCAGACAGCACCACACTCACTAGGGAGGGCAGGGTTCGAGCACGCAGGCCTCTGGCCACGCTGGTGGCTGCTGGCTCCCTTGGCACTGGACAGTCTCCACCAACTCCTTCCTGGCCTGGTCCAGGCAGCTGTAGTTTACCCAGCGCAGCCCTGGGAGGGAAGAGGGAGGGCTAGGCCGCCTCCCTGCAGGGGCAAGCCGTGCTGTGGATGAGCCTTCCCCAGGTCTCACCTGCCCCACAGCTCACCGAGCAGGGCCCACGCACAGCGGCCCACACCCAGGCCTGCCGTGGCTTAGGCTGGAAGTAGGTGAAGGTGATGTCTGGGCGGGTGAGGTTGCCATACTCCTCGCCATACCGCCTGTAAACCTGCAGACAAAGAGCTTCAGGCCTTGTCCAGTGGGTTCCCTGAGGGTCACTGTCATGGCCACCTCCCCTGGGAAGCCTTCCAACTTCTTCTTGCATCCCTATAATCTTTCGTTCAGCAAGCAATCACTGGCCAGGCACGGTAGCTCATGCCTGTAAACCCAAAACTTTGGGAGCCTGAGGCAGGCAGATCACTTGAGCCCAGGAGTTTCAGAGCAGCCTGGGCAACATAGCACTCCAGCCTGGCCAACAGTGAGACCCTCTCTAAAAAAACAACAAAGACAAAAATAACGGGAAGCAATCACCAACACTGACCTGTACCAGGCTCTGGGGATAGCACAGTGCACAGGACACTGGCTGAGCTGCAAGGAGCTCTCAGTGGGTTGGGATAGAGGGCTCGGGGAGGTAATTACCAAGTCATTGGTGGGTTACATGATAGGGTATTTGGGCAGCACAGAGAAGGTTCCCTAAGCTGGCTGGGTAGAGGATAAAGTGCAGTGGAGGAGGCAGGCCCACCTTAGGCTGGGCTAAGGAGCCCAAGAAGGGCTAGGGCAGGGCCAGCACAGAAAGTGCTTCTGGAGCCAGAGCTGAGGCCCGTAGGGTCGGCAGGAAGAAACTGGATCCCTGGGGACCTGTGGTAGGGTCGGCAGGAAGAAACTGGATCCCTGGGGACCTGTGGCCAGCTACTGGCTTGGGACTGGCCCGGAGAGCACTAGGAAGAACTTCAGCAGGTTCCTGGGCCTAAGGCTCTTCAGGAGGGTAACTGGGTCCTGTGCCCAAGACCAGCCCAAGAAAGAGGCCAGCCTGGAGGCCAGAGCCCAGGGCGAGGTGACATTCCGCACCTGCCCCCTCGATGCCCACATCTGGCCAGTGCCGCAAGCCTGTGTTGGTTACGGTGCGGTTTCTCAGGCCCAACACAGGGAAGTCCTGATTCAGGGAATATGCAGAGGACCCGGGAATCTGCTTTTTTACACACTGCAGAGGATGATGGGAGAGCCACTCGGCAGCTAGCATCTGGATACAATGTCCCAGGCAAGGGGAGGGGAGGAAGGGAACCATATCAGGGGAAGAGAAGGGATAAGCCGCTCACAGGGGCTTGCTTTGGCCCGGCCTGGCCTGATCTGTGGGAGGCCCTCCTGTCTCTGGCTGCTGTAGGGGCAGAGGACGCTGCTCCGGCCGCTGAGACTGGGCCCCTCTCCCAAGGTTCTCAGGTCTGTTTCAGCCTGCGCTTATGTCTCTCCACCCTCCACGTGCCTTCCTCAGCGAAGCACCAATGGGGACATACATGGGCGAGCACACGTCACTGAGGACACGCCTGAACAAGGCCTTCCGGTTCCCACACACACTGCACCAAAGAAGCAGTGAGAGCCAGCATCTGTTCTCAGCTTCCTCAGCACCAAGGCCTACTCCCCAGATGCCACTGCACCTGCGTCCATGCCTTCATCTCCCCACAAACCCACACAGTAGGACCTTCCTTCATCCCTCCCACACTGACACTGTTCCCTCAGCCATACGCTTCCTTCCCTGCTTGGCCCAGCAACATCTGCTCATCTGACACCTCAGCTCCATCACTCTTTCCCAGGGAGCCCTGGACCCCTGCATTGGGCCCTCCAACCTTACCTGATCCCAGAACTGCAGGGCCTTCTCCCACGGGCTCTGGGCACAGGCACATTTGGATATTTGTGGGACCCTAAGCCCCTGGAGGAGCTAGCTACATTTTGCCTAGCACAGGGCCCAACACATAGTGGGTCCCCTGTAAGTGACCGCTGAATGAATAAATGAACGAATCAGGGAATGGATGGATAGACAAACGAGCAAGCAGCCATAGCCCCCAAGAAGAAGCCCCCACTGGCCTCCCCCAGGCTCTCCTGCTGACCTGGATGTCAGCATCTTCCTGGAGGGGTCCCCAGATGCGGATCTCCTCCAGGCGGGGCAGCCGGTCCTCGGTGAGGGCCACTCTGTACTCGACACGACCATCCTCCAGGAGGGAGGGGTAGGTGGTGTTAGGGGAGATGCTCATCTTCCCAGCCACGACATAGCGCCCTCCGATCCTCACCGCTGTCGGGGAACCAGCCCTGTTAGCTGTGTGGAGCTGAGCACCCATCCTCCTCACAGGCACATGTCAGTGACTCTCCTTCCCGGGGTCCCCAGCCCTCCTCTAAGGAGCCACAGGCATCTGAGCTAGAGGCTTCCCCACAGCGGAGGCTCTAGGCCTCTTTCCACAACCTGGTGAGTGCTATGACCAAGTGCACTCACGCACAGAACTCAACAGGCTCAGGGCTCAGGGACCCCATGGCAAGTGCCGGCAACCAAGGCTTCAAAGGTTAGGTGCAGACACACTCCAGAAAGACCCACTGTGGCCCTCAATAGCAAAGAAGCGGGCCTTGCCCAAAGAGAAGTCCAGCTTTTGCTGTTGGCTTCCAAGAGGAAACACGGGTCACACCAGGCAGAAGTGTCCTCCTTTAGGGCAGGGGCTGGCTGTACCAGAAAGACCAACTATGTGATTTAGGATAGGGGCTGGGTCACCAAGAGACTGAGAGTATCCACCTGGCCAATTAGTCAATCATGTCTTTGCACTCAAACCCCAGGAAAAACTCTCAACTCCCACTCAGTGGGCTTTCTGTGTGGGCAATACTCCATGCGTATGGCCACGCTCCAATGCTAGAAGGGTGTCACATCCCTGAGACATCAGGCCTCCTGGTTGGACCCTCCCAGACTCTGCCTACATCTCTTCCCTTGGACAATTCTAACCTGTGTTCTTCTGGAAGGAGCCGCAGCCATGTGCCACAGCTCTCAGTGAGCTCTGGGAGTCTTCCTAGTCAACTATCAAGCCTGAGGGTGGTTTGGGGAACCCCCTGAACTTGCGGGTGATGTCAGAAGTGAGGGCATCTTGGCAACAGTGCTCTGCACCTTTGCAGTCTAGCTAACTGGGTGGGAGTCCTCCAGTCAACTCACCCAAGTGTGTGAAGAGAGGCCTGTGGTTGGCAATGTAGACACTGGTCAGGTTGGGGGTAACTGTCAGAAACGTGACATATTCTAGAAAGAAGAAAAGAAGGAGAGATGCGTGGACCTCACAGCCACCACACCACAGACAAAGGGAGCTGATCTTAGCTGGTCGGGAAAAATTGAACAATGCCATGGGGCTGGCTCCAGCAGCAGTGAGTCCCCTGTCATGGGGGCAATTAAAAGCAGGCTGGAGGACCACCTGCCAAGGCTCTGCCCTGGCTGGGAGAAGGGACCGGGTCCAAGGTTCTCCAGCACAGTGGGGCAAGCCAGAGGGAGGCAGGGCTCAAGTCTCTGCTCTCCATAGAAGCACTGGCATTTGCAAATGGTTTTTGACCTCATATATACACCAAAGTCAAAGATTTTCCAAATGTAACTACCAACCCTCTCATTCACTTGTGTCCCTCTCAGTGGGATTTCTTGAGCAGGAGAGAAGAGGGTAGCTGCCACAGAATGCACAACGTCCATACTTTTTTTTTTTTTTTTTTGAGACAGTGTCTCACTCTGTTGCCCGGGCTGGAGTGCAGAGGGATCTCGGCTCACTGCAACCTCTGCCTCCTGGGTTCAAGCAATTCTCCTGCCTCAGCCTCCTGAGTAGCTAGGACTACAGGCGCCCGCCATCATGCCCAGCTAATTTTTGTATTTTTAGTAGAGATGGGGTTTCACCATACTGGCCAGGCTGTAGGTGATCTCCCGACTACAGGTGATCCACCCGCCTCAGCCTCCCAAAGTGCCGGGAGTACAGGCGTGAGCACAGCGCCCGGCCAATGTCTGTGTTTTTTTTGCAGCACGGCTACAGTGAGTGACCATTACTGAGGCACCACAGTCCCAGCAGCATCAAGGCCAAAACCTGAGCCTGCCACAGAAGGGTGGCGAAGTGGAAGAGGGAGACGCTGACACCACAGGAGGCATCCAGGGCTGAGTGAGTGTGCAGGCCCTGTGACCTGAGCAGCCCCTGCACCAACGCTCTGGGCTGTGGCCATCTTGGAGGCTGGGGGAAGCCCAGCCTCTGCCCCGAGGGAGGCCGCCTACCTCTCGCTCTGCCAGCTGTGAAAGAGCCCTTCCGTGGGCTGCACGTGCTGTTGTCCCCACCACACACCTGGCACCTGTCCCATACCTGCTGGGAGTCCATCCTACCATCACAGCCAAATGTCTATGCAAAGGGAAGGACAGAGGGCCCGTGTCACTGGAGGGTGCTGGCCTCAATGACTCTGCAGCCCTGCCAGCTCTGAGATTCTGGGATCCACAAAACCAGCAACACTTCTATAGCACCCCACCATCTACACAGGAAGCAAGCTTAGAGGGCTCAGTGACTTGCCCAAGGTCACACTGCAGCCCTTAACCCAGGCTGACTCCAAGTCCAGATCCTTTTCCCCAGCACCACTCCCCTGCAGAGGGCACTGCAGCTCCATCAGGGCCAGCACCCACCAACCTGCCCCCAGGAGCCTTCCGATAGGACAGGTAGGCCCCAGGGCCATCGCCAATGTCCACACACGCCTACCCTGCAGCTGCCCGACACACACAGGCTCAGGGTCCCGTCCTCCCGGGGGCCACTTGGCATACACCGGGTCCCATCGAGGAAGCTGTCTCCACGCTTCATGATGAAGCTCTCGCCAATGGCCCGGCACATGTGTCTGCACAGAGCATCCCCTGGGAGGGCAGAGTGAAAAAGGGTGTCCTGAACCGAGCAGGAGGGGCAAGTCCCCCAGCCCCCACCCAGCTTCATCCTTTGCATCTGGGGCAAGGGTTTCTATCTTCCCCACATCCCACCTCCTAAGGCAATAATCCTAATCACGATCCTAATCTAATCTAATAATTAATGGTATTGAATTAGGAACCAAGGCTGGGCGCAATGGTTCATGCCTGTAATCCCAGAACTTTGGGAAGCCGAGGCAGGCGGATCACCTGACGTCAGGAGTTTGAAACCAGCCTAGCCAACATGGCGAAACCCCATCTCTACTAAAAATACAAAAAAATTAGCCGGCATGGTAGTGCAAGCCTGTAGTCCCAGCTATTCGAGAGGCTGAGGGGCAAGAATCCCTTGAATCCCAGAGGCGGAGGTTACAGTGAGCTGAGATTACGCCCCTGCACTCCAGCCTGGGCGACAGAGCAAGACTCTGTCTCACAAAAAAAGTATCATGAACCAAGGAACACACTTGGCATTTTCCGATTATCTCCCTGAATCCTTGTAGCGCCCAGGGAGGGACCTACTGCTATTATCTCCATTTCACAGATGGGAAATTGAGACTCAGAGATGGGATGTCAGTGCCTGATCTACCAGCGAGGCCTGGCCACTATGTCATCCATGGTCTGTGGGATGCCAGAGCCTGAACCACTTTGCCCAGTGCTGGAGGGATAGTAGGCCAACCCCCCTATGACTCTGCCCTGTCCGAGGGTCTCCAGGGCTGGCTCCTCCCCCAACCCCACACTCCGCAGGCCCCACCTTGGCTGTGTGGTACAGCAGCACCCCAGTGGTAGAAGGAGGCGCCGCCAGGGGAGGAGCGCAGCGGCTGGCCGTCGGTCCTGGCGCACTGTTGCGACATGAACTCCAGCTGGGTCTTCTCGCAGGCCTGGCCAGGAGGAGGCAGAGGAGGGGGATGGCGGTGGGGCGGGGGGCGGGTGTTGTCACTGGGAGACTACATGGCACCCTACAGTACAGGATCAAGATGTGGGTGTGGCCTCAGCTCCAGGCCGTGCCTCGGTTCCCTGCTCTGTAAACTGGGGTGACAAAAGTGCCTGCCTCTCTCTATTGATGGGAAAACCCCGGGGAATCCGTAAAGAACACAGGGCAGCAACGAAGAAGAAAGCCAGGAAAGAGCATTACGCTCAGAGCCTCTGCTTCCAAGGCCTGAACTCAATAAAACAGGGACGGGGATGTGTATTCTTTAGGTAGTGCACCTAGAGGCAGGTAACCAAAGCATGGAGCAAAGACCTCACCACCGAAGCCTCTGCACTCAGGCAGGCGTCTTGGACTTTTATGGGCTGACAGAAGATAACCGGAGTTGACTCCCTGGACAGCCACACTGACCACACTGCCTCCACGAAATCCCACCACCCTGTGCTCCAGCCAAAGACCCTCCCCTCACGGTCTGGGGAGGTCTTGGTGGTCCATTTGGAGAAGGAGGAAAGGGAGGGTCTCACCACATGCAGAACTGTAATACAGCCAGGGACAAACCCACACCCAGGGCCATCGAAGCAGGAGATAGAATTTAACTCAATGTAAAAAGAATCTTTCTACCATTTCATACCACCGAGATGGCCAAAATCAAAAAACAGAAAACAGGCCGGGCGCCATGGCTCACGCGTGTAATCCCAGCACTTTGGGAGGCTAAGGTGGGCGGATCACCTGGGGTCGGAGTTCAAGACCAGCCTGGCCAACATGACAAAACCCCATCTCTATTAAAAAAAAAAAAAAAAAAAAGAAGAGAAAAGAAAAAACAACAACAGAAAACAGCAAGTGCTGCAGCGGATGTGGGGAAACTGGAACCCTGGCGCAATGCTGGTGGGAATGTGAAACAGTTCAGGCACTGTGGAAAACGGTTTGGCAGTTTCTTTAAAAGCCAAACATGCTGGGCGCGGTGGCTCACGCCTGTGATCTCAGCCCTTTGGGAGGCCGAGGCAGGCAGATCACGAGGTCAGGAGATCAAGACCATCCCGGCTAACATGGTGAAACCCCGCCTCTACTAAAAATACAAAAAAAAATTAGCCGGGCGTGGTGGCGGGCGTCTGTAGTCCCAGCTATTCGGGAAGCTGAGGCAGGAGAATGGGGTGAACCTGGGAGGCGGAGCTTAGAGTGAGCCGAGATCGCGCCACCGCACTCCAGCTTGGGCGACAGAGCGAGACTCCATCTCTAAAAAAAAAAAAATAAAGAAAGAAAGAAAAAAATAAGAAAAAAAAAAAGTCAAACATAGGCCGGGAGCGGTGGCTCATGCCTGTAATCCCAACAGTTTGGGAGGCCAAGGCGGGCAGATCACCTGAGGTCAGGAGATCCAGACCATCCTGGCTGACGTGGTGGAAACTCCATCTCTACTAAAAATACAAAAAATTAGCCAGGCATGGTGGCGCGTGCCTGTAATCCCAGCTACTCCGGAAGGTGAGGCAGGGGAATCGCTTGAACCCAGGAGGCGAAGGTTGCAGGGAGCTGAGATTGCACCACTGCACTCCAGCCTGGCGACAGAGCAAGACTCTGTCTCAAAAAAAAAAAAAAGAAAAAAAAAAGTCAAACATACAATTCCCATACGATCCAGTAACTCCGCTCTTCAGCATACTGCCAAAAGAATTGAAAACAGGGATTCAAACATGTACAAGCACATTCGCAGCGGCTCTGTTCACAGGAGCCAAAAGGTGAAAACACCTCAGATGTCCATCAGCAGACGACTGGATGAAAATGTGGTCTATCCCTGCAGTGGAATATGATTCAGCCAGAAAGAGGAATGAGGCGCTGACACAGGCTACAACACAGGTGAGCCTTGGGGACGTGCCGCTGGGGGAGGAAGGCAGGCAGGAAGCACACCTGTTGTCTGGCCTCAGGTACGTGGCATGTCTAGAACAGGTCAATCCACAGAGACAGAAGGGAAACCAATGGCCGCTGAGTGGCGGAGGAGAAATGGGGAGTGACAGCCTACCATATGGGGTTCACTCCAGAGTACTCCAGAGTACTGGAAACGTTCTGAAACTAGACAGAGGCAGTACTTGCCCAACCTTGTGAGTGTACTAAAGGCCACTGAGTTGCCACTTTAAAATGCTTGATTTCATGCTACATGAATGTCACCTCAATTTATAAATAAAAGACTCCTTCGGCCAGGCGCAGTGACACCTGTAATCCCAGCACTTTGGGAGGCCGAGGCAGGCGGATCACGAGGTCAGGAGATCAAGGCCATCCTGGCTAACACGGTGAAACCCCTCCTCTACTAAAAATACAAAAAATTAGCCGGGCGTGGTGGCGGGCACCTGTAGTCCCAGCTACTCAGGAGACTGAGGCAGGAGAATCGCTTGAACCTGGGAGGCAGAGGTTGCAGTGAGCTGAGATAGCACCACTGCACTCCAGTCTGGGTGACAGGGAGAGACTCTGTCTAAAAAAATAAAAATAATATTTAAAAAATTCCTTTGCAGGCATGCAGCAGCGCACTGTATTCCTAGTGGGGAGGTTCTCCCTGCAGAGATGCGCTCTGGAGGGCAAAGTGGCACTCAGGGAGGGAGGCGGGACGCTTCAGGGGCTCTGTGGGCATCAGCAGGACTGGCCTGGTTTATGAACTGGGGTCCCAATGTCCTTCTCTCTCTTTTTTAATTTTTATTTTTTTTTTGAGACAGAGTCTCACTCTGTCGCCCAGGCTGGAGTGCAATGGCCCAATCTCGGCTCACTGCAAGCTCTACCTCCTGGGTTCAAGTGATTCTCCTGCCTCAGCTTCCCGAGTAGCTGGGACTACAGGCGCCCACCACCACGCCCGGCTAATTTTTGTATTTTCTGTAGAGACGAGATTTCACCATGTTGGCCAGGCTGGTCTTGAACCCCTGACCTCAGGTGATCCACCTGCCTTGGCCTCCCAAAGTGCTGGGATTACAGGCATAAGCCACCTCACCTGGCCCCAATGTCCTTCTCAAATGTGTCCTGGTGTGAACCACAGATGGTCACTTTGGCTCCCCCAGGGCCCGGTGCCACCAGCTGCCCCCTCCTACCCCAGGAAGCAGGCCTACCTGAGTGTTGCACATCTCGGCCTGGAGGTCAGCACCAACACATGCACGCCCCCCAAAGGCAGGTCTGAAAATGCCCAGCAGACAGGAGGGTGAGAGAGCAGGGTGACCACTGCCTTCAACTAGGGACTATGGTATGGCCACACTCCCTGACAGAAAAGCACCCTCCCTGCGGTACCTGGGGTTGTTGCACTGCCGCCTCCTGGTGACCACACCTCCTCCGCAGGAGCGGGAGCAAGGACTTCGGGGACCCCAGCTAGACCAGCGCCCATGCACTGCTGCTATGGGGGTCAGCTCCACCAGGGAGCGGCAGCGACCCTTGGAGCACCACTGCAAGGCAAGGATGGCTTCATCTCCCATCCCACAGTGACCCCACCACAGGACTCCCAACACACACAGAGAGTCCCCCAACATCCTCAGGGATCCCCAACACACACAGGGACCCCACCCACAGCGACCCCCAAACACACACAAGGAACTCACCCATAGGGATCCCCCAACACACAGGGATCTCCAACACACACAGAGACCCCCCAACACACAGGTACCCCAGCCACATGGATCCCCCAGACCCACAGGGATCCTCCAACACCCAGAGACCCCCCAACATACACACAGAACCCCCCAGGGACCCCTCAACACACAGGGATCCTCCAACACACACATAAGGACCCCACCCACAGGGACTCTACACTCACAGGGACCCCTTACACAGGGATCCCCCCCGAGACACCCCATATCCACAAGGACCTTCACACAGGGACCCCACCCAAAGGAACCCCACACCCATGGGCACCCCCCATACAACAGGCAGCCCACATTCCCATTCTGCATGGGAGCAAATGCTAAAGGAAAGAGGTCAGACCACCAACCCAAAGGACAGTCCCCAAGGCCAACTCCAAGACTCTCTGCCCCATACTGGTCCTGCCTCCTGACCTAGGAATAGGGCGGCCTGGCTGGAGGCACCCACGTGCACGTGCTCACAGGAGCCCACTCATTCACTCTTGGCTCTGACCTTCTCCACGCCACATTCTGTCCCATCCAGGAGAGGAACGAGGAGGCGGCTGCAGCTGCTTTGGTCCAGCGGGTCTGTGTGGCAGGAGAGGGCCTGGCACATATCCTAGGAGGGTGGACAGGTGGGTGGCGAGCTCAGGGGCCACCAGGGCCTTCCAGGCCAGTGTCCAACCTTAACTGTCCCTCCCAGACTGCAGGACACACTGACACAGCCAACACTCTGCACCGTGGGCACTGGTGCCCTCAGAGGACAAGGCATGACTGACCCATCGATGGGGAACCGGGACCATGACCAGGTCCTGTCACACTTTTGGGGGCCCATGGAAATGTGTTTTTTGTGTCTTTTTTCTTTTTTTCCTTCTTAACTTGTCACTGACTTGAAGCTCAAGAGGCAAATGTTTTAATTTATTTTTCTTTCTTGTTTTTTTTTGAGACAGTTTCGCTCTTGTTGCCCAGGCTGGAGGGCAATGGCGCGATCTTGGCTCACCTCAACCTCTGCCTCCTGGGTTCAAGCAATTCTCCTACCTCAGCCTTCCGAGTAGCTGGGATTACAGGCATGCGCCACCACGCCCGGCTAATTTTTTGTATTTTTAGCACAGATGGCATTTCTCCATGTTGGTCAGGCTGGTCTCAAACTCCCGACCTCAGGTGATCCGCCTGCCTTGGCTTCCCAAAGTGCTGGGATTACAGGCGTGAGCCACCACACCTGGCCTAATTTCTTTTAAAATCAGAAGGAAAAAGGCCGGGCACTGTGGCTCACGCCTGTAATCCCAGCAATTTGGAAGGCCGAGGCGGGCAAATCACGAGGTCAGGAGAGCGAGACCATCCTGGCTAACACAGTGAAACCCCATCTCTACTAAAAATACAAAAAATTAGCCGGGTGTGGTGGCAGGCACCTGTAGTCCCAGCTATTCGGGAGGCTGATGCAGGAGAATGGCTTGAACCCTGAAGGCAGAGCTTGCAGTGAGCCAAGATTGAGCCACTGCATTCCAGCCTGGGTGACAGAGCGAGACTCCGTCTCAAAATAAATAAATAAATAAAATAAAATCAGAAGAAAAAAATGAACTAGGCTGGGTGTGGTGGCTTATCCTGTAATCCCAGCACTTTGGGAGGCCAAGGCGGGCGGATCACCTGAGGTCAGAATTCGAGACCAGCCCGGCCAACATGATGAAACCCTGTCTCTACTAAAAAATACAAAACTTAGCTGGGCATGGTGGCACATGCCTGTAGTCCCAGCTACTCGGGAGGCGTAGGCCCGGGAATCACTTGAACCTGGGAGGCGGAGGTTGCAGTAAGCCAAGATTGTGCCACTGCACTCCAGCCTGGGTGACAGAGTGAGACTCTGTCTCAAAAAAAAAAAAAAATGAAAAAATGAACTTCCAGGTCAAAATTAATGTTGTAATATATAATATTAATAGATTTGCTGATCAGGCGTGGGTGGTGGCTCATGTCTGTAATCCCAGTGCTTTGGGACGCCAAGGTGGGAGGATGGCTTGAAGCCAGGAGTCCTAGACAAGCCTGGGTAACAAAGGGAGACCCCATCTCTACAAAAAATTTAAAAATTAGCTGGGCATTGTGGCATGTGCCTGTAGTCCCAGCTACTCCAAGGCCGAGGTGGGAGGATCGTTTGTGCCCAAGAAGTTGAGGCAACAGTGAGCTATGATTGTGCTACTGCACTCCACCCTGGGCAACAGAACGAGGCCCTGTCTCAAAAGAATTTAAAAAAAAAGACTTGGCGGGGCGCTGTGGCTCATGCCTGTAATCCCAGCACTTTGTGAGGCCAGGGCGGGCGGATCACGAGGTCAGGAGATCGAGACCATCCTGGCTAACACAGTGAAACCCCGTCTCTACTAAAAATACAAAAAATTAGCCAGGCGTGGTGGCGGGCGCCTGTAGTCCCAGCTACTCGGGAGGCTGAGGCAGGAGAATGGTGTGAATCTGGCAGGCGGAGCCTGCAGTGAGCAGAGAGGGAGACTCTGTCTCAAAAAAAAAAAAAAATAGGAAAAAAAAAGACTTGTATTTATAGTAACACATAAAACTTTATACATTGTATAAGAATATTAAAACATAATTCTCAATTTTTTTGTGGAGGAAGGGGCCCATCAAGGCAAAAGTGCCTGGAGCCCATGAATGTCCTATGCAATCCTGCGAGGAAGTCTGTCTTTTGGGGTGCCTGCTCTCCTTCATCTCCCCTCCCCCTACCAGCCCCACTTCTGCTGTGGGTTCAGTTTAGAGGCCACTTCCTCCAGGAAGCCCTCCAGTCTGACTCCAGCCACAATAGATGGGGAAGTCCTTGGTAACTGTTTAAGATTGGTGTCCTCACTCAGCCAGGAGTCCTTGGGCACAGGGGCCCTCCCAGGACTAGCTACATAATTTGTGGGGCCCAGTCAAACAAAAATGTTGGAGCTTTTGTTCAAACATTTTAAATAATTTCTAGAGGGCACAGACAGCATTAAACTAAGCCGCCCTGGCTTAGTACCTCAGCCTAGCACGGCACCCAGCAGGTTCTCACCATGCACGTTTTGGGGGACGTGAGCTGGGTGATGCGGAGGGACCTCACAGCCAATCCCAGGCCACCGCCGGCAGACTCACCAGGTGCTCCCTGGCGAAGGTGCAGGCGACAGCCTTGGGGCCGAAGGCCACGCGGCACTGCTCGTTGGCGCTGTAGTAGAGGCCAGGCTGCGCATCCGGCGGGTGCCCCGCGGACCCGGGTTGAGGCCGCGGCGGGTCCCACACGCAGCGCGCCCGTCCTGCGCTGCGACAAGGCCCGGCTCAGGCCCGGCTCAGTCCCGGGGTGTACACCGGGAGGAGGCGGGACGGAGGAGTGGGCACGAGGATGGAAGCGTTTGGAAGCGTGGCCTTTTGTGAGTGGGAACAGGAGTTCTCGGCCCGCGCCCCCCACCAGGAGCCGGCTCTTGGCTGGGACCAAGACTAAGGCTCCTGCCGGCGCAGAGGTGGGTGGCCAGCAGAGGGAGCGGCGACGGAGGGACGGGTCTGAGTGGGATGGAGCAGATGCAGGTTAGGCCCGGGAGCGGTGCGGTCGGCGGGAAGGGGACGCAGGGATACATGTACGCGGGTGGGGGAGATAGGGGTGTGGGACTGATGGAGCGTGGAGAGTGGACGGAGGGGTAGGGGCGGGTGGAGGCAGACGAAGGGTAAGGGGGTGAAGTGAGGGGGTGGGTGCAGGAACAGGGTGGGCCCAGGAACGGGGTGGGTGCAGGGGGCTGAGATGGAGGGGTGGATGGAGGAGGGTAGGATGCAGGGGTGGGTGTAGGCAAGTGGGAGAGAACCAGGGAGTGTATGTGGAGTCAAGGGGCGGGATGGGGATGGACGGAGGGGTGCGTGCCCAGATTGGCTGGAACGAAAGTGTGGGCGCAAGGGGGCGAGGGAGGACGCAGGGGTGGGCGCAGGGAGGGGGTGGAACGGAGCGGTGGGCGCAGGGGTTGGACAGAAGGGTGGCCGCAGAGTGGGACAGCACGGGGGGAGGTGCAGGGGGTGGGGCAGGTGGGTGGGACGGGGGGGTGGGTGCAGGGGTTGGGACGGAGGGGTGGGCGCAGGAGTGGGCGCAGCGGGATGGGACGGAGCTGTGGGCGCGGGGTTGGACGGAGGAGTGGGTCAGGATGGAGAGGTAGGACAGGAAGGAGGGCTGAATGCGGAGTGGGGACGGACGTAGGGAGAGGTGGGGACGGACGTAGGGAGGGGTGGCGCGGGCGGCCCAGCGGGCTGGCTGGAGGCTCGCGCGCCCGCCCCTCCACGGACGGAGCGGTGGGCGCGGGGTTGGACGGAGGGGTGGGTTGGACGGAGGGGTGGGACAGGAAGGAGGGCTGAATGCGGAGTGGGGACGGACGTAGAGAGAGGTGGCGCTGGCGGCCCAGCGGGCTGGCTGGAGGCTCGCGCGCCCCTCCCACGGGGCGGCCGCTACCTGAGCAGGCTCAGCAGCTGCCGGCGGCTGCAGGGGGACCAGGCGAGGCCGGCGCGGGGCGCGGCGCCGTCCGAAGCCATCACGTGTCCGCTGGGGCCGCAGCCGCTGCCGGGCGCGCCGTCGTGCTCCAGGCCGAAGCTGGTCGGGGGGCGGGGAGTTGCGCTAAGGCGGCCGGCAGGGGCGGGGGCGGGGGTGGGGGCGGGACGGGGGTCGGCGAGTCAGCGGCCCGGCGCCCTAGTGCCGCAGCGCCAGCGAGTTTTCCGACCCGGGTCGACCCCTGACGCCGCCATCTGCTAACTGGGCGCAGTGGAGAGGGTCGCGTGCGCCCTGCCTCAGTTTCCCCCAGAAGGGAGCGCTAGCCCAGCAGGGTGGCTCTCGCATCTTTTGCTAATAAATATCAAAAGCCTTTAAAAATGTGCAAGCCACATTAAATCATGGTGTTAGGAGTCTGTGGGGAGGTGGGGACTGGCCGGGGCCTTGAAGGGCTGCTCTGGGGACTGTTTACATGGATGTGTTGAGCGTGAAATTCACCTACTGTGAGGAAAGCACGATTTTAAAGTTCAGTTAAAACGTGCTTGCCCTTGGCCATTGTTTGCATTCCTAGGCCAGGAAGGTGAACCGTTTCCAAACTGTCACAACAGAGCTTGCTTTACCCAAAGCGGAACTGATGGAGGACTCCTAATGGGGTGGGAGAGGCCAGGCACCGGTGAGGTAGGAGGTGGACTCCACTCTGGAGGCCCCGCTTGGACACTGGACCAGAGGACTAGCTAAAACAGGGAGGGGTGGGAAGCCCCTTTCCATAAGACACGCCCACCAGTGTGCCATACCAGTTTGCCATTGCCATGGCAAAACCCAGAAGTTACTGCCCCTTTTCCATGACGAAAACCTAGAAGTTACTGCCCTTTTTCTAGAAATTTCTGCATAATCTGGCCCCTTAATTTGCATATAATTAGAAGTGGGTATTAACTAGGACTGCAGCCCTGCCTTTGAGCTGCTCTTTTGGGCACAGTGTCTATGGGGTAGCCTGGCTTCAAAAGGGGCTATGCTGTGCTGTATACAGTCACAGGGCTGTACACTCTGCCCACTGCCACATCAATCAAAGTTGCTGTCTAACACCACCTGCTCCCTCTTGAATTCTTTCCTCGGTGAAGCCAAGAACCCTCCCAGGCTAAGCCCCAGTTTGGGGGCTCACGTCTTCTGCATCACAGGAGCAGAAGGGAACTATGCTCCCTCTGAGGGAGAAGGAGCCCTGCCTTGTCCCACACCCAGGAACCCTGCCTCAACCCTCCCAGGCTCAGAGGGGTTGAAAGGGGTCGGGTGGGGGTTGGTGGGCAAGGAATGTGGAAATTCACTTTTTACTTTAGAAATCTCTGCACTGTTTGAATTTTTACAACAATTGGGTATTATTTTCATACTTAAAAAACTAAAGAAATGAAAAGAAACCCATCACTCTAGGTAAATGGTTATAGGTAAGAGTGAAGGTTTGCCCACAAGAATGCATAACATTCACAACAGGAAGACGTGTTCAGACAACCTAGACATCCAAGAAGAGGGGACTGATTAAATAAATTACGGTGCACACCTCTAAGATACCTGGGATAATGTTTGGGATATATTATTACATAAAGAACAGGTAAATCCTGCACTTACCCTAGGAAGAAAAAAGAAAGGCTGGATGCAGTGGCTCACGCCTGTAATCCCAGCACTGTGGGAGACCGAGGCAGGTGGATCACCTGAGGTTGGGAGTTCGAGACCAGCCTGACCAACATGGAGAAACCCTGTCTCTACTAAAAATACAAAATTAGCTGGGCGTGGTGGCACATGCCTGTAATCCCAGCTACTTGGGAGGCTGAGGTGGGAGAATCACTTGCACCCAGGAGGTGGAGGTTGCAATGAGCTGAGATCACGTCATTGCCCTCCAGCCTGGGCAACAAGAGCGAAACTTCATCTCAAAAAAAAAAAAGAAAAGAAAAGAAAAAGAAATAGCAGGTAACAAAGCAATGCACAGCATAATCACAATTTTCCTTTTTTTCAGGGATCCAAACTAAATCCCAATTTTGCAAATAAGAAATATGTGTGTGTATGTAAAGAAAAGACTGAAATTAAATACAAAATGTGAAGAGACATTATCTCTAAATGGTGGGATTTGAGATAATTTTTACAGCCTGCTCTTTCTTTACCTGAATTTTCTACAGAAGTTATTTTCTACCTGCTAAAGGTGTCTTGCTCGTCTTTTGGAAAAAAAGTTCTTTTAATCAAACAGTATCAGGTTCCCCTGTCCTCACACCTGAGTCTGTCGGGGTGAGGGGTACAGGCTCCTCTGGAGAAACTCTACAAGGACCCACTGCTTGCCAAGACCACCTCCACCCTGGGTACCCAGGTCAGCTCCTTGCCAGATCCTGGGGACAGCTGGTGGGGCTACATACCTGTGCCCAATCTCATGGGCAATGGTGACTCCCAGGTCGAAGCCAGTGTCCTCGGTAATGAGGCAGCTCCAGGTTGGGGAGCAGGCACCGCCCAGCTGGGTGACGCCCCGCACCTGCCGGTTACCATCAGGCAACTCCAGGTCAAACCTCGGTGAGAGAAAACAGTCACTTGGGTGGTGCCAAGGCACGTGCCTGCCCTGGGGTCACCTTTGCAGAGGGCAGGAGGCTGAGGGAGCAGCCTTCCCAGGCTGGCTGGCCAGCACCCATCAGAAAGCTCGGCTACCTAGTGATATAGAGGACCAGGTCAGCATGGCCAGGATCCGTGTCGTCCTCAGGGTTGATGGTCTGGCTCCACCCACAGACGCTCAGCAGGGACGAGGTGAGGTTGGCTGTGATATTTGGAGCACCCTGCGGACCCACAGCAAAGCCTGCATTTAGGACACCCCAACCAGGCACGGTGCTGACTGCGGTCGGTTTGTTTCCCAGTTAGTCCTCCTAACAACCCTATGACTAGCCCGTGTTAGGGATGAGACAACTGAGGCTCAGAGAAGTAGTCAGGCAGCCTGTGCTGAGTGCTGGGTAGAGCTGGGAGGGCAGCTGGTCTGTCTGGCTGAATGCATTCTGTGATCCATGCTGCTTGGGGCATCCGGGACAAGAGGTTAAAGAGGATGGAGATGCGATGACTTGGGCTTCCCGCTCTGTATGGTGTGCTGAGTTCCAGCTCCATGCCTACCTCAGGCTCTGTCAGAATGACCATCTTCACCAGGTGCACCCGAAACTGAGCCCCCAGGGACGGGTCCCGAAGCAGTTCTGCCCCCTGTGCAAGGGCAGATGAGAGAGGTAACCCGTCGGGTGGGCATTGCCAGCCCCAGGCAGCTGCTGACTCCCAGGGGCCCCCGGAGTGTGAAGAGCTGGAGAGGCTACTCCACCAGCATGTGTGGGAACCGGGCGGGGCGGGGGGCTCCTAAAATGTGCTGCACAGTCAGCCGTGCCTCTGTTGCTCCTCAGCTCATGGCTCAGGAAGGCCAACTAACGCAAGGAAAACAAACTCCAAAGCAAGGGGATGAGAGCACACAGATGGTCACGAGTCGGATATTCCGGTCAAACGCTGCTCCTCTCAGATCGCAGGCTCCTCTCAGATTACAGGCGCCTGCCACCATGCCCAGCTAAGTTTTGTATTTTTAGTAGCTACGGGGTTTCACCATGTTGGCCAGGCTGGTCTTGAACTCCTGACTTCGGGTGATCCACCCGCCTTGGCCTCCCAAAGTGCTGGGATTATAGGCATGAGCCACCGCGCCTGGCCTTGTTTGTCTTTCTGAGACGGCGGCTAGTGGGGGAGTGCTTCCCTGCCCGCCCTTCCCCAGCTTTCAAGTGAAGGGGGGCTGCAGGGATTCAGGTGCTAGCAAGAAATGAAGGTGGGCATCTCCTTTGCCAGCAGTCTCTGTTTAGACTTCAGACGGGTGACCTGTCCTCGCCACTCTGAGCGGGGGACAAGAGAATGGAGAGAGGGCAGGGTCGGGGTGCAGAGGGCAGTGTGAGCAGCCCGTATCCCATTTGCCAGGGTTGCTTTAGCTGAGCTTTGTGGGGGTCAAATGGATACTGGGGAAGAGGCCAGGCTTGAGGGTGGCCCCAGGTGAAGGGACTTGAGTAGTGAGAGGCTGCAGGGTGTGCATGTGCCATGGAGCCTAGAGAGGGTGTGGGACCTCACCCACCTCCACCCAGGGGAGGGAGGGAGAAGAGGAAGAACCCCGAGCCATTCTACCTGAGTTTAACCCACTGTATTCAGACTACCAGATACACCAGCCCACAGACATTGGTCACCAGCCCTGGCCGTGGGGACCTGCACAGTCCAGCGTGGGGCACTCACGATGTTGAGGTTGGTGAGCACATAGCGCTCTGTGTCCTCCTGGTGAGCCTGGAAGACATCGGGGCCCACGGCCACCAGCAGCTCCAGGTGTAGGATGCCGCCTGCAGCCCGCCTCTGCCTCTGCCTCTGCCTCTGGAAGCCAGGGGAAGGAGGGCGGCCTGGAGGGGGAGAGGGAGAGCAGAGGGCGATGGTTCTAGAGAGCAAGCAGTGGAAAGCTAACAGGAAAGGGGCTGGCAGGTCTTGGAAGGATGGCCTTCCGAAGTCAAGACATTGCGTGTCACCCCCACCCCAAGAGCCAGACCCCATTAGTGACTAGGCACGCAAAGGGCAGGGCCCAGGAGGAGCTGTTGGGCTATTGTGTGCTTTGGGTCACCCCATCAAGACAAGATTCCCACTGCCCTGGTGGCTCTGCCCAAAGGGGAAAGCCCCTGCCCTGCCTCCTGGACCCTGCTCTGGGCACAGGTGTTTCACAAGTAACATCATGGACCCCGACAGGAAACTGAACACGAGTGGAGCCCAGTGGTCTCTTGGGAAGCAGGGGCCCAGGCCAGCCCTCACTGTCCTCTCCCAAGGGAGCCCTTAGAGGGTCAGGGACCCTGGGCAATGATCTCCCAGCCTTTCAGGAGCGGCAGCGCTGGAAGGACCCAGGCTATGGGATACCCAGACAGCGTCGGCTGCATCCAGCCCCCAGCGTGGCCCCAGGCACTGGTCAGTGTGCCTCTGGCCTAGACCACAAAGAACCAGGTCACAAAGTGGGCCTTGCCCTCCTGTTGCCCCTGACCACTAGCCCACCTGCCTCTGGCCCCCATCAGCCATTAGTCAAGTTGCCAATGGCCCTACTGGGAAGGGGGCTCGCACCGGAGAAGGTCACAGACATGGGCCTGTGGGCAATGGGGACAGGCCTTTATCATAAGGAAATCCATGGCCTTAGGAGGTAGCCTGAGCCAGTACCTATCTTGTTTCCCACAGAAGGAATAAATATTTACATCCACGGTCAGAAACCACAAGAGCTCCTGAAAATCAGCCAGCTCAGCAGAGGCCATGGGGCAGGAGGGGCCAGCCAATCGGTGACCGTTCCCTTGTGATATTTAACAGAAGCTAGGGTGAGAACCCTGGCCTGGCTGGAACACCCAGACCAGCTTATATCAACTTGGCAGGAAGTAACAGAGTTAATTAACAGGGTTGACAGCAGCTTCTCTGACCTTCTCCTTCCAGATCCACCAAAAATCCCAGACCACTGACTCAGTGGTGAGATACCCCTTGAAAGTCCTGAGAAACTCCCCCCGGGAGAGAAGACACCAGGACAAGTACCTTTTAAGGGAGCACCAGGGCTCAAGTAAGAAGACACGGCCTGTGGCTCCAAAGCCTGAAGACAACTCTGCAAGACAAAAAGAGATGGATGGGGCCGGGCATAGTGGCTCTGGCCTGTAATCCTAACACTTGGGGAGACCGAGGTGGGAGGATCACTTGAGTCCAGGAGTTTGAGACCAGCTGGGGCAACATAACAAGACCCCATGTCTTAAAAAAAAAAAAAAAAAAAAAAAGAGAGAGAGAGAAAGAAAAAAGAACAAAAAGAGATGGATGAAGAGGGAGACAGGAGGCAGGAGGTGGGTGAGGCCAACCAAGAAGGAGAGGGGGAAATCAGAGACAGGGAGAGGAAGGGAGAGGCAGAGAAGAGCAACCTACACAGTTTGGGACAAACTAGTATCTGTCTGTTCAGCTTCACCGAATGAGCAGGTCGTACTGAGACACCAACTCCCTCTTCAGTGAGCACACTTCATCCCCCAAAGCCCCAAGTACAGACTCCCCTGCCCAGCGCAAACCCCAAAGCTGATGTAGTCAGCTATTTGGCACTCCCCTCGCCCCAGGTAGCTCAGAATACCCCACCCAGAGGCTCCCAGAATACCCCCGCTCCTGCAAATGAGCCCACCTGCTGGAAATGGGAGGGTCCCCAGCAGCCCAGGAGAAAGCCACAGGCAAGGATTCCGGCCACACAGAGGGGAGGGCATCTTGCCCGGGGGTGACGCTGGTGCATCCTCAGGAGAGCCAGCCCGAGGAGTGGAGCGGAGTGAGAGGGGGCCTTGGTGACTGGGAATCTGGTCAGTATGGAATGGGACAGGCCTGCTCACTACTGGGCGGGACGATTAGGCAGTGTTTACTCTTGGAAGCTTCCTGCCAGGGCAGGGGCCGTGGCTAGGGTGGGCGGCCTGCAGCTCCTCCTGCTGCAAGCTGGGCCTTGCTCTAAGATGGTTGCAGTTCAGGGTAACCTGCAGCCCAGTCCTGCACACCAGACAGCTCTCCGGATGTGCACGCCCACCCCCTTAGAGGAGGCCTAAGCCATCTAATCTGGAGAAGGGACACTGGACCAGAAACCCACAGACGGGGGTTCACAAGGAATGCCAGGACCTCGGCTGACTCCCTCTCCGGGGTCCCCGCTCCCATCTGACAGATGAGAGGCTGTGCCAAAGACATCGTGGTTCTGGCTCAACTCTCCACCTACTCTGTGCCTGCGCCTGATGAGGAGAGTCGCAGAAGCAGGCTGCACGGCACCAGATCTCAGCATCATCACAAACGGCCTGGCAATCCCCTTCATCTCCTGGAAGACTCACTTCACATGCTCCAAACCACTCTTTTACACCCACAGAGCCGCACAAGCTGATGACCAGCAGGGGGATTCACCTTGTCTTTCCACCCCTCAAAGTGCAGCCTCTCTCCTCCTCTGCGATCAGGGAGGACACACCTACACTTCCTGCCAGGCCCTGGCTCTGGATCCCTTCCCAGCTCTCTCCTCCTGCATCGTTAGTTTCTGCCCCTCTGCTAGAGCCATTCATTCATTCCTTCAGCCAACAAATGTTTCACTGAGCCCCTGAAACAGGCCAGGCTCTGTGCTAGACACCAGGAAAGCAGCCCCAAGCCAGGCAGACAGCAGCCTCGGCCTCTCACAGCTTAAATTCTAGGGAAGAGAGCCAGACAGCAAAGTTGCTAGACAGACACATGTTGTATATGTAGTATGTTCAAAGGTGGTAAGTGTTATGGAGAAAAATACAGCAGAATAAAGGAATGGGGGACTGGAGGGAAGGGTGTGCTTTCATGCAGGAAGGTAAGGAGGCTGTTGGAGAAGGGGGCATGCTTAGATATCGAGATCCTGGTACCTGGCTCACTCCATCAGCATGAATGACTCTCCTGTCTCTTTTTGGTTTTTGTTTGTTTTTTGAGACAGAGTCTTGCTGTGTCACCCAGGCTGGAGTGCAGTGGCACGATCTCGGCTCACTGCAACCTCCGCCACCCAGGTTCAAGTGATTCTCCTGCCTCAGCCTCCCTTGTGGCTGGGATTACAGGCACCCGCCATCACGCCTGGCTAGTTTTTGTATTTTTAGTAGAGGTGGGGTTTCGCCATGTTGGCCAAGCTGGTCTCAAACTCCTGACCTCAGGTGAGCTGACTGCCTCGGCCTCCCAAAGTGCTGGGATTACAGGCATGAGCCACCAAGCCCAGACACTCTGGTGTCTCTTGATTACAATCAACAACCTTCCCTTGACCCACACTGTCCTCCTGCCATAGCCCTGTTTCTGGCTGTCTTTAAGAACTTAGAAACATTATTTTCAGTGGCTATCTCCACTTCCTTGCCTTCAATTCCCACATACCATTGAAATTGATCTTTAAAAGGTCACCAATAACTTTGTGAACCCTGAAAGAGCCAATCCTTCTTGATGGATCCCAAGTTACTAACTGGGCCTAAATTCAAAGTAGGACCTAGCAGCCATTTGCTGACTAGGGTCACACACACATTCTGCGTTCCTGGAAAGCCCCCACTCTCACTTAACTCTGGGATGGTTTCACAGCTATCTGTTCCTGTTTATGCCGCCAGAATCAACCCATCGACTGTGACCTGCATCGACCAATCTGAACTCAGCAAGTATTAACCAATCAGAACTAAGCAAGTGTGCCTTCCTCATTTGCATAAGTGGACCAAAGTGGGAACCTGGGCAGGAAGTTCTCTACAAAAGACGACCTCTTTCTTTGTTCTCTTTGTTCCCTGGAATGCACCTTTGTACAGAAGGCTGCATTGCCCTGGTTTACAAACTGCTGGAACAAAGTTTTTTTCCTTTTTTAAAAAGAAAACCTGGGCCAGGTGTGGTGGCTCACGCCTTTAATCCCAGCACTTTGGGAGGCCGAGGCAGGTGGATCACGAGGCACGCGGATCATGAGGTCAGGAGTTCGAGATCAGCCTGGCCAGCATAGTGAAACCCCGTCTCTTTTCAAAAATACAAAAATTAGGCTAGGTGCGGTGGCTCACGCCTGTAATCCCAACACTTTGGGAGGCTGAGGCGAGAGGATCACCTGATGTCTGGAGATCCATACCAGCCTGGCCAACATGGAGAAACCCCATCTCTACTAAAAGTACAAAATTAGCCGGGCGTGGTGGCACATGCCTGTAATCCCAGCTACTCGGGAGGCTGAGGCAGAAGAATCACTTGAACCCGGGAGGTGGAGGTTGCGGTGAGCCGAGATTGCGCCATTGCACTCCAGCCTGGGCGACAAGAGCATAACTTCGTCTCAAAAAAAAAAAAAAAATTAGCTGGGCATGGTGGCGTGCACCTGTAGTTCCAGCTACCCAGGAGGCTGAGGCAGGAGAATCGCTTGAACCCGGGAGGTGGAGATTGTGGTGAGCCGATATCACGCCACTGCACTCCAGCCTGGGCAGCAGAGCAAGACTCCGTCTCAAAACAAACAAAAAAAAAGAAAACCCTTTTCGGTGGACTTGCTGACAATCTCAGTGCCATATCTGGTTCCCATCTCTCTGTCCTCGTCCTTCTCAGCCTCTCAGCAGCATCTGATGTGGTTTATTCTCCCCCTGGATTCTCTGATGCCACTCACATCCGCTTCTCCTCCCACTGCACTGACTGCTCCCCCTCAGCCTCCTCTGCTGCTTCGCCCCTGGAGAGCCCCCAGCACCTGCTATCTGGTCTTAACCCTTCACTCCCTATATTGGTACTCTCTCTTTGGATGAACTAACCCAGGTTCATGTTTCAACACTAATTATGTGCTGACGATTTCCAAATTACATCTCCAGCACTGACCCTTCCCTAAGCTTAGGAATCTTATATCCTGCTGCTGATTAGACGTCTCTCCTTGGTGACTGACGGCCCGTTCAAACTCAGCAAGTGTGAAAAGGAGCTCATGGCTCCACCCCCATACTTCACCCTGCTCCCCGCAGACATTTATTGAGATGATAAATGGCCACACCCAATTGCTCAGACCAAAATCCTAGGAGCCTCACTTCCCTGTTACTCCATCAACCTCTGCCTGTTACACACGCACATCAAATCTACCCACTCCCGGCCGGGCACGGTGGCTCACACCTGTAATCCCAGCGCTTTGGGAGGCCGAGGCGGATGGATCACTGGAGGTCAGGAGTTCAAGACAGCCTGGCCAACGTGGCGAAACCCCAGGTCTACTAAAAATACAAAAATTGGCAGAGAGTGGTGGCGTGCACCTATAGTCCCAGCTACTCAGGAGGCTGAGGCAGGAGAATCGCTTGAACCCAGGCGGCAGAAGTAAGGGAGGAGACCACCCCTCATATTGTCTTATGCCCAATTTCTGCTTCCAAATAAAGAAGTAAAAACTAAAAGGCAGAAATAAAATCCACAGGCAGACAGCCCGGCGCCGCGCCCTGGGCCTGGTTAAAGATCAATCCTTGACCTAACCGGTTATGTTATCTATAGATTTCAGACATTGTATGGAAAAGCATTGTGAAAATCCCTGTCCTGTTCTGTTGCGTTCTGATTACCGGTGCATGCAGCCCCCAGTCACGTACCCCCTGCTTGCTCAATCGATCACGACCCTCTCACACAGACCCCCTTAGGGTTGTAAGCCCTTAAAAGGGACAGGAATTGCTCACTCAGAGAGCTCGGTTTTTGGAGACGTGAGTCTGCCGATGCTCCCCACTAAATAAAGCCCTTTCCTTCTACAATTCGGTGTCTGAGGGGTTCTTGTCTGCGGCTCGTCCTGCTACAGAGTGAACTGGCAGGAACTCCTCCCGGTGCCTGGGCCTCAGTTTCCCCACTGTACGTGGAAGATGAGCCGCTGTGAGGCTGAGCAAGGAGCAGCCCAAGGCGGGAAAGGCTCGAGAGTCCAGGACGCAGGCGAGCGACCTAGCCCGGCTCTCACTAGCCCCACCGCCCAGTGCCCCCAGCTCAGCTGCCCTACCAGGTGCTACACACACAGCGGCCCCCCAGTTCCCTTCCGGCGTTCGCATCTCTCATCCCCATCCCGGATCTTGGGGAGGTCCTCGGCTTGCCCCAGTCAAACTCGAGGTCGATGACCCCGGATGCCGCTGGCTAAGGCGGCGGCCCAAGTCCCGTGCGGGTGAACCGCCCAGGCTGCGCGGAACCAGAGGCAGGGATCCGGTTTCCAGCCGGTTGTGGAGAGACGAGCGCTTCCGGGGACTGGAGCGTGCGTGCTGAGGTATGCGCAACGCGTGCGGGGTCTCTTCCGGAGTCTTTTCCTGGACGGGGTCCCTGCGGTGGGTGTGTTTCGGCCTGGCCTGGGCAGGCGCTTGTGCTGCCAGGGCGCCGGGCCCGGGGAGGCCGGGGTCTCGGGTGGCCGCCGGCCCAGGCGCTGGACGGCAGCAGGATGGGGAAGGCGAAGGTCCCCGCCTCCAAGCGCGCCCCGAGCAGCCCCGTGGCTAAGCCGGGTCCTGTCAAGACGCTCACTCGGAAGAAAAACAAGAAGAAAAAAAGGTTTTGGAAAAGCAAGGCGCGGGAAGTAAGCAAGAAGCCAGCAAGCGGCCCCGGTGCTGTGGTGCGACCTCCAAAGGCACCAGAAGACTTTTCTCAAAACTGGAAGGCGCTGCAAGAGGTGAGGCTTGAGGGGGCCCGGGCGGAGCGCTGCGCAGCTCATTCCCGCAGAACGCGACGGAGGGAAAGACTTGGGTAGCCCCAAAAGACCTGTAAAGGCAGATTTGAATCGAAATCTTGTAAACAGCTTTTCACAAGAAAGGTGGCCTGTTGAGGGAGGTCTCGAACTTGTTTGCTTGAAAGAAATTGATGAAAGAATTATTTCAAGTACAAAAAAGCAAAGATAAACCCTTGTACCTTTTGCATAATGAACTAACTAGAATGGATTTTACAAAGAGAAATTTAGCTTAAAATCCCGAAACCAGGCCGGGCGCGGGGCCTCACGCCTGTGATCCCAGCACTTTGGGAGGCCGAGGCGGGCAGATCCCCTGAGGTCAAGAGTTCAAGACCAGCCCGGCCAACATGGTGAAACCCCGTGTCTACTAAAAAAGTACAAAAAATATTAGCCGGGCGTGATGGCGCGCGCCGGTAGTCGCAGCTACTCGGGGAGCCTGAGGCAGAAGAATCGCTTGAACCCGGGAGGCAGAGGCAGTAGTAAGCCGAAATCGCGCCACTGCACTCCAGCCTGGGCGACAGAGCGAGACTCCATCTCAAACAACAACAACGAAAGAACACACTGGTCTGTGTAGCAAGACAGGGAGAAAGAAGATTCCTGTGTAGAAGTGAAAAGCAGATAGCAGACATGTGATGGGGTTCTAGCGACACTTACGGTCTTGAAGTAAATACTAATTGAGCTCCTAAAAATGTGCACTCTGCCATGTGCTCTATGCCATGCGTGTTGCAATCCCCACAATAAGACTGTGAGGTGGACACTTCCATCATCGCTATTGTACAGATGAGGAAATAGGCTGGAAAAGTTTAAATAGATCATCTAAGATTGCGGCTGGGAACCAGGTGGCTGACTCTGGAGTCCATGCTTTTAAGGCTGTGTTGTACCTGCTGTCTCCCTAGTGACCTGCACTTCTGTAGAGGTTGCCTGCTCTCTCCTAGACACTCTTCCACGTGCGTCACTCATACATTCTTACCACATCCCTTGGAGCTCCCTTGGAGCTACCTCCTGTTAGGATCATAGCTCACTGCTGCCTGGGCTCCAGTGATTCTCCTGCCTCAGCCTCCCGAGTAGCCCACACGTGTAATCCCAGCACTTTGGGAGGCCCAGGCAGGAGGATCACTTGAGCTCAGGAGTTCAAGTCCAGCCTGGGCAACATGGTGAGATTCCATCTCTAAATAAAAGTAAAAAGTAGTTTTTTTAAAAAAGAAATGTGATCCCCAGTGGTGGAGATGGGGCCCATAGGAGGTATTGGGTCATGGGGGTAGATCCCTCATGAATGACTTGGTGCCCTCCCCTCAGTAACGAGTAAGTTCTCACTCTGCTGGTTCATTTGAGAGCTGGTTGTTTAAAAAGAGCCTAGCACCTTTTTTGCTTGCTCTCTCACCACGCAACACACCTGCTCCCCCTTCACCTTACACCATGATGGGAAGCTTCCTTCGGCCTCACCAGAAGCAGATGCTGGCACCATGCTTCTTGTACAACCTGCAAAACCATGAGCTACATAAACGTTTTTTCTTTATAAATTACCAAACACAGGTATTCCTTTATAGCAGTGCACAATGAACTAATACAGATGGGGTTTCACTTTGTTGCCCAGGCTGGTCTTCAACTCCTGACCTCAAGCAATCCTCCCACCTCAGCCTCCCCGAGCGCTTCTTGAACCTCCTAATACTCTGCACAGTATCTCAGTGCAGACATTCCTGTCTTAACACACAGGACCAGTCAAATTCCCGTGGGCAGCCCCAGGGTTCTGTGGGATTTCTTGAACACCAACTCTTCTTCCTTCTCCCAAGAAAGAAAAGCAAAATAAGTGAATGGAAGGGATGTGTGCTATAGGGAAACTTTGGAGTGTTTTCTAATTCATCCAAGAAAGTCAGCCCTTCAGTTCTTTACCTATCACAGAACAGGTAAGTAGCACCCGCCTCATCATCGCACTGTGGTGGCGCCCACTCCCACTGGGGATTTGAACACAGGGAGGAAGCTGGGCTCTAAGACTACAGGAGCCTCTGCTTGGGTGACAGCCAAGGTGTGTGGCTGCTAGCAGTTCTTCAGCCACTCCAGTTTGACAGAAGCTTTTCTTTTCATTTATGACACCCCCCACCTTCCTGAGATCTTCACAGCAGTAGCAAACCAGGGAATCTTGTAAAAAAAAAAAAAGCGATTTCTGTGTAGCAGGATGTTGGCCCAAGCTGTGAGGGAAGTTAACTCCAAAATTCTTTCTAGATAAGCTGAAAAGGGAAGTGGTCTGTGGTGTCCAGCCACTCAACAGGTACCCAAGGTGTAGAATGAGTTTGACATTTTGTATGCATGAAGGAGCAGGTGCAAAATGCATTATAATAAGATAAGCAAAGAAACAGCATTTCACCACAAGTGACCCATGAGAATGAAAAAGAGCTTTTTCCAAACCGTTTGAAAATGAATTTCAGTGATGCGGATGGGAATTGTATAGATGTGTTTGGTGTATATGTGTGTATATACATACACACGTAAGTTTTTTCAATCTGCTGTGTGTAATTTCCAAATTCAAATGCAGCATGTATTTTATTTTGGGTCCCAGTGGCTGCTGAAACAAAAATCTCAGGCCCCAGAAAAGCCTCTTGTCATCTCTCAGATGGGTTCCAAAAAGAAGCCCAAAATTATCCAGCAAAACAAAAAAGAGACCTCGCCTCAAGTGAAGGGAGAGGAGATGCCGGCAGGAAAAGACCAGGAGGCCAGCAGGGGCTCTGTTCCTTCAGGTTCCAAGATGGACAGGAGGGCGCCAGTACCTCGCACCAAGGCCAGTGGAACAGAGCACAATAAGAAAGGAACCAAGGAAAGGACAAATGGTGATATTGTTCCAGAACGAGGGGACATCGAGCATAAGAAGCGGAAAGCTAAGGAGGCAGCCCCAGCCCCACCCACCGAGTAAGTATGGGCCACCTCACCACTGAGAACCGAGGCACAGCGACTTCACCAAGGCCTGTCTCCTTATGGAGGCTGGTGGCCTCACCGCAGTCTCTCCATCACTTTACCCTGATGTCGTCTGTTCCTTTGTTTACTCGCTGTTACTTGTTTTCCCCTAGAGTGTGCGCATGATAAGGCAGGGCCTGCTTCTTCCGAGCGTTGAGCAGAGCTCAGCATTTAGTGGGTGCCAGTACACGTGTGTGGAAGGAAAGCGTGCTGAAGCCAGAAAGACCCAAGTATGAGGCCTGTCCCTGCTTCTCGCCAGTTGGGTGGTTTGGGGCAAGTTTCTGACGTCCTCTGTGCCTTGTGGTAGTCATGGTGGCATCATAAGGAGATTGTGAGGTTGGCACTCTTGGCTCAGTGCCTGGTGATTACTTCAACCCTGTGATGGAGCCAGGTGTGGTGGCTGTTGCCTGTGATCCCAGCTCCTTGGGAGGCCAAGGTGGGAGGATCACTTGATCCCAGGAGGTTGAGGCTGCAGTGAGCTGTGATTGCACTACTGCCTCCAGCCTGGGTGACGGAGCAAGACTCTCAAAAAAACAAGTGAAAAGAATAAACCCTGTGCTGGCCACCCACGTGGGGTGGACCGGGAGTCAGTGGCCTTCTCTGAATGGTTCAGCTGGAGGTGACGTGTTCATAAGTTACAGCTGGCTTCATGTTGCCTGGGTGTTCAGGACACAGTCGCTGATGGCTGAGGAATGAGCCATTTGGGGGCCTCCCTGTGTTGTGCTAGGCAGGCTGTCTGGGATAGAGTTCAGTGAGGTGGGCCTGCTCCTCCCTCTTGAGGCTTATTGTCAAGTGCAGTAGACAGACTGTAAACTGCAGCTGTTGATTAAGTGTGGTCAGGATAAATCTAGTGAGGAGAAGGTATTGGGCGCCTGGAACAAGAGGGACGTGTCCATTCAGTGGGGCCAGGAATGGCTTTTCTAAGGAAATGACATTTAACCTTAGCCCAAGAGACAGATTCCCCAGGCAGGTGTTACGTGCCTGTGTGAGCTTCCTAGTACGGAGGGCAAGGGGTTCTGTGTTTCCATCTTACAGGCATTCTGTCTGTCTGTTTCCTAAGTGTTCAATAATGAACGTGTTACCTTCATAATTAAAATGTTAGCACTCATTACACTTGGGTGGTGGGTTATGTGTTTCTGTTTTATATTCTTTGTGTTTGTCTGTGTTCCTAAATCTTGAATAATGAGTGTATTTTCTAATTAAAAAGAAAAGAGATGAGGCCAGGTGCTGTGACTCACACCTGTAATCCCAGCTCTTTGGGAGGCCGAGGCAGGTGGATCACTTGAGGTCAGGAGTTCAAGACCAGCCTGGCCAACATGACGAAACCCCGTATCTACTGAAAATACAAAAAATTAGCCAGGCGTGGCAGTGGGCGCCTGTAAAATCCCAGCTACTAGGGAGGCTGAGACAAGAGAATCACTTGAACCTGGGAGGCAAAGGTTGCAGTGAGCCAAGATCATGCCACTGCACTCCAGGTTGGGTGACCCAGTGAGACTCCATCTCAAAAAAAAAAGGAAAATGCCAAGATGATCAAAATAGCAGAAGCAGCAGGGCCAGCAGTCGGGGTGTCTGGGGCCAGCCTGTGGGAGAGGCAGGCTGTGCCATCGCTCCACTCACCTGCACAGTCAGCCCCACAGCCCCACCCCACCAGTTGCACTAGGGTCTTCTGGTGATCAGCCTGTTATCTTTGCCTTTTAGGGAAGACATCTGGTTTGACGACGTGGACCCAGCGGATATCGAAGCTGCCATAGGTCCAGAGGCGGCCAAGATAGCGAGGAAACAGTTGGGTCAGAGCGAGGGCAGCGTCAGCCTCAGCCTCGTGAAAGAGCAGGCCTTCGGCGGGTACGCTGGTCTCAGGGAGTGGGGTCTGCTGGGGATGCTTAGCCGTGGAGGGCGGGGCTTCTTCAAGGAAGAGGATGCTTTCCTCTCCCTGAGGTGAATGAGGCAAGCACCTCCCAGGGTCCTGCTAAGAACCAGGACCACACAGAGCTTGTCACGTGGGTGCAAATGAGTGAGGGGCAGAGAGCTTTTCTCTGCTGACACTTAGTCCATGGATCCCTGGGGCTCTGACCTGGAGCCCTGTGGCCTGCCGTGTTTATTAAACTACAGCCTTTGGTTACCCTTCAGCCTGACAAGAGCCTTAGCCTTGGACTGTGAGATGGTGGGCGTGGGCCCTAAGGGGGAGGAGAGCATGGCCGCCCGTGTGTCCATCGTGAACCAGTATGGGAAGTGCGTTTATGACAAGTACGTCAAACCAACCGAGCCCGTGACGGACTATAGGACAGCGGTCAGTGGGATTCGGCCTGAGAACCTCAAGCAGGGTATGTCATCCACAGCTCAGGAACTTAGAAGGGAAAGTAGTAACTGGATTCGTTTTCTCCCTTTTGTTCCCTTTTCTGTCTGAGACCACTCACTGCAGCTGGTTTTGATGCGTCTTGTCTCCTTTTGGGGCGATGGGTTTTAAAATACAAAAGGCATCCTTAGACGGCTTTACACCCATTTATGCCTTGCACTTCATTGCCTCCTGTCCGCTGACTTCAAGACCAGGCCAGTAGCTGGGCACGGTGGCTCATGCCTGTAGTCCCAGCTACTCAGGAGGCTGAGGAGGGAGGATTGCTTGAACCCAGGAGTTCAAGTCCAGCCTGGACAACATAGCGAGACCTCATTTCTAAAAAAAATTATTATTTTTTTTTGAGATGGAGTTTTGCTCTTGTTGCCCAGGCTGAAGTGCAATGGCACAATCTGGGCTCACTGCAACCTCCGCCTCCTGGGTTCAAGCGATTCTCCTGCCTCAGCCTCCCGAGTAGCTGGGATTACAGGCATATGCCACCACACCCGACTAATTTTGTATTTTAAGTAGAGACAGGGTTTCTCCACATTGGTCAGGCTGGTCTTGAACTCCCGAACTCAGGTGATCCGCCTGCCTCCGCCTCCCAAAGTGCTGGAATTACAGGCATGACCCACTGCACCTGGCCTTCTAAAAAATATTTTTAAAAAATTAGCTGGTCCCACTTGGCTCGGGCCACCCTTGGTCTAATCACCCCTGTTCGGGGGGTACAAGTGGGGTTGGTGGTGGGGTGGTCCCCAGAAGCAGGCAAGGCTGCCTCTGGAGCCCAGGGCCTAGGGCAACACATCTCTACCCATTTTTGTGGGGGCAGTTTTGTTTTTATTTCCATTTGGGAAATTGTCAAGTAAATCATGAGGTTGAATAGGCAGAACCACGCTGCCAGGCGGCTCTAAAAGTTTCTCAGTGCCTACACTCAACATATGCTCTCCTCCAGCCATGAGCCGACTTTGCAGACTGTGTGGAGCACTTTATTCCTCTCCTCAGAGGTGGTTCTCGCAGCCACCCCTGCCAGGGGCCCACAAGGCACTTCTCCCAGGGGGGTGGGTGGATGTGGTGGCTTCGAGTCACCCTCCGTAGTGGCATTGCAGGCCTGACCATTTGTCTTAGGTCTGACCAGGGGTAGGAGCGGGGCTGCCTCCTCACAGAATGATGGTGATGTGTGTGTTGCAAAAAACCGCTTCTTTGTGTTGATTTTCCAGGAGAAGAGCTTGAAGTTGTTCAGAAGGAAGTGGCAGAGATGCTGAAGGGCAGAATTCTAGTGGGGCACGCTCTGCATAATGACCTAAAGGTACTGGGCTCTCTCCTGGGGACTCAGCCTGCCCCTGCTCCGTGGGTGTTACACTCACGCCCTTGCTGTGTTGGGGAGTTTTAACAATGTGTGGGTTTGTGCTCTATGTTGGGAATACTTTGGTAATAATATCAGATACCGCGTGCTGAGTTCTTACTGTGTTTTAGGAGCCATGCCAGGCTCTTGTTTTGAGAGCCCCCAGCGAAACTGGGGTACCCATACCAGAGCAGCTGGCAACCCCGCCCTAATGAGAAATGAAGGTGCTGATACCCCTTTTACCTGGAGGAAGGCCTAATGTCCAGTTGTCCCATCCGTGACCAGGGTCCCTCCACAGGAAACAAGTTTATCCTGGCAGATGCCCTGTGGCCCATGTTCAGGTTACGCTTGCCTAACCATCACCCTGGCCCTGGGAGCTTGCCTTTGCCTTCTTTCTGGCGTCCCGAGGAAAATCCCGCCTGGGGCAGCCCCTGGTTCTTCAGATGGAAAGTGCAAATTCAGACACCACCACCGTGGGAAACAAGTTCAAAGACATATACAGACCCTGGGCAGGGAAGGCGTCATGGGTGGGGAGGGCAGCCTGCCATCTCCTGGTCACCCGAGGCAGGAATGAAGAGTCAGGCAGAGCGAGTACGTGTGTATTTACAGGAGAACAGGGTGGGGGTCACTTTGAGTTTATGGGCAAATGCCTGGATGTTGGTTTAAAGGACACAGTGGGAACAGCGGGGAGGCCAGTCTGCTAGATGGGAGAGACACTTAAGTTGTCACCTCTGCCCACCGGCTTGAAGCACTTGGGTGTGGTGAGGAACTTGAAGCCGTTCAGAAGGAAGTGACAGAGATGCTAATGTTCAGGCAGCAGCCTTTGCTATGGTGCTCCCGTGACGGCACTGTAGAGATCCCTTGAATCCATTGAAGATGCTGGAGGTGTTCATGCTTGTTTACAGAGGGTGAAACTGAGGTGAGAACCCCCCGGGCAGTGTCCTCACAGAAAGGTCTTCTGTGTGCTCCTGCTGTACCCCCTCAGAGACTGCTGCCGTGGGGACTCGTCCTTCCCTCCTGACTCTGACTCCATCCCTGGCACCTTGCGCAGCACATGTTCAAGTCTTTCTTGAAGATGATGCTAAGGACCAGACACAGTGGCTTATGCCTGTAATCGCAGCTTTTTGGGAGGCTGAGGCTGGAGGATTGCTTGAGGCCGGGAGTTAGAGACCAGCCTGAGTAACATAGGGGAGACCCCATCTCTATAAAAAATTTTAAAATTAGCCAGGTGTGGTGGCGTGTGCCTGTTGTCCCAGCTACTCAGGAGACTGGGGTAGGAGGATCAGTTGAGCCCAGGAGGTTAAGGCTGCAGTGAGCCATGATTACCCTATAGCACTGCAGCCCAGGTGACAGAGTGAGATCCTATCAAAAAACAAAACAAAACAAAAAATTGCATGCTAAGATTGCAAGATGAGCTGTTAAAATGTGTTATTTGCAACTTCCTGATGTGTAGAACCAACTCAAAATACAAGTATAATATAGGAATAAGTTGGTTGCTGGTTAACTGTTGACTGTTTTTCTCCTACTTCCTTGATTTCAAGATTTTGTTTTTATTGTCTCTGACTGTTGGGCATCAGCTTAAGTCAGTGCAATAAATTTCCTTCTGGAGTTGAAATTCATATCAGTGCCTTGTTTCCATGTGTGTGTGACACACTTGGATTCCCTACAAGATGTTACTTGCAGGGCAGCCGCGTTGGCTCACACCTGTAATCCCAGCACTTTGGGAGGCCGAGGCGGGTGGATCACCTGAGGTCAGGAGTTCGAGACCAGCCTGGCCAACATGGCAAAACCCTGTCTCTACTAAAAAATACAAAAATTAGCCAGGCATGGTGGCGGGCACTTGTAATCCCAGCTACTCGGGAGGCTGAGGCAGGAGAATCACTTGAAACCTGGGGTCGGAGGTTGCAGTCAGCAAAGATTGAGCCACTGCATTCCAGCCTGGGTGACAGAGCAAGACTCCGTCACACACACACACACACACACACACACACACACACACACACACACACACACAAAGATGTTACTTGCAAAAGGTGGCGGGGGGAGGGGGTTCTGCTACTACAAACCAAAAATGAAAATGATTATCATTATATTTTATTTTTCTAGGTACTATTTCTTGATCATCCAAAAAAGAAGATTCGGGACACACAGAAATATAAACCTTTCAAGAGTCAAGTAAAGGTACTTAGAATGAGTGTGACTCAAGATACTGTATTTCTGTTTTGCTGGTCACTTCATTGTTTCTGGTCACTGGTGGCTGACTTGTTGGTTAAAGGGTTTTTGTTTTTTCTTTTAACCTTTAAAACTAGAAGGAATGTTTAAAAATAGAGTTCTGCTAATTGCTGACCTTAAAAATGATTGCAACGGAGGGCAAGTTATTTCCACTCTAACCTCTGAAACAGGGTCACTGACTAAGGGCCTGGTACCACTGTCGTATCTGCTCTAGAGGGTGCCAAGGGCAGAGCCGTTCTTCATCCTTTTTTTTTTTTTTAGACAGGGTCTTGCTCTGTCACCCAGGCTGGAGTGCAATGGCATAATCTTGGCTCACTGTAACTGCCACCTCCCAGGCTCAGGCAATCCTTCCACCTTAGCCTCTGAAGTAGCTGGGACTGCAGGCATATGCCACCACCCCTGGCTAATTTTTTTATTTTTATTTTTTTAGAGATAGGGTCTTGCTGTGTTGCCCTGGCTATTCTCAAACTCCTGGGTTCAAGTGATCTGCCCTCGTTGGCCTCCTAAGTGCTGAGATTACAGGTGTGAACCACCATGCCTGGCCAGAGCTGTCCCTCTTGAAATAAGCAGGGAGGCCTCAAGATGGGAGATGGGGATGCTGACTCCTCCCCTGGCCCTCTCCTTTTATTGGCTGATAGGGGTGTATCACCAGCCCATCATGCTATAAATGGCAGCTGGTGGCTACCACCCTAAGTGCCATGAGCACCTCTCCACTGAGAGGCAAACTGTAGGTCGCTTGGGTGAGGTTCAGTAGCCAACCGCTCCCTGCTTGGTGGGGTGACCCTCTTTGGGCCGAGCCTGCAGAGGCCCCCACCCGCCTCTTCCCCCTTTGCAGAGTGGAAGGCCGTCTCTGAGACTACTTTCAGAGAAGATCCTTGGGCTCCAGGTCCAGCAGGCGGAGCACTGTTCAGTAAGTGTGTCCTGTGGGGTAGTTCATGGGGTTTGGGGCGGTTTCCCACCTGGAACCAGACATGAGTCACCTGACACAGACATGGGGGAGGTGGGGCTTGGGCACCTACTTATCCTACGAGGCTATTGGTCAAAAAAAAAAAATGGTAGAGCGGAGTTACGGAATTTTGGTTAAATTCTAAATATGCACATTTAACGAATTTAACACTTAACACAAAAGTACTGCATTCTCGTTATTTGGAGAAAAAGTTGCCAAATAATTACAAAGGGTCCCCCCACCCCCGCAGCCCTCCAGCCCTGCCCTGCCCGGCCCTGCTGAGCAGCTGGCTCTGCCTCTGTGGAGCAGTCACCCCCTGCCAACGTGGCCTCAGTGCTTTGGGCCCTTTTTGCCCATCTGCTTGGTCCTTGTGCCCCTGTGCCCAGCACCCAACCTGCCATCACCCTGCACTCAGAGACCTAAAAAGGCAGCGTGTTTGTTGCTTCTCCTCTTTGGGTTTCCCTTTCTTCTCCTGGGAGGGGTGTCTGAGTCACAGAAGTGTGGGGACCATCAGGTCGTTGCTCCCTCTGCTTCTCTTGTGTCCTCCCTCCCCGTCCTGGTGACATCTCGTGGCCAGGTCCATGTCTCACTCAGTACATCTGTAGCAGAGTGGCTAGTGGGAGGGCTCAGTCATTGTGGGGTTGACTGTGGGCTGCGGCTATGCCTCGTCACCTGCTGGGATGTTTCATGTCGTCTAGATTCAGGATGCCCAGGCAGCAATGAGGCTGTACGTCATGGTGAAGAAGGAGTGGGAGAGCATGGCCCGAGACAGGCGCCCCCTGCTGACTGCTCCAGACCACTGCAGTGACGACGCCTAGCAGTCCTGCCCTGCTGCTGCTGCCGCCCCGCTACAGAGGCAATGTGACCAGTCACAGGGACAGATCACATCTCCCCAGAGTGGCAACTCTGGTGAAACCTTTTCAGAATCATGGCAGAGGGGCGTGGCGTGGTGCTACTGAGAAGGTCCTCCTTCCTCTTGACTTTGTGGTCTGAAACCTGGTCTTACTGTCCATGTGTGTTTGGGCCCGGATGGTCAGGGTGGGGAGCAGGGACGGCCATGGGCACGCCTGGCCACGCTTTACCGACTGCTGACCCCCTGGGCCAGGTGAGGTTGGGGCCTGTGGGCCGCCAGTCCATACGGTGCTGTCACTGCCCATCTTCGGTGACACCCTGGGGTGAGGTGCTCAGCACCTTCCTCTCGAGGAGCCACATTTTCCTCCTTTGTGTTAGGGGACATAACAAGCTCTGCTGGGCTTGAGGGACCCAGACCAGGTGTCTGCAGTCAGCTCCTGAGACACAGCTGGCCGGCACAACAGGTGTTACATCAGGGGTTTCCTGTGGCCGTTTGAACTTTGAGCATTTATCTAAATTAAATTGGCCCAGGGTTGGCTGGTGGGTCACCCAGCAGAGGCTTCTCCCCATAGCACGAGGATGTGTTGCCTGGGCACGGTGACTGCGGTTATTCCTGGAGGTCGGCAGACATGCCAACCTTGGGCTATTTGAGCTGGAGAAGCTATGTGATGCTAGCCGGTGGCTTTCTGGGCTAGGCCCCAGTTTGAGGCTCCCCTGGGAACTAGAGCCAGGAACAGCCAGTGGCACTGACAAGGGGACGGAGTCCAAGGCGTTATTGGGCCACCTGACAGCTGGACAGAAAAGGGGCAGACACACCGAGGATGCGATTTAAAATAAATGCAGATGTTTACTTGGAATGGAGCCTGTGGAGGCTCAGTGTTGACTCTCATCTAGAATGGTCTGGAAGGACTGCTCTGTCCAGGGGCGAGGTCTATAGAGACTGCAGAATTAAGTATCCCACTGGCCAGTCACAGCCTCTTGCCAGAAATGATTAAGGCAGAAACTGGCCTTGGGCCTCTTTATTAGTCACCTAAGAGGAGTGTGAGATGCGCATTCTGGTGCTGGATGACCCTTCCCCCCACCCCAAGGGAAACAGTGGCCCATGGAAAGGAAGGACAGGGAGAGGGCACACGTGGAGGGAGGGGCCTGTGGGGTATCTGTCTTCTCCCCCGCATCAGGGCTGAGCTGCTTCCCCACCCAGTGGGCTGGGAGAGGTGGCTGCCTCCAGCCTCAAGAGCACTTTTTCCGCGCAAGAAACCAGTTCCTGGAAGGAGGAAGCAGGCAAGTCAGTTTTCGTGGACAGTCCCCGGGTCCAGGAGCAGTTACTCATGTGACTCAATCCAGCAGTCATGGACAGGAAACTCTTTGGAGAGGTCTGATTACCCCTCCCGTTTAAGATTGATTTTGGCCCAGTCATAGAGATGGGATAATAGGCAGGCAGGAGAGCAGTCTTGAAAACTATACACGTGGAGATCAAGGTCAGTTCCATACAAACATCTATTCCAGTCCCCCAGACGTGGTGCACCCCAGCTGGGGGCTTCCACCTGGAGGGAGGCCTGGTTTGCTGAAGGCGCTGCTGTCACTCACCAGGCTGGAGGTGAAGCGCTCCTTGATCTCCTGGAGCAGGGCCTTCATACTACTGGACACCAGCTCCGGCAGGATCTCCTCTGCAGGTGGAGCAGGAAGGTCCTGAGGCCAGAGTCCTTCCTGTGCCCCTTGCCAGAAGCCCCAGAAGGATGAGAGTGGGTCACATTCCCCCTTGGGCTTGGCATGCACAGAGCCACCTTGCAGTTCCGGAGCCCCAAGCGTCACCCTCAGCCAGGACAACCCCTGGTGCTCAGAAGATGCCAAATGAGTGGGAAGTTTAAGTGGGCCGAGAAGTGGGGTTGAGCCCACCTTCCATGTGCTCCTTCCCTGTCAGTTATAGGGGGAGCGGGGCACCCCTGACCGCTGGGCTCTAGGGAGTGTGAGGTGAGAAGGGGTTCTCACCATAGGAAGCCAGGTGGACCAGCAGCATGCCCACGTTCTCCACCACCTCCGGGTCGTCCCTGTGGAGCTGGTAGGTCTCCTTGATGAGGCTGAGGCCACTGCCGCCCTCCTCCTGCACCACCACCTTGAAGGCCGCCAGCTCTGGGGGATGGGTGGGAGTGGGTTCATTCCCTGCTTTCCCCTGAAAGGGAAGAGCCTTCTGCCCAGGACGGGATGGGACCCCAGAGCTCACACAGGGGCCTGGGACAGGACAAGAGACGGGACCCAGGAGGCCCCATCAGCTTGGGCGGACCAGTAGGCTGGCATGACCTGAACAGGACCATGCAAGAACAGAGGAGGCAGCCCCCCCAGAGCCAAAGGGGTCGTTGTCACTCTGGGGAAGATTAGGTAGTACAGAGGTCAAGACCATGAGCCCGGAGTTGCCAGGCACCAGCTAGTGTCTTGGCCAGGCCCAGGATGCTCTCTGAAGGACTGTGCTGTGGGCCGAGCGTCGGTTGTGCTGTGCTCAGCGCTGGGCCCAGCCTGTCTAGCTGAGTAACAGGCAGGGTTTGTGTTGTGGGGAATTGGAGACACTGTTTGCAGAGCTGTTTTGATCAGTCACGGTGTGCCTGCATGTTAGGAAACCTGTGCAGATGTGATGTGTTTATGGACAGAGAGAGGGTCACAGGGTAGCATAACGCAGAGACAAGAGTTTATCAAGTGTGCGTGAAAGTCTTGATGGTGATTTCTGGATGACTGGACTTCAGATCGTTTTTAATTTCTTTTCCTTTTTGATTTGTTGCTTCTGTTTTTTGGTTTGTGGCACCTGGCAGATGTAACTGATGGGGGCTGATTCTTGCCCCCACCTCTAGGTGGCAGCCTCGTCCTGTCCCCAGGCTCACCTGACACCTTCACCAGGCTGGCCAGTCCCCGGTAGGCATTGTTCACCAGCAGGGCTCTGTCCTGGCACAGCCGGATGCTTTGCAGGAGCAGCGCCACCACTTGTTCAAACTGCTGCTCCTTGATGCAGCCTGCAGAAAGGGGCCGGGCTGCCTTGTGCCTGCTGTGCCATGAGGCCCACCCCTCCCAGCCCCAGGGGCCCAGGGCGCCCACCCAGCTCACCCAGCAGGGACAGCAGCCAGAAGACTCCGCAGCTGGCTTCTGCCATTTCCCCATCCGCAGGGTAGGTGGCCAACACCTGGCTGATGAGGTCCGGGACCTTCTCCAAGGGGGCCTTGTTCACAATGATACCTGGAACGAGGACAGGGATGGAAGGGGACACCCAGGCCTTGGGTGTGTGCAGGGGGGCCTTCCCATCCCCCATCTGCTGCCTTCCTCCAGCTAACGACAACAGCAGAAATGGGGTGGGAAAGGTCAACTGTCCTCAGAGACGGGTGCAGGGGTTAGCCCAGGAGAGGCTTGGAGAATCCCACACTTTGGGTGCTGGCAGGGTTCTTGGGTTTCCCGGGCTTTCCGTGGTTTGGAGCTCTCTTTTTCCTGGGGCGCTGGAGTGCCAAGATGGGGTCTAGAGGAGAGGAAGCAGCACAGGCCAGGGGGCCCCCTACTGTGAATCAAAAATCAAAACAAACAGGGCATCCAGCACCACACCACCGCTGCCCTCTGGAACCAGGACTGCCCGGAAAATCCCAGGACATTTCCCTGGGCAGGAGGCACTTAAAACTGAGGGGTCTGCCCACTGGGCAAGAAGTCCTGAAACCCGGCCTCTGCCAGAAGGCCTTTCTCCCCTGCCTTTTCTCTCTCTGCTCCTTGATTTTCTTCTGTTGGAGTTGGAAGCTCTCAGAAGAGCCTTTCCCGGACTATGGCTGTTGTGTTTTAGGGACAGGACATGGAGGTCCTCGAAGGCTCTCAGGGGCAGTTAGGGAGGGGCTGGGGGAGGGCTGCCAGCCCCGGTGGGACAGCAGGAGGAGGGCCCCTCACCGTCCAGCAGGAGGGCCCAGAGCAGGCCCAGGCCGCTGGCGCAGACGTCCCTGCTTTCGAGGGAGCTGTTGAGGTGCTCCAGGATGTGCTCCAGCAGCCCAGCATTCTGCAGCTCCTCTGACAGTGACTCTGACTCTGTGGGTGAGCCAGAATGAGGGCCCCAGGGCCCCTCCCTCCAGGAAGCCTTCCTGCCTCTGTTGTCCTTGGGCACTGCAGTCCCATTTGACCTGCAATCCTAGGTGCCTGCTCTGGGCCAAGTCGTGTGCACTCAATGGAGCCCTGAACAGGAGGATGTGGGACTGGCCCCAGAGGAGTCTGTCCATCTCGTGGGCCACCAGTCCCAATAGCTGCCATCCCACTACCAGGCTGGGTCTGACCTCTGTAGCTTCCCATCCAGGGGGCCTGACCCTGCCTCCTGGGCTCACAGAGCCAGCCTGTGCCTTCCAGGATGGAACCATGACGGGGCCCTATCCCGGTAGGATGAACTGACATCCATTTTGCCTGAGGGTTCCAGTTGACATCTATTCCTAGTGCCTCCTTTCACTCCCCAAAGTGAGATCAGCCATGTATCATCAGTTATCCAGTCTGTGCAGTAAAGAGGGTGCTGGGGCCCAGACCCCAGCCCTGAACCCTGCTGCATGGACTCCTGGCAACTGTCCTTAGGCTCTCTCGAGGCCCAGCTTCCTGTTGGGGAGAACAGTGCCCACCCGATTTGTGGGTGAAGGTGTGAGCGCTCTGTATGGCCCTCTCCTTCCCACAGTCCTGGCTGGAGGCTTCGGAAGCCCACTGGGCCCTATGGAATGGAGACACACAGGGCATTTGAGCCCCAGCCTCCCAGAAGGGGCAGGAAGTGTGGGAAAGAGATGTCATTGGTGTGAAGCCCACAGCTGCGCCTAGCATGTCTGTAGAGGGAACCAGTGACTTCAAGAGTGGAAGCTTGTCATCAAGATGGAAAAGGATGCGACCAGCATTTGGGGTGGCCAAATGAAGACGGCCAAATGCCACCATGTATCTCAGGAGGAGGCCCAGCACTGTCCTGTCCAACCCACCTATACCCCAAACCAACCCTTCCAAGACCCCTGGGAAGGGCTGTCCTGGAGCGTGGGTGGGGCAGGAGGTGGCTGGCAGACACACCCTGGGTTGTGGTGATGGCTAGCAGGCTGTAGACCATGACAAGAAGTGGCTCCTCCTCGGGGTGGCTCTGAAGAGCACTCAGCAGGGTGGAGGTGATGGCTTGGTTGCAGGGAGCCTTGGCTTCCGGGTGGTGCACCAGCGCTGCTCAAGCCAGAGGAAGACGCCTGGGGTTAGCCCCACAGCTCAGGCATGGGGCCAGACACACAAGGCTCACAGGCTGGGGGATAGCATCTCCACTTTGCATGAAGGAAACCGAGGTCTGCCTTGTTCTGACCCAGAGCAGGCCTCCATGAATCCCTGTGGCCTAATGGAGTGAAGGACCGGAAGGGAGCCCTGCCCGGCCAGGCCACGCATCCTGGTCCCTGGGAGCCAGTCAGGCAGCACTGAACACAATTTCAACATTGCATGGAACTCCAAACTTCCAACAGTGAAACTAGAAAGGTGGCCGCGCGCGGTGGCTCATGCCTATAATCCCAGCACTTTGGGAGGCTGAGGCGGGTGGATCACGATGTCAGGAGTTCAAGACCAGCCTGACTAACATGGTGAAACCCGTCTCTACTAAAAATACAAAAATTAGCCAGGCGTGGTGGTGGGTGCCTGTAGTCCCAGCTATTCAGGAGGCTGAGGCAGGAGAATCGCTTGAACCTGGGAGGTGGAGGTTGCATTGAGCCGAGAGTGCGCCACTGCACTCGCCTGGGTGACGAGCAAAACTCCATCTCAAAAAAAAAAAAAAAAGTAACTAAATACTTTTTGTTTCAAAAAAAATCATCAAAGCTAATTCAACTCTTTTAACAACCCATGTCTCTCATAGGAGGCTCAATCTCTCAGCTCCAACCTCTTCCATCAGGACAGTGAAATGAACTCAGCACTGCCCTCCTACCAGCCCTCTTCAGAGGACACAACCCATCCTCCCTGAGGGTCACTCCAGAGGACCTCGTGTCCAGCTCCTCGCTTCATAGCTGGGAAAACTGGCAGGATCATCAGGAACTTGTCCAGGGCCACGGAGCAGGCAAAAGGCAGGCCTGGGTGGGATCCGCGTCTCCAAGCTCCTGGCCTGTGCCCTCTCTGCCATCCAGGATGGGGTCTGATGGGCACAGGATGGCATGGACTCTCCAGTGGTTAGATGCCAACCAGGTGGTGGGGGCAGAGCTAGGCCACCAGGAGTGTCTCCTGGCCTGGCCCTGGCATCCACCTTGGCCTAGAAGATGGCCTAGAAGGTGCAGCAGCAGGGAGCAGGGCATGGCTTCCCCTAACCCACCCGGCCCGGTGCCCACCTTGGCCCAGGAGGCACAGCTGCAGGAAGCAGCGCACAGCCTCCCCGACCCCATCTGGCCTGGTTTGGCACCCACCTTGGCCCAGGAGGTGCAGCAGCAGGGAGCAGGCACACAGCTGGACATCGAGGACCCTGTCATGTAGCTCCATGGTCGTGACCACCACCTCCACCAGCTCCGGGGGCCACGGCAGACCTGGCAGGGCGGGCGGCACAGGGGAGACTCATTTTGGGCCAGATCGGGGGCATATAGACCCGACCAGGGCCCCCAGAGGCTGGTAGGAGCCTGCAGGGCCCTAGGTGGGTGAATAGAAGGGGGAAGGACAATGAGGATTAGCGCTAGGTCCATGGAGTGCATGCCATGTCTGCCACGGGTGTCCTGCTCTGTGCTGCCCACAGCCCTGTGAAGTGGCCCCTCCCAAGGCTGCCCTCCATATGCAGATGAGGAACCTGGGGTCAGCAGGATGAAAGCACCTGCTCTTCAGCAGTTTGAACCTAGCCAGTCTATTCCAGAGCCCTTGGCTGCAACTGCCCTGAGGGTGGACATGGGTGGGTGGGCTCCATCCACCCTGCCACTGTGCCAGAAACTGTTGTGGGCTGGGGACTGGGTGAGGGGCAGTGGCCAGGCAGCCATCCCTCCACTCTAGGCTCATGAGAGCAACAAGGATGAAGTCCTGGCACCTGGAGTGTGGAGCGAAGCAAGACCCCCCCCTCTTTTTTTTTTTTTTTTGAAACAGAGTCTCACTCTGTCGCCTAGGCCGTTGTGCAGTGGCATCATCTCAGCTCACTGCAACCTCCGCCTCCTGGGTTCAAGCGATTCTCCTGCCTCAGCCTCCTGCGTAGCTGAGATTACAGGCATGCGCCACCACGTCTGGCTAATTTTTGTATTTTTAGTAGAGACAGGGTTTCACCATGTCTGGCCAGGCTGGTCTTGAACTCCTGATCTCAAGTGATCTGCCCACCTCAGCCCCTCCCAAAGTGCTGGGATTACAGGCATGAGCCACTGCGCTGGGCTGCAAGCCCATTTCTAAGCAAGGCGTGGAGGGAGGTGTGGCTCCGGGTGGTGGGAAAGACCTACCCTTTGGGATGGGGCCCAACAGCTTCCCTAGTTTCCCCAGGGAGGCAAAGTCTCTCTTCCCAGGGACTCTGTCCTGGTCACAGCTGAGCTACAAAAGGGGTCGAAGAGGAGGAGGGGAGGGAGGGAATGGTAAATTAGGCCCATATGAGGCCTCTGCTACCTACTCAAAGGCCAGGGCTGGGCCTTGTCACCTCTGAGGCCCGAGCCACTGCAACAAACCTCAGTGGATTCCTAATCCAGGTCTGATGGATAGACAGACGGATGGATGGGTGGATGGGTGGATGGATGGATATGTGAAGGTAATGTTCAGGCAGGTGAAAAAGGTTGAATGGAAAGATTTTATGAAAGCATGTTTTGGCACAAATGTTTTAAAAATTGGCCGAGCACGGTGTCTCACGCCTGTAATCCCAACACTTTGGAAAGCCAAGACAGGCAGATCACTTGAGATCAGGCGTTTGAGACCAGCCTGGCCAACATGGTGAAACCCCCTCTCTAATAAAAATACGAAAAATTAGCTGGGTGTGGTGGCACACACCTGTAGTCCCAGCTACTTGGGAGGCTGAAGCAGGAGAATCACTTGAACCCAGGAGGCGGAGGTTGCAGTGAGCCAAGATCGCACCACTGCACTCCAGCCTGGGGGACAGAGCGAGACCCTGTCTCAAAAACAAACAAACAAACAAACAAAAACAAAAAAAAACTGCTTTTCCCAACACTCTCCATGAATGAGCAGTAACAATCTTTTTGGGTTTGGTTTTGTTTTCTGAGACAGGGTCTTCTAGGCTGGAGTGCGGTGGTGCAAGCGTAGCTCACTATAGCCTCAATTCCCTGGGCTCAAGCAATCCTCCTGCCTCAGCCTCCTGAGTAGCTAGGATAACAGACATGTGTCACCACACCTGGCTAATTTTTTTATTTTTTGTAGAAATGGGCTCTCCCTTTGTTGCCCAGGCTGGTCTCAAATCCCTGGGCTCAAGCAGTCCTCCCGCCTTGGCTTCTCAAGGTGCTAGGATTACAGGCGTGAGCTACTGCGCCAGGCCATGCATTCTTAATAGGTGGGCAAGTTGTATCTGTGAAAAGTTAAAGTATTCACACTCTTGAACATCTAGGAATCTGTGCTACGGAAACAAGTGCACAGATACATACACACCAGGGTGTCCGTTCTAGTATCATTCATAATAGTGGAAACTGAGAAACAACTCAGATACCCCTCATAGGGACAGTGGGGAAGATGGGATGTCTGTGGCTCCATTAAAATCATGTGAGGGCTGCCACACCACCCATTCCCCTTCTCTGCTGTCTTCCCCAGGCAGATAGCAGAGACACGGGACTCTTCTGGGGACACATGCACGCCTCCACGCTGCAATAAAGCACTGGCGAGGAGAGCCCGGGGTGAGGGCCAGCCTCAGCTCCCCACAGGCCGGACCATAGCTTCTGCCCCTAGGGGAGCAGCTGGGAAAGGGGTGCAGGGTGGGGCCTACCTAGCTGATCTGCAGGCATTTTCAGAAGCCTCTTCATGGCCCTGAGCTGGACTTCGGGCCAGCCAGAGAATTTCTGCATGACCTCTGCAGGGACAGGAAGGCAGGGGAGGGACCTTTCTGAGGACCAGGGCCTCGGGGCTCTGTTTCTCGGCACCACACTGGGCTGGCTGCTGTGTGTGCATCCCCTCCTCAGATCCACAGGTTCAGGATGAGAGGGAGGGGCTGTTACCATCCCCACTTTACAGATGAGGCCACTGAGACCAAGCAACTTTTCCTTAATAGAACCCAAGTCTCTGTCTTGGAGCACACAGATGATGGAGCGCACTTCTGCTCATCCTGGGCACATAGAAGCACGCAGGAAGGAAGTGGTGCTGTGTGAGGAAGATGTCCTGGGACCACTGTGTGCCACCCAGGCTGTGGAAGCAAAAGCAGAGGGTTGTGGGAGGCGTGGGCAGTGACTAGGCCATTGAGCTACATAGAGGATTTGTGTAGCAGGAGCGGAGGGAAAACAGGTGGGGGCCAGGCTATGGAGAGGAACTTTGTGTTATAGGTAGTTGGGAGCTATGGAGGATATTTGAGCAGAGCGGTGTCCTGGGCAGTGTGTAGGGATGGATGGAGGGAAACTGTTCCTACCCACTGGTCGTGCATGTGGAGCAAGGCCAGGGGCATAAATAATGAACCCTCTGGAACTAAACAATAGGATGCCAAGGCCATGGACAGGAGCTTCAGGGCACGCTCCCCCTTTGTGTCCCCAGCATCACCTAAAATGCTGGCCACGTTGCCTTCTAACAGCATGTCGGTGATGGACGCAGGCACCATCTGCCGGTGCAGGGTCAGAGAGACGCACGAGGACTTGAAGGAGCCTCTCAAGAAGGTGATGTGCACCACGTCCCTAGCAGAGGAGCAGAGAGGGCTGAGTAACCCAGCAGCGCCCCCTGCCACCTCCCCGTGGGGCTCTCCCTCTGCCTCTGGCTCCGGGCTGCCCATTGGTGCGGACACTGGACACTGAACTCCCTGTTTTGGGATTCATTTGGCAGGGTCTCTCATAGTGTCCCCAGTGTGTCCGGCAAGCACCCCAGCAATTCCACACCCAGGGACGTACTCCATGGAGGCAGGGCCTCAGCTCACAGAGCTGGGGGACAGTCCGGGGCCCTGGCACTTTTGCTCTTGTCCCCTGCCTCCATAGAAACATGAAAACCCAGATTTTACAACTGCGTTGGTATAAAGATGAATATGACCCAGGCTGGATTCCTTGCTATATGTTGGGTTTTTTGTTTTGTTTTGTTTGGGTTTTTTTTTAGATGGAGTTTCACTCTTGTCACCTAGGCTGGAGTGCAGTGGCACAATCTCGGCTCACTGCAACCTCCACCTCCCGGGTTCCAGCATTTCTTCTGTCTCAGCCTCCTGAGTAGCTGGGACTACAGGCGCACCCCACCATGCCCAGCTAATTTTTTTTCTATTTTTAGTAGAGACGGGGTTTCGCTCTGTTGGCCAGGCTGGTCTCGAACACCTGACTTCAAGTGATCCACCCACCTCAGCCTCCCAAACTGCTGGGATTACAGGTGTGAACCACCGTGTCCGGCCTGGATTCTTTGTTATATGTTTTTGTTTTGTTTTTGAGACAGGGTCTCACTCTGTCACCCAGGCTGAAGTGCAGTGGCGAGATCTCAGCTCACTGCAACAACCTCTGCCTCCCGGGCTCGAGCGATCCTCCTGCCTCAGCCTCCCCAGTAGCTGGGAACACAGGCATGCACCACTACACCCAGCTAATTTTTTGTATTTTTCGTAGAGACAGGGGTTTCGCCATGTTACCCAGGCTAGACTAGAACTCCTGAGCTCAAGTGATCTACCCGCCTCAGCCCCCCAAAGTGCTGGGATTATAGGCATGAGCCACCGCCCCGGCCAGTGTTATGTATTTACTTTTGTCTTCTGATTTTAAAGTAAGTTAGAATGAAAAATTTAAAGGTGACCATTGTCTTTAGGAATTTTTTTTTTTATGTAGAATGAAAACTTTTTTCTGGAACCCTAAAAGTGTCGTGGGTCCTGGGGGCTACGCCTCCTGTGCCTCCTGGGGGTCAGTCTGCTCACTCCACCGTACATTCGGGATTACTCGCCGCAGCACGGTTTGGGAGAGCCAGAACTGGGCAAAGCCCAGCTGTGCAGGGATAATCAGGGCATCTGTGATGGAGTTCTTTGAGGCGTTACAAAGCCAACTAGCTGTGCTTGTATTAGGGTGGAGAGATGTTGAAAGATAAATCCACAGGTTAAAATAAACCCCGACCCTGAGCTCACTTTATCGTTATTCGATCCGAGGGGTCGATCTGGAGCATCAAGGGCAGAAGATTCCTGAAGGTTTCCACATCCGGGATCTGCTTCTCCTCCATTGTCTTCAGGACGGCCTTCAGGCTGCCTGGGCTCTGGCGGAGGGACTTCCGCAGATGCATGGCTTCTGTGCCCTGCACGGAGAGAGGACAGCTCTGTGTATTCCCTTAAGTAAATGAAAACTAGGTCCCAGCATGGGCAGGGGACGACCAGGGACCAAGAAATCCAGGAGGAGACCAGGGAGAGCCAGGTGTGGCCACCGTCTACAAGAATGCCCAGAGACCCCAGGGGCCCCAAGCTCTTCCATAAGAAGAAATGGAGTTTCAGAGAAGCCAGCGGGTTGTCTCCCGGGGTGGAGTCCTGCCAAGAAAGCCCCCTGATCTAGACCCAGCCAGTAAGACAGCATGCCCATTTCACAGAGTGTGAGCATGCCCAGGGTCACACTGCCTGGGCTGGGGCTGGAGCTCAGGCTAATTTCCAGGATGTCACACAGCCTCCGAAGTGGGAAGGCTCTCATTTCCCTGGGAGTCTTTCAAAGGAAGGGAGTGGCAAGGTGCTTCTCAGAGGTGGAGTCTGGGGGTCTGGGAGACCATGGGGAACCTGGGTCCAGCCAGGTGTCTGTCCTTTCTGGGGACCTCGGTGCCTGCAGGTGGTGCTGCGGAGAAGGGGAGCTTCCTTGTTTTGGGCATGGCAGGCCTTCCCCACTTTTCTCTTCTGCATATAGAGGATAGGAAGCGACAGGCTGGACTTCCCTGCCTCCCTGCAGCCAGAGTGACCTTGGAGTGCTCGCGGGGCCAGTGGGGCCCTCTGCCTCCCCTCCTTCCTGCCCACAGGCTGTGGCCATGGTGCAGGGGCCCCAGCAGGGATGAGAGAAAGAGCTGCATGCTAAGGATGTGCAGGAGGAGAGAAGGCACCTCCACACCAGCCTGGGGCTTGTGCATGAGACAGCCAGGTGTGTTCAGGCCCACACTGGGTTCCCGTTGCTTGCAACTCCGTGCAGCCTTCATGCTCACAAGGGCACCTGAACTTGGCTTTTCTCCATCAAGAGTCAGTGACACCACCTGGAGGGCTGCTGCGAGGGTCGCGTGGGATGGTCTGAATATTACCACTGCTGTCATTATCCTGCTAGAGCCCAGCAGGTGCTGCAAGCTGAGGGGTTCTGAGGAGGGCAGGCCCCTCGCAGGTGGAGAAGAGGGCTCTGTGCAGCCTGCAGAGAGCCAGGGGAAGGGATGCAGAGGGGAGGCAGGGTGAGGCCAAGCCTTTTCCCCAGGCCTGGGCGCGTGGGGAACAGCATGTGGGGTGTGGGGGAGGGAGGGCGGCTCACATCCATGAAGGAGCAGCTGGTCATGTCCAGAATGATGCAGCCCAGGGACCAGATGTCTGATTTCTGGCTGAAGGAGAAGTTGAGGGCTTCAGGGGCCATCCAGGACTTACGAAAGGGGTCTGTTGGTAAAAGCAAGGTGGGATCCCTGAGTCCTTTGCTCCCTGGGGGCAGGGGCTTGACAGAGTCACCCTGCCCAGCACTGTATCCCCTTTGGTGGCCCCCCGCAAGCAGCTTGAAACACAAGCCCTGCAGGTCCTCTTCTCAGAAGAGGTGGAGAATATTAACTGTGGGGAGGAAGAGGCCCCAATCAGCGGGAGCTTTGTGTTGATCTGGAGCCACTGAAGCTGTCCATCTTGGTGGGTGCCCACCAGGCTGGCCCATATAGGTGGTGTGTCTGTGTGCCCTGGATGGCTGTAGAAGGAGTTGGAAGAGGCACGTGCCAAGAAACTGTGCACCCCTCTAAACTTCTTGCCCCTTCTAAATGTCAGGACCTTGGGGGCAAAGTTACAGTTGCTCTGCCCTACTTTCTCAACTGGAACCCCAGACAGGGAGGCAAAAGAGCAGACTCCTCTGAGTCCATCAGTCCCTGGTTGGCTTCAGGCAGCCCCTCCTTCTCTGGACCTCCATTCCCCAGCCCAACAGTAAAGGGCTGGACTCCAAGGACGCATGCCATCTACACCTCCAATAGAACCAACCATCTGCCCGTCTGTCCACCCATCCATCCACGCACACCCCATCCATCCATCCATCCACCCACCCACCCATCCACTCACCCACCTACACACTCATTCACTCACTCACCCATTCACTCACTCACCCACCCATCCATCCACATACCCACCCATCTACCCACACACTCACCCATCCATCCATTCATCCATACACCTACCCACCCACACATCCATCCACATGCACCCACCCACCCATCCATCTACCCACCCAACCATCCATCCACAACCCATGCACTCACCCATCCACCCACACACCCATCCCTCTAACCACACACCCATCCATCCATCTACTCACCTACCCATCTATCCATCCATATATCCACTGACCCACCCACCCACCCACCTATCCATCCACTCACCCACCCATCTATCCATCCACTGACCCACCCACCTATCCATCCACCCGCCCACCCATCCACTTACCTACCCTCCCATTCATCCATCCGTCCAACCATCCATCCATCCATCCATCCATCCATCCATCCATGCACTCATCCAATCCATCCACTCACCCACCTACCCACTCATTCACTCATTCATCCACCCACCCATCCATATGCCCACCCACCCACACATCCATCCACACATGCACCCACCCACCCATCTACCCACCCACCCATCCATCTACAACCCATGCACTCACCCATCTGCCCATACACCCACCCATGCAACCACACACCCATCCACCCATCCATCCATCTACTCACCTACCCACCCATCCACTCATCCACCCATCTATCCATCCATCCATCCATCCACTGACCCACCCACCCACCCACCTATCCATCCATCCAATCCACTAACCCACCCACCTGCCCACCCACCCATCCACTCACCCACCCTCCTATCCATCCATCCATCCACTCATCCATCCATCCATCCACTCACCCACCCACCTGCCCACCCACCCATCCACTCACCCACCCTCCTATCCATCCATCCATCCATCCATCCATCCACTCATCCATCCATCCACTCATCCACTCACCTACTCACCCATCCACTCACCCACCCACCCATCCACTCACCCACCCACCTATCCATCCATCCATCCATCCATCCATCCATCCATCCACCCATCCATCCATCCATCCACTCATCCATCCATCCATTCATCCATCCACTCATCCATCCATCCATCCACTCACCCACCCACCCACCTATTCATCCATCTATCCACCCACCTATCCATCCATCCACTCACCCACCCATCATCCATCCACTTACCCACCCACCTATCCATCCTACCACCCACCAAACCACACACCCACCCATCTACTCATTCATCTTCTGTCTACCAAGGACTGAGTGTGGCCGGGTGCGGTGGTTCACGCCTGTAATCCCAGCACTTTGGGAGGCCAAGGTGGGCAGATCATGAGGTCAGGAGATCGAGACCATGGTGAAACCCGGTCTCTACTAAAAAAAATACAAAAAATTAGCTGGGCCCAGTGGCAGGCGCCTGTAGTCCCAGCTACTCGGGAGGCTGAGGCAGGAGAATGGCGTGAACCCGGTAGGCGGAGCTTGCAGTGAGCCGAGATTGCGCTACTGCATTCCAGCCTGGGCGACAGAGCGAGACTCCGCCTCAAAAAAAAAAAAAAAAAAAAGGACAGAGTGCAACCAGCAACTGCCATCCTGGGACTCTGGACTCCTCCTCTGTGGTTGATCTCTCCAGCCCCCTTTCTCTGGCCATCTTTTCAAAGGAACGAGAACTCGTCTCCCCTTGCCACCCACCCCTTCATCTCCTGGGTTGTTGTAGGACTCAGTGATGTACACGCAGCCAGTGCCTGGCACCCACAGACCCTCCGTCCTGGGCATTTTCTTTCTTTTTTTTTTTTTTAATTGATCATTCTTGGGTGTTTCTCGCAGAGGGGGATTTGGCAGGGTCATAGGACAATAGTAGAGGGAAGGTCAGCAGATAAACAAGTGAACAAAGGTCTCTGGTTTTCCTAGGCAGAGTGTTTGTGTCCCTGGGTACTTGAGATTAGGGAGTGGTGATGACTCTTAACGAGCATGCTGCCTTCAAGCATCTGTTAAACAAAGCACATCTTGCACCGCCCTAATCCATTTAACCCTGAGTGGACACAGCACATGTTTCAGAGAGCACAGGGTTGGGGGTAAGGTCATAGATCAACAGGATCCCAAGGCAGAAGAATTTTTCTTAGTACAGAACAAAATGAAAAGTCTCCCATGTCTACTTCTTTCTACACAGACACAGCAACCATCCGATTTCTCAATCTTTTCCCCACCTTTCCCCCTTTTCTATTCCACAAAACCGCCATTGCCATCATGGCCCGTTCTCAATGAGCTGCTGGGCACACCTCCCAGACGGGGTGGCGGCCGGGCAGAGGGGCTCCTCACTTCCCAGTAGGGGCGGCCGGGCAGAGGCGCCCCTCACCTCCCTCCCTGACGGGGCGGCTGGCCGGGCGGGGGGCTGACCCCCCCACCTCCCTCCCGGACAGGGCGGCTGTCTGGGCGGGGGGGCTGAGCCCCCCACCTCCCTCCCGGACGGGGCGGCTGGCCGGGCGGGGGGCTGACCCCCCCCACCTCCCTCCGTCCTGGGCATTTTCATATCCTTCCTTCTGACACTTTCTTTTCCCTCCATGAGAGGCAACATTTTCTGGGGTACCACAAACAACCACGACTTTGTTTCTCTCAAATGTTGGGTGTCTGTGGGGCCCTGCCTCTGCCCTGGTGGTGGCACGCCTGCTCAGTTGCAACCCAAAGGAGGTCTCTTTGGAGTTTACACAAGGCCAGGGCTTTGTGGGGACCTTCTGAGCAAACAGCTGTTTGATGTTGCCTCACTCCAGCACCCAGAGTGGCCAACGCCGCCTGGATTCTAGGCGCCAACCCCCTCTCCCACAACCTGGGGGAGCCCCTGCCACCTTCCTCCGCACGAATATTCCATTTGGCTTTGTCTGTCATTAGCACATTGGAACTCAGGTCCTGCAGTTTGCAGTGGTCACTGCTGATGAGGATGATGTTGGAGGGTTTGAGATTCCTGAAACCAAGAGGTGGGTTTGCCTCTGGATGCCAAGGGGCCACCTGGGCAGCCACCACCCACAACCCCAGGTGGGACCAGTGTGTGTGCTGAGCCTGACTCTCTGCTCCCTGCCCCACCTGGTTCTGCAGCAGCAGCCCACATCCTCCTCTCCTCCACAAAATGCCCCATCTCAGCCTACTTTTTAAGCAGTTGTTTCCTATGTACAGAAATATACTCAATTATTTTAAATCGGGGGAAAAATCCTCAACCACAAGTAGGAACACACCCAGCACTCCGAAGAGGCCCCTTAATTGACACATTCACCTCCTTAGATATCTCAGCTACACGTTTGCCTGGGGATTGATTTTTGGCCATTGTGCGACGTCTAGTGACATGAACACTGGATGTGGAATGTGAGCATTCCCTTTGTACGTATGGTCTGCGTGGTGTGTGTGTGTGTGTGTGTGTGTGTGTGTGTGTGTGTGTGTGTGTGTGTGTGTGTGTTTTAAGTCAGGGTTGCCCAGGCTGAAGTGCAGTGGCACGATCATAGCTCACTGCAGCCTCAAGCTCCTGGCTTCAAGCAATCCTCCCATCTCAGCCTCCATGTTGCTAGGACCACAGGCGTGCACCACCACGCCCAGCTGCATAGTTTCCCTCTTCCTCTTTAAATAAGATATTGGTGTTCAGAATTGGAGCCATCTCCCAGCCCCTTCAGACCATGGATTCTCCAGCCTGAAAGTTGTGCCGCTGGGGGTCAAAGGCTCAGCAGGGCCCACTCAGCCCACACTGGCCCCACGGCAGGCAACCCGGTCTCTCTTCTTGGCAGGGCTTTTGCCTCCTTCCTTTCCACGAACTCTAGAGCAGCCCGCCTGGCTAGCGCACACCCCATGCAGCTGTGCGTGTGCACATGGCTTGAGACCACTTGGAAGAGCCTCTTTCAAGCCCGGGAGGAGCTCTGTAAGGTCCCATCCTATCCTGGCTGCACTGGCCCGGTGCACCTTTCTCCCCAGATCCTGCCCACGGGCACTGGCACCCGAGTGGCCTCAGTGCCTTTTCTCCCGAAGCAGCCAGCCAGTCCGCAGAGGTCAGGGGCCCCACTTACCTGTGGATGATGTCCAAATGGTGCAGGTATTCCAGCGCGTCCAGCACCTGGCCCAGCACATTCTGCATCCACTGGGGGAGAAGTAGGGGGTGCCAGGATGGGAGGGGCACCCTGTGCTGCTTTCAGGGGGGTGACACTCAGAGCAGCCAGCAGGATGGTGGTGTATCCTCTCCTTGCATCTTGAGACAGGCCTGAAGCCAGCCAAGCGCTCAGGGTGGAGGAGGCTTCAGCGTGGTGGCTCTCCAGATGGTAAAGCCGCGGCGGCAGCCAGAAGGACTCTGAGTTTCCAGACTCCACACTGCTGTCTCCATACCAGAGACCCTGGGTGCTGCAGGGGCCCCATCCCTGCACCCTACTCTGTGGCCCGCGCTGCCCCACACTTGCTGGGAGCTGAAGGCAGATCGGCCTTGCGGGTATGGGAGAGGTGGAAGCCTTCAGTGCCTACATGAGCTCAATCCTCTAGGTCATTCAAATGAAAAGAGCCCTGAGAGAGAATGCTAGGAGTGTTCTGCATCAGAGACAAGCTCCATCGAGTACCCAGCGCGGTGATTCTAAAGCTGGGCTCCTAGGGCCCCTGGATTCAGGGCCACCCTGGGGTGTCAGAGAGGGGCTGAGGGGGCAGGATGTGGGCGTCCTCCCACTGCCCCCAGTTAGAGTAGGTCTGCTGCACTTACTGGGTTTCTGGGAATATTTCGTGTTTTGAAGGGCTTCACTCACAAAGTCTGAAACTCACTCCGGGCCTGCCTCTGAGGCCCATGGTAAGAGAAGAGCTGTGTGCCCCGAAGAGCCCCTCAGGGGTACATGGTCCCCCCAAACACAGTTCTCAGGGTAAAAGCAGGTAGCATTCATCTGGGGTAGATGAAAGATCTAAATGTGAAGGCAAAAATAACCAAGCTTCCATAAGACAGAGGAGAGTATCTTCATGATCTTGGAGCAGGAAATGCTTCTTAAACTCCAAAGGCACTAACCATAAGAGTCAGCATTGGGAAAGCGAACTCCATTACAGTTAGGACTTTCCATCATCAAAAGACATCATTAAGAAAGTGAACTGGCTAGGCGCGGCGGCTCACATCTGTAATCCCAGCACTCTGGGAGGCCGAGGCGGGTGGATCACTTGAGGTCAGGAGTTCGAGACCAGCCTGGGCAACATAGCAAAACCTTGTCTCTATTAATAATACAAAAATTAGTGGGTGTGGTGGTGGGCACCTGTAGTCCCAGCTACTTGGGAGGCTGAGGCAGGAGAATCGCTTGAACAGGGAGGCGAAGGTTGCAGTGAGCCAAGGTCGTGCCACTGCACTCCAGCCTGGGCGACAGAGTGAGACTCCATCTCAACAACAACAACAACAACAAGACTGACACAATGAAGTGCTGGCCTCCATGTGGATCGGGAATGCTCACAACTTGTGAGAGTAAACATGGGGCCAACCAAACCAAGTCGGAAATCTGTTTGGAGCATCCACTGAAGCTACACACATGTACTCTACGACCCAATAATTCCACTCCTAGGTATTCATCCCAGAAAAGTGAGTGTCTTCCAGCAATGCTCATAGCAGCCTTATTCACAATAGCCCCAAACTGGAAGCAGCCCAAATGAGACTAGGTAAACAGCCTGCAGCGCAATCAGGCAGCAGAGTGGCAGCAAGCAATGAACACATGATTTGCTGGTGCATGCAGCAGCACCGCGGGGCTCACAACAGCAGGCTGAGGGAAGGAGACCAGACAGGAGTGGCAGCATGCCGGACGAGTCCATTTACAGGAACTTCAGGGACCGGCAGAACAATCTGGAATCATGGTCACCGACTGGGAACCTTCTAGTGTTAGGAACGCCTTCTGTCTTGATCTGGGTGGAAGTTGTGTGAGTGCATCAAACTGTGCACTTAAGATCTGCACACATTACCTAGAGTGCAATGCCTCGAGGCACACATTTAAGAAAAAAACAAGGCTGGACTCCATGGTGCCTGCCCTCCCGCTGTTACTTTGCCCTGCACCGCAGGGCCTGTGTCACAGGTCTAGGTGGCCCCCAGGCCTGGTGCCCCAAAGGACCTCACCTCAGAGTCAATGATTTTCTTTGCCTTCCTCTTATCCTCAATGACCTCCTGGAAGCTGAGCTCATTGAACTCCATCACCAGGCAGAGGTACAGAGAAGAGATCTGCTGGGACAGGAGGCCCTTAGCCAAAGGACGCCCAGGCCCCGGTGCTTCTGCAGGCTCACCTGCTCCAGGGCCTCCCTGCGCTCAGCTGCCATTTGCAGTGGCCGTGGGAGCACTGCCCACTGGAGGGGGCTACAAGCCCCTCCTGCCCCACCTTCAGCTTCCTCTCTCTCCTCTCCCCATTCCCAGGCTCCACCTCCACTCCACACTCCATCCACACCAAGCTACTTGGACTTTCCCAAAAGCTGCACTTGTCCCCTGGCCACTGCACACATGGACCCCTCTGCTTGGACCACTACCCACCCCCTTCATAGGGATAACTATGCACCCTTTAGGGCTCAGCTCAGACCCATTTCCTCTGAGGACCCTGCCCTGGCCAGAGCCCCAGCAGACCAGGTCAGGGCCCCCAATTCTGTGCTCCCTCCCATAGGGAAATGTCCTCTTGGCTTCTCTGCACCCTCCTTGAGAGCATTAGGGGGTGCTCAGAAAATCTTTGGGAGTGCATGCAGTGAGGTCCCCTCCCCAAGACCCGCTGGAGCAGAGGGAGCGTGTGAGGGGCCTTTCCTGCTCGGACCCGGGATTGTTGGCCCCAGGTGGGAACACCAGTGTGGACATCTCATGCAGGCTGGCGCCTGGCAGAAGGCTTCTCAGCCTCTCTTTACCTCCAGCACCCCTTGTGCCTGCTCAGCCTCCCGCTGTCTGCCTCAGTCCCATCAGAAGTGACTGGAAAGCTCCTGGCTCCTTGTAAAGACAAGAAGTCATCCAGCCTACAGGACCCGGCTGCTGGACCTGAGTCTCCGTCCCCAGTCAGCTGTTTACTAGCTGTGTGGCCTTGGAGAGCTCCTGAACCGGAGCCCTAGGCCCCATCAGGAGCACAGGGACAGTACTTCCTGCCCTGCAGCCCTCCTGGCACGTGATGACGGATGTGGTGCTGGTCAGTAAGCTGCACAGGGGCTGCAGGAGTAAGGGGCGCACAGGCCCAGGACGGCACCGGTGTCGGGTGGCTGTGGAGACGGAGGTCAACTAGCTCCTTCCATGAAAGTAAAAACTCTGTCATCAGAGGCACAGGCTCACCAGGACAAGCTCGTTGGCTGCGTGCAGAGCCCGGGAGTCAGGCCCATCTGGCCTGGCCCTCTGGCTTGGCCACGTACTAGCTGGGTAACCTGGAGCAACTTGTTTCTGTTAGCCTCTGTTTCTTCTTCTGTCAAATGGGTTAAGAACCCCTCCTGGTCAGGCGTGGTGGCTCACGCCTCTAATCCCAGCACTTTGGGAGGCCGAGGCGGGCGGATCACTTAAGGTCAGGAGTTCAACACCAGCCCAGCCAACATGGTGAAACCCCGTCTCTACTAAAAATACAAAAATTAGCCGGGCATCATGGCACGCGCCTGTAATCCTGGCTACTCGGGAGGCTGAGGCAAGAAAATCTCTTGAACCCGGGAGGCAGAGGTTGCAGTGAGCCAAGATCACACCATTACACTCCAGCCTGGGGGACAAGAGCGAGACTTTGTCCAAAAAAAAAAAAAACTCTCCTGACGATGAGGTTTTTGGGGCTCCTATGAGACTATGCACCGAAAGCCCCCAGCATGGTACCTGGCCCCAGTGAGTGTTAGGTCAGGGGTGGCCACGTTTACAGTCACTGCCATTGCCACACGAGCTATTCTGACAGTGGGGGGTGGGCGTGCTCTGGGCTCAGTCTGCTTGGTCCTGCAGCCCACTGCGTGGCGGCTGAGCCCGTAGGTGTCAGCTCTGACCCACCTCCCCATTCCACGTGATGAACAGCTCCTGGTACACAGAGATGTGGGCGTGCCGCAGCTTCAGCAGTGGCATCAGCTGCCAGGATAGAGCAGAGGAAACGGAGAAGTCAGTGCCTCTCCACGCCTTTCTCAGCTCGGGCTTCTCTGTCACACATCCCAACAAACATGCAAGCCTCGGGCTCTGAGCTGGGCCAGGGAGTGGGCTCAGGGAAGCTGCACGGTGGTTGGGAGCCAGGCAGTCCGATGTGGGTCCTGTCTCCAGCATGAGCTGGCTGTGCTGGGTGACTGGGCCTCATATAGTCATCTGAAAATGGGGGTCCTAGTGGAATCTGCCTCACAGGGATACCATGGGGGGTGAGTGAGCTGTGGCAGGCAGTGCCAGGAAGGTGGGGATCAGCCACAGCCAGGGCTGGCTGGAGGAGGTGGTGCAGACACCGGGAGGTGGGCACACGGAGAGGTCCCGGTGCCCCTGCCCTGGCGGAAAGTGCTTTGAAACATGCCCAAACAGGAGCAGATAGGGCTGCCTTAGAGACATGGAGCCAGACAGACAACTGCTTGGGGTGGAAGGTTGGGCATGAAAGCAGGTGGCCTACCTAGTGGGCTGTGGATGGGAATCGGCAACGTGAAAAGCCACGGCGGCGTGCGGCTCTGGGCAGGCCCCATGCTCTTTCTTCCCATTTGTTACCGAGTAGCCTGGGCCCACCACTGTGCTTCGGTCACACTATACACCCAATAATGTTTGCTGGCCAAGCTCCAGAGCCAGCAATTCCAGAAGACAAACAAGTGACCATGAGATAAGAGGGGACACCTTCAAGCTCGTGGGAAATTCAAGAAACACAAAGAAAGGCTACTCGGAGGCTTTGCCAATCAAACCGAAGTGCAGCTGTTATCGCTATTATTGTAAACGAGTATGTTACTGCTGGGCAGCTCTCAATGGTAGAATTAAGGGTAATTTATATTTGTTTTGTTAAACAGTTCTGGTATGGGTGTGGTGGTACATGCCTGTACCCCAGCACTTTGGAGGCCGAGGTGGGACGATTGCTTGAGCCCAGAAATTCAGACTAGCCTGGGCAAAATGGTGAGACCCCATTGCTATTAAAGAAAAAAAAAAAAAGGTAAAAACAAAAGAAAACCCAATTCTGTATTTTTAAAATTTTCTGCTGTAATTAATAATTTTATATTGAAGAAAAAATATTTAAAGAAGTTATTGGTAGATTAACCTAGGGACCCGGCCAATATTTATTTATTTTTGAGACAAAGTTTTGCTCTGTCACCCAGGGTGGAATGCAATGGTGCAATCTCGGCTCATTGCAATCTCCGCCTCCCAGGTTCAAGTGATTCTCCCGCCTCAACCTCTCGAAGTAGCTGGGATTACAGGTGCCCACCACCATGCCCAGCTAATTTTTTTGTATTTTTGGTTGAGACAGGGTTTCCCCATGTTGGCTAGGCTGGTCTTGAACTCCTGACCTCAAGTGATCCACCCGCCTCGGCCTCCCAAAGTGGTGGGATTACAAATGTGAGCCACCGTGCCCAGCCCAATATTTAAATTTTATGTTCTCTGGGAACATATGTTCTAAGTTGTCGGCACCTGCATTTAGCAGTGAGTGTTTGGGGCATGGACTCCCTTCATGACCTGGGGCTGCTGGCTTCACAGCTGAGGCAAAACTGGTGCTGATGCTCTATCCCTCCCTCCAGCCTTCTCTTCATCCAGGCACTCAACAAGAAGGTACAGAACACAGTCTGTGTATGCTCCATTGAGCTCTTCCAGAGGGAAAACTACCCTGAGAGTTACCTCCTCCAGGGCCTGACTGGCGTAATGGTCATCCATGCATTCCACCTGCAAGGGCACAAGAGCATGAGCTTAATAAACATGTAGCAAATCATCTCCGTTATCACCGCCATCACCACCACCACAACGACCATTACCATCATCTGCACAGCCACCACCTCCACCACAACCATCACCATCATTACCACAACCACAACCAACACCACCATCACTGTCACCATCATCACCATCACCATCATCACCATCACTGCCATCATCACCATCATCACACCACCACCACTACCATTACCACCATCACTCCATCACCACCACCATCAACACTATCATCACCATCATTAACATCATCATTACCACCTTCATCACCACCATCACCATCACTGCCATCATCACCATCATCACCATCACCACCATCATCACCATCACACCACCACCATTACCACCATCACTCCATCACCACCACCATCACCACTATCATCACCATCATTACCATCATCATCATATATCATCACCATCATTACCATCATTACCATCATCACTGCCATCACCATCATTACCATCATCACCATCACCATCACCACCATCATCACACCACCACCATTACCACCATCACATCATCACACCACCACCATTACCACCATCACTCCAACACCACCACCATCACCATCATCACTATCATCACCATCACCACCATCATTACCAAAATCACCATCACACCATCATCACCATCATCACACAATCATCACCATCATCAAAATCATTACCATCACCACCTTAACCATCATCACACCATCACCACCACCACCACTATCATTACCACCATCACACCATCAACACCACCGTCACCATCACCACTATTATCCCCATCATCACCAACCTCATCACCATCATTACCACCATCACCATCACACCACGACCACCATCATCATCACACCATCACCACCATCACACCATCAACACCACTGTCACCACCACCACTATTATCCCCATCATCACCACCATCACCAACATCATCACCATCATTACCACCATCACCATCACACCACCACCATCATCACACCATCACCACCATCAAACCATCAATGCCACTGTCACCATCGTCACTATCATCACCATCATTACCATCATCACCACCATCATCACCATCATTACCATCATCATTACCACCATCACACCATCAACACCACTGTCACCATCCCCACTATTATCATCACCATCACCACCATCACCATTACTATCATCACCATCACACCACCACCACCATCATCACATCATCACCACGACCATAATCACCATGACCACCATCACCATCATCACACCATCACCATGACCACCATCACCATCATCACACCATCACCACCATCACCATTATCATCACCATCATCATCACCATCATCACTGCCACCACCATCACCACCACTACCACCATCATTGCCACCTCCATCATCACCACCATCATCACTATTTAGCAGGAGTGACAGGCTCCCACCATTCCTGCCCCCACCATATGGCACAAATGGAAGATATTCCTAAGGCAGAGATCTAAAAATACTTAGAGCAATGAGAACATCTTTGCTCCTTTTGCAAAGATAAGTTTAGGACAGCATAATATACGCTCCAAGAACTCAGTAAAGGATCCATTTTCAGACCGTCTTTAAACAGGAACATCTTGTTCTGGTTGGGAAAGCATCAATCTCACCACTTCATTCCTTACCCACATGGGGAAGGTTGTCTCCACGCATGGAATGTACAGTGCTCTTCTCTCCTGTGCCCTCTCCGGGTGGAGGTGGGGAGGGCATGGAAAGGGAAGGGTGGTGGCAAGGGCAGCACGGAGCTTTGAGTCTGCAGCACGCTTGGTGGCACAGGCCCTAGGTATATACTACCACTGGCTCTAATACCAGATCCTCACCCAGAATTTTGCTCAAAAGACTTATGAATGAAGTACTCTTATAATGGGGTGAATGCAGACCATCATGTAAAGTTAGTGAATTGTTCCCAGATCTATGGAGAGACCTGAGATGCCAGTGGCACTGTCCCGTGGAATCCAGGGCAAAGACACTGAGTGAGCCTTCCTGTCTTCCTTTCCTCCTGTCCTAGGGGGCATATGAGGAGGTGAAGTTGGCCAAAACATGGAAAGACTTGAAAATGTTACATTGTGGCCGGGCACAGTGGCTCACGCCTGAAATCCCAGCACTTAGGGAGGCCGAGGCAGGCGGATCACCTGAGGTTGGGAGTTCGAGACCAGCCTGACCAATATGGAGAAACCCTGTCTCTACTAAAAATACAAAATTAGCCGGGCGTGGTGGCACATGCCTGTAATCCCAGCTACTTCGGAGGCTGAGGCAGGAGAATCACTTGAACCTGGGAGAAGGGGGTTGCAGTGTGCCGAGATCACGCCATTGTACTCCAGCCTGGGCAACAAGAGTGAGACTCCGTCTCAAAAAAAAAAAAAAAAAGCGGCTGGGTGGGGTGGCTCACGCCTGTAATCCCAGCACTTTGGGAGGCCGAGGCAGGCGGATCATCTGAGGTCGGGAGTTCGAGACCAGCCTGACCATCCTCTCCATGTTGATGGAGAAACCCCGTCTACTAAAAATACAAAATTAGCTGGATGTGGTGGCACGTGCCTGTAATCCCAGCCACTCAGGAAGGCTGAGGCAGGAAAATCGCTTGAATCCGGGAGGCAGAGGTTACAGTGAGCTGAGATCACACCACTGTACTCCAGCCTGGGCAACAAGAGCAAAACTCCATCTCAAAAAAAAAAAAAAAAAAAAAAAAGTTACATCGTATGACCCAGAAATCTCACTCCTAGGAATTTTTCCTAAGGAAATCATGGATGCTAAACAAAACAAAACAAAACAAAACAAAAAAACAAACAAAACCATAATGCCATAAGCATCTTTATCAGAGCTGTTTACACAAAGTGAAAAATTGAGAACAAGCTCAATGCTCAGCCCATGTGATAGGGATGGCTTGGGTTAGTTACAGCACATCAAGCAAGACGGGAGGCCACACAGTTGCCAGAGCCAAGAGAGGAGGAGGCTGTGGGAATGACATGAAACTATGTTTGCAATATAAAAAGGATGCTATCAACTTTAACGATACCATTCTCCTGAATCCAAAAAAGTTTACAAACGCTTAGGAAAAAAGACTGGAAGAACCCATAAACTCCTACCTACACTCTCTTTCCCCAATTTTTATTTAGAAATAATTGGGTGATATTTTTATTTTTAATTTAATTAATTAATTAATTAATTTAGACAGAGTCTCGCTGTGTCACCCAGGCTGGAGTGCAGTGGCGCAATCTCGACTCACTGCAACCTCCGCCGCCCGGGTTCAAGCAATTCTCCCGCGTCAGCTCCCAAGTAGCTGGGACTATAGGCACCCACCACCATGCTCAGCTAATTTTTGTATTTTTAGTAGAGATGGGGTTTCACCATGTTGGCCAGGCTGCTCTCAAACTTCTGACCTCAAGGGATCTGCCTGCCTCGGCCTCCCAAAATGCTGCGATTACAGGGATGAGCCACCATGCCTAGTCATGGCTGACATTTTTAAAAGCTCCTCAGGCCGGACGCGGTGGCTCATGCCTGTAATCCCAGCACTTTGGGAGGCCGAGGCGGGCGGACTGCCTGAGCTCAGGAGTTCCAGGAGTTCGAGACCAGCCTGGGCAACACGGTGAAACCCTGTCTCTACTAAAATACAAAAAATTAGCCGGGCGTGGCAGCGTGTGCCTGTAGTCCCAGCTACTTGGGAGGCTGAGGCAGGAAAATTGCTTGAACCCAGGAGGCAGAGGTTGCAGTGAGCTGAGATCACACCACTGCACTCTAGCCTTGGCGACAGAGCAAGACTCCATCTCCAAACAAAAAAAAAAGCTCCTTAACTGCTCAGAGGGCAGTCAGCCACACTGCCCCAGTGGCTTGTGAGACAAGGGGGCCAACCCCACAGCCAGCCAGCAAGGGAGCAGGGCAGGGGCAAGGACTCCAGGCCCAGCCATACAGGGTGAGACTGCGGAGCTGTACGGACTGAGGCCTGGCCCAGTAGCAGCTGCTGACAAGGCTCCTCCCGCTGTATGGCCAGCCCTGAACCTGCTGGGTCCCTGCCACCACCACAGAGAGGAGGGCATGCCAGGGACTCTTGCAGCAGCTTTCTCACCCTAGTCCCTCTGTTGATCTGGACCTCCCTGTCTCGGACACACAAAGGGCTGTCTTCCTGCAGGCCTACACCTCCCCATGCCCTGCTAGCCCTGGTGAGGAGTGTGGTGGAAGGGCTCAGGGCCTGGTGTGTGACCTTAGCCCTGTGTGACCTTGAGCCAGTCCCCATCCTCTCTGGGCCTGGCTCCCTTTTGGTAAAACTGGTGACCCAGCACTGGGTAGCACGGTGTCCCCCAGTGAGGTGGCCTGAATTCAAATCCTCTTGGAAATTGTGTGACCTTGCCTAGTCTGGCGCTGCATTGAGCCTCACTGTCTTTGGCTATAAACAGGGTCATTGTTTCTGCTTTACAGGGTTGACGGGAGATGAAGTGAGTCAGTGCCTGGCATACAGCACGTGATGCGTAAATGGTGGGAGGTGGTGGTGTTGGAGTAAAAATTAGCATTGCTTCCCCATCAAGGTGACAGAGCTTCACGCACCCCCACATCTACCCCAACCAGATTAGTCTCCGCAAGTGTCAGCAGCGAGGAATCCAGCTGCCGCATCAGGAAGCTTCTCCAACATGGGAAGAGCTTGTATTGGGGAAAATCACAGTCACAGAACCACCCGGCATGGGATGCACAGGCTTGGCCTCTTACCTGCTTTATCACATGCTTGACTTTGGTTTCCATTTCCTCCACCACCAGGTTCACCCCCAAGGCCCCAGGATTCAGCTGGTACAAAACCTATCAGCAAGGAAGAGAGAAGCTTTCAGGAAATGCACACAACTTTTCCCTTTCCAAAAGCCCAGCTCCAACTCCTTTTCTGGCCCTGCTAACTCCCCTGTCAGGCTGGCAGAGCAAGTGGCTCCACCCCATCTTGCAATAGAGGAAATGGCCCAAGGAGGGCAAGAAGCCTTTCAATGGCAGAACTCTGATCTCACCTATTTGGGGCCGATTCTGGAGCTCTTCTACAACCCTGTATCCCTCCCCCAACCTGCAATGAGGACCAGCTGGGCACTCAAGTGCAAGAACCTCCCAGAGAAAAAGGGCTTATTCACTCTCTATAGACCTCTGTGACCTCAACTTCCAGCATCCACCTCCCAACTGGTTTCCAACAAGAAAGTAACCAATCTTGTGACTGGTACAATCAGGAAGCCATTGTGTGCCTGGCATGGTGCCAAGCACTTCACAGCCACCCTTTGCAGTTGACACCATTGCTACCTCTGTGTTTACATTGGGGAAAACTGAGGCACAAGGAGCTAGGTCCTTGCCTGAGGCTATGTCACTAGAAAGCAGGACACTGCCTGGGGTAACTCTGGGGGTCTGATCTTAGAGCCTGTGATTTGAGCCAAATCTGGAGAGATGGCCACCAAGCCAGAACTCTGTGCAGAGACCAAGTGCTATGGGGCAGGGGGCTGGGCCGGGGATTGCTGGAGGCTGACATTCATCAGAGGATTGGGGGAGGGAGGGCAGGACCCAGAGGAGGAGATATGAGGATGGAAGCCTGAGCCTAGGGACTCTCGGAGCCCATAAAAGTCTTAGGAGTCTGTAATCCAGCCTTGTGAGCAGCCTGCTCATGACACTGGATATTCTAAGCCAGGGGTCCCCAACCTAGTCCGTGGCCTGTTAGGAACCAGGCTGCACAGCAGGAGGTGAGCAGCAGGCAGTGGAGCAAAGCTTCATCTGTATTTACAGCCGCTCCCCATGGCTCGCATTACCACCCAAGCTCCACCTCCTGTCAGCTCAGCAGCAGCATTAGATTCTCATGGGAGTGTGAACCCTATTGTGAACAGTGCATGTGAGGGATCCAGGTTGCATGCTCCTTATGAGAAACAAATGCCTGATGATCCGTCACTGTCTCCCATCATCCCGAGAGGATGGTCTAGTTGCAAGAAAACAAGCTCAGGGCTCCCACTGATTCTACATTATGGTGAGTTGTGTAATTATTTCATTATGTATTACAACATAATAATAGAAATGAACTGCACACTAAGTGTAATGTGCTTGAATCATCCCAAAACCATCCTCCCGCCTCCATCTGTGGAAAAATTGTCTTCCACAAAACTGGTCCCTTGTGCCAAAAAGGTTGGGGACTGCTATTTTTTTTTTTCTTTCTGAGACAGAGTTTTGCTCTTGTTGCCCAGGCTGGAGTCCAATGGCGCTATCTTGGCTCACCACAACCTCTGCCTCCTGGGTTCAAGCGATTCTCCAGCCTCAGCCTCCCGAGTAGCTGTGATTACAGGCATGCGCCACCACACCTGGCTAATTTTGTATTTTTAGTAGAGACAGTTTCTCCATGTTGGTCAGGCTGGTCTTGAACTCCCGATCTCAGGTGATCCGCCCGCCTTGGCCTCCCAAAGTGTTGGGGATTACAGGCGTGAGCCACCGAGCCCGGCCAGGGACTGCTGTTCTAAGCCACAGCGGGCTGAGGGCAGAGCTGGTGTGAGAGCGTTCAAGCTTAGGCAGCAAATTAAACAGTAAAATGGAGCCGTATCTCGAATCAAGTCTATTTTTTTTTCCAAAAGCAGGTATATTCCTGAAACGTCTATTTTTTTTTAATCTGAAAAACAACTTTACTTTAAAAATTATCTGGCCACCAGAAGCTCATCTGCTTCACCTCTGGCAACGCCCTATAGTCCTCTCACACAAAGACAATTCTTCCAAAGTGACAAAAATCTAACCCGCAAACTGTTTCCAAGCGAATGCATTTTTCACAAATGCTGAATCTAACATTTAATAAAGTGTATATATCATGTATAGAAGCATTTAATTAAACATTTACTTTTATTTTGCAGCTTTCCTTTTGTGTTTTGTGAATTTTTTAGGTCTCAAACATTTTCACAGACCCACGCTGCAGGGGTGTTTTTAGGGGACTGGGGGCTCCCAATTATGTACTCGGGATGTTCCCGGGGGTCCTGCCTCGGTGGACCCAAGCGCACAGACCCCAGGCACGAAGGATAGAGGAGCTGCCCCACGCCCTCAAATACTCAGCCAGGGCTGGAGAATCCTTAGTCAATTCACAAAGGGGGAAACTGAGTGGCAAAGGGCACCCAGGAGGTCACCGTTGGAGGCCCCCCGGGTTCAACCTAGGAGCTGCAGGCCGACACTGGCCAGGGCGCGGGCCCCTCGCCGCCCTCGGTCGGAACCGCCGGCCGTAGCTCCAGGGTTGCGACCGTTACCCCACGGAGCTCCCGCCTCCCCGCAGGGAACACTCGGCACCTGGTACTTCTCCATGGGCTCTCCGGGGGACCCTGGGCCTCGCTCCCCCTGCGTGGGGCGCCTGCGATTGGACCCTGGCCCAAGCATGATCAGTAGCGACCGCGTACGGGCGAGCGTCCACCCCTGGCCCCACCCCGCGTGGGTCAGTGGGACCCGCGGGATCCTCCCCGCCCGAACGGCGCCCTCGAGGCACTCAGGCGTCCCTCCCGCGCGCTGGCCCCAGACCCCCAGGTCCCCGCCCCCTTAAAAGGGACGCGTTCCGCCGGGCCGGGAGGGACCGCAGGGCCTGCGCGCGGCGGGCGGGGCCTCCAGCGTGAGAGGCGTGGCGTCGAGCGCGGCGGGCGTGGCTTCGAGCGGATGGGTCGGGAGGCTGGGGATGGCGCGTGGCCCCTTTAAGACGCACCGGGGCGGGCCCGGGCGGCGCGCGGCCCCTTTAAGGCTTGGCCTACGTGGCAGCCGCTGGAGCCGCAGCCGACGCGGAGCGAGGCCGGCCGCCGGGCACTTCCTGTGGAGGCCGCAGCGGGTGCGGGCGCCGACGGGCGAGAGCCAGCGAGCGAGCGAGCGAGCCGAGCCGAGCCTCCCGCCGTCGCCATGGGCCAGAACGACCTGATGGGCACGGCCGAGGACTTCGCCGACCAGGTGCGGCCTGCGGGCTCCTCCCCCGGCCCCGGTCCCGACCCAGGCCGCCCGGGCCGCTCCGGAGTCGGCCTCCCAGCGCAGGGCGCCAGGCCCGGGCCGCCCCCTGACTCCTTGTTCCCACAGGGGGACCCCCCCGCCCGGGCCCTCTGTCCCGGCTGGACAGCCCCAAACCCGGCCTCCGGGCCCAGTCTCCCCTGCCCGCTGGGCCGCTCCCGGAGCCCGGGCCTCGGCGCCCTGCCTGGCTAGCCGCCCCCACCCTCCAGCCAGCCCGGGGCGCGGGCTGTGGGGGTTTCTTCCCGGGCCGGCGGCGCGAGTCCTGGCGTTGGGTCGGGTCTGAGGCTCGCGGGGAGCGCCTCGGCGTTTGGAGCTGCTGGGGGGTCCCCGCACGTTTTTCCTCTCACTGGGGCTCCCGGAGGCGGGCTGGGAGCTCGGGGACGAACGGGGGCCGGGGGTCCTCCCAGAGGAAAGGGGGCGCGCTGGCGTGCGCCCCAGCTACAGGAAGCCACAGCACCTTTTCCTTTTCTCTTTCCCAGATGTGCTGGACTCTTGGGGTCCCTTTGACCCTGTCTGCGTCTCCCTCCCCGTTTGGACTCTGCCCTGGGCTGGATTGAGTGGGGACCTGTACACAGCCTGGGAGGAGGGGAAGCCTATCTCCCTGATAGTCTCCTTCCAGAAGTGTCCAGGTGGCATTCTGAGCAACAGGGAAGCCTTTGAAACAGGCGGTTGGGTAACTGTTGAGAGCATTCGGGAACTGGGTGGACAGGATCCGATCCTACAAAGTGAAGGGACACAACTCCCTTCCCTCTTTCTTGATTAAGCTTGACAGAACAAAAAAACAAAAACAAAAGGTGGTGGTGGTTACGCAGATTTATGCCTTTTACTTCTAAAAGAATCCCGTTATGTCGACAAATTAACAGCCTTATCCCCGCAGGGAGAGCCTTGTGTGGCCCACTTGCCGTTTTTTCCTCGGTTTACTTAATGTGTTCGTGTGGCTTTGCTAGAGTTTTAAGTAGTGATGGTTAAATTTTTAAATTTTTCTGGAGGTGGTAGTGAGTCATCAAACTCTGAGGCCTAGACTTATCGGAAGGCTTGTATATGTGTGGTTTAAAAAAAAAAGAAAAGAGTAAGTGACCGTTTTCTGATCAGCTATTGAACTCTTCCGTTCCTCCTGGGGGGTGATCTCTTTCTAGTGTGACCTCACCATCGGTTCTCATTGCAACACTTTCTGTGAGCCAATATTTTAAATTTGGAGGGAAAAAGTAATCAACTTGACGAAGCATTTTTTCCCTAAGATTCTGATTTTGTGCTTAAAGACACAATTTTATTTGTTTATTTATTTTTATTTATTTATTTTTTCTTTGAGATGGTGTTTTGACCTTGTTGCCCAGGCTGGAGTGCAATGGTGTGATCTCAGCACACCACAACCTCCAACTCCTGGGTTCAAGCGATTCTCCTGCCTCAGCCTCCCGAGTAGCTGGGATTACAGGCATGCACCGTCACACCCAGCCAATTTTGTATTTTTTTTTTTTTTAGTAGAAACAGGGTTTCTCCATGTTGGTCAGGCTGGTCTCGAACTCCCGACCTCAGGTGGTCTGCCCACCTCAGCCTCCCAAAGTGCTGGGATTACAGGCGTGAGCCACGGCACCCAGCCTTTAAAGACACAATTTTAAAAACAATTCATATCAAAAGCTCTCAAGAACCAGGTAGACCTTTTAGGTTTGTCAGTTTTCATTGACATAATTTATAGTGACCCATTTATATTTCTCCAAGTCGCAGCTCCCTAAGAAGATGGCTCCTCATAGCTGAGGGAAGGATGAGAGCTACATACACTCGCTCTTTGTCCTGGAAAACCTGGATTTGCAAGTGAATTTCATAACCAAATCTAGATCAAATGTCTCCAGTCAAGCTGCTGCCCACTAGCAAATGACAGACTCCCCTATTGACAAAAAAAAGTTCCCAGTGTCTTCACATACTGTTTTCTTCTTCTTTTTTTTTTTTTTTTTTTTTTTTTTGAGACAGAATTTCGCTCAGGCTGGAGTGTAATGGTGCGATCTCGGCTCACTGCAACCCCCGCCTCCCGGATTCAAGCAATTCTCCTGCCTCAGCCCGAAGTAGCTGGGATTACAGGCGCCTGCCACCACGCCCAGCTAATTTTTTTGTATTTTTAGTTGAGACGGGGTTTCCCCATGTTGGCCAGGCTGGTTTCGAACTCCCGACCTCAGGTGGTCCGCCTGCCTTAGCCTCCCAAAGTGCTGGGATTACAGGCGTGAGCCACCCTGCCCTGCCTTTTCTTCATGTTTTGTTATTATGTTTTTTTTGGAGACAGAGTCTTACTTTGTCACCCAGGCTGGAGTGCAGTGGCGCAATCTCATCTCACTGCAACCTCCGCCTCCCGGGTTCAAGCTATTCTCCTGCCTCAGCCTCCTCAGTAGCTGAGATGACAGGCCCACGCCACCACGCCCCGCTAATTTTTGTGTTTTTAGTAGAGACAGCATTTTGCCATGTTGTCATGTTGTCCAGGCTGGTCTCAAACACCTGACCTTAGGTGATCCGCCTTGGCCTCCTAAAGTTCTGGGATTACATGCCTGAGCCACCGCGCCCAGCCTTCATCATGTATTCTGTTATGTTTTAAATGAAAGAAGCAGTAGCTTGGAACTGGAAAGGCTCTTGAGGGGGCACAGAGTCGACCTCTCCCAGGTTACTGAGGGGAGGCCAAACCTGCTCAGGCTCCTAGACTTGCCTGTGACCAAGACCAAGAAAAGCCGGGTCTTGGTCCCCAGCGCCCCCAGCCCCTGGTGTTGCTCTTCTGGCACAAGTCAAGGGAAGAGCACTAGCGGGTGAAGGGGCTGCTCACATACAAAACCCAAGTGGGTTAGGACCATATCTGTAAGGCACCATATCTGTAAGGCAGCGCAGGCTGCCGCCGTCAGATGATCTCCTTAAGAGTCCGTCTAGGTGGTGGCAGAGCATGGCTGTGGGAGCTTCCATGCCCTTTTGTGGGCAGCTTGGGAGGGCAGCTACTTGTACTCGCCCAAACCCCAATCAGACAGATGCAGGCAAGTAAACAGGGTTCGAAGTCAAAATATGGCTTCTTGTGGACAGAATCTGACCAAGCCCAGGTGGGGCTTTGTTTCTCTTTATTCACATAGTACTTAAAGCTGCCAGACCAGGCTTTTACATGAAAATGACCTAATTTGAAGCCGATAGAGGATTACCATGGAAGTCACTGATCAGATAAAGTGACACATCCATTTTTTCACATCTTCAGAAAACAAGAGCAAAACTGAAGTGACAAGATTTGACCAGAAAGTGTGGGCTGCTGAAAGCAAGACCTAAGTAAGCTTAGTTTCCCAGGCCCAGTGTCTTCCAGTATTATGACAATGACATTAAGTCTTTCACTGGGCCGGGTCCATGATAGACATTCCTTTTGTGAACTTCTTGACTGTAGGAGGTTGGCCAGAGCGTCACCATCTTCAGATGGGCAGAGGGAGGTTGGCTGGCCGCACTGGCTTGTGGTGGCCTGGAGACTGAGTCCGCATCCTGTTACCCCAAAGGCTGGGTTCCTCACTGCTTGGTTGACTGATCTTTCCTTCTGGCCTGCAGAGGCTGGTCCACGGGGACGAGCAGTCTGGTTAGTTTCTGCTGGCAGGCTCCCCACAGTTGCATCTCTTGTCTCTCTGCCTCTGGCATCAAGCTGCTTGCTCTGGCAGCCAGGGACAGTGTCCTCTTGCTCCCAGGAGCCATGCTCTGTAGAAACTGCTGAGACGTGCTCTATGCAGGAGCTTGGCATTTGGAAGCCATGGGAAGGGTCCAGAAACTAATGAACTCAGCAATCCAAACTAATGTCCATGCCTGCAGCTGCTCCTCATTGCCTATTAGACACTCTGTAAAATGTAGCTTCTAAGCAGTTTATACCCATAAACAGCAATATTAGCACTTAATGGGTTCTGCCTGGTGGCTCATCACCAAGGTGACAGAAAAGCTGCATGGGGCCTTCCTCTCCAGTGTGACCTTTGGTGTTTTTAACCTGTCCTCAAGAGTGGCAGAGCTAGTCCTGGGCCCTAGGAGCTGGCCTCGGCCCTAGTTGAAGTGCTGGGGAAGCAAGGATAGGCCTGAGGACCCCTGAACTTGCAGGTGGCACAGGCACTGTGAGGGTCCCGATGAACACCATGCTGGTGACTGGTGTGGCAAAGTCCTGGTGACAGTGGCAGGCTCTGTCATACCCTGCCCTATATCATGAAGGAGTGGGGAGAGAAGGCAAAGAGGAGCTGACTCACTTTTCTTTGTGTGATGATCTTAACGGGAGGTTAAAACTCACTCTTCAGGGGAGTGCGGGCGAGGAGCAGAGGAGGTTGTGGTTAGCGGGGCTCCTCCCAGAACATGGGGCCCAGTCGTTCTCAGTTACGTCTTTCCTATAGTTGGGATTTTGATCACACAGTTTTTTAGTAAAGCCAGGCCATCATCTCCCACATTGGGCTGGCGACATCCTTTCTGGCCCTGCAGGGTGCAGTGTGAACCTATAGAGCAGCATGGGAGCGGGGCTCGGGGAAGTTCTGGAGCTGCAGTGAGCCAGTGAGCTCGAGCCAGCTCTGACAGGCTGATGTGAGGGAAGCCGCTGGGCCGCAGGTGCTTGTTTCTAGGATGTGTGGGACCTGAGTTGGGCTTTGAACAAGGCAGCCCCAGTCCTTGGTGATCAAGGAAATCTGACCTGCCTTTTTCGTCGATGTTCACATTCACCACGAATTTGCAAGCTGCTTTCCTCAATTTCTTTCTGTCCTGAGTGTGAAGAGAAAGTGGAGTTTTCTGTGTGGCGTGGGAGCTGCAGGTGGCTGTGACAGTGATCACTGGATGCCCAGGAAGTCATCTCAGGGTGGATATAATTAATTACGTTTCTAAAATCCCCTTCAGTCGTCTAAAATAACCACCCCTTTGAGAGAAATATCAGTCTTCCTGTTAAGCCCCTCAGATGCTGTCACTGCTTATGAACCATATCCTGCTTGATGGCGCGGTTCTCGGAGAGACTTAATGAGAAGCTTGGCCACAGAGGTGAGCTAACTGTCATCTTCTTCCTGCAGCCTGCCAGGTCAACAGCCACCTCTGGCTCTGCTGTCGCAGTTCTCTAATGGGGGGGAGGGGGACTGTCACAAGTTTTATGTGCTCGCCGTGTTTACACAGGTCACCTGTGTGCTGGCTACCAGCAATGGCCTTAGTGCCTGCAGTGCGGCTGCTCTTGTCTGTCCTGGGGTGCTGTGTGTCCTGCCTGTGTTGAGGGCTCTTCTCTGCTGTGCTGAGGGGACACTGGCTCTGGGACGTGTTCTAGAGTGGCATGACATGGTTCCAGTGGCCAAGTTGAAGTAGTTGTGACCAACATGCATGTAGGAAATAAGGTTAATGTTGGGCCTTGTCTTTAAACGTGGCTTTTTCAGTGTTCAGTCCAAACAGATGCTCATTAAATGGTGGCCAGTTTAGAGGAGACTGCATCAGCCTGACTTCAGCCTTCAGTGTGGACCAGGCTTGCCTTTGAAAACCAGGACAGCCAAGCAGTAGGTGTGCTCAGTTCAGAAGGCAGTACCTAGATTTTTGCATATTTTTCCCCAAAGCCAAGAGCTGTGTCTGTTTCGTCACCATGTTTGCGCAGGGAAGGAGGTGTGAATTGCCTGTCCCACCTTCTCTCTCTTTTTTGCTCTTTAATCCTCTTGACCCAGACACTCAAATTAAGAGTCGCAGACTCATTCAAAGAGACTTTTAAACACTGCCTCAATCTCGTGGGCTGTGCACGTAGATGAGCATGTTAAATGCAGGTCCTGCAACTGGGGGAGGCTTAGACCGCAGCCCATGGCTGGGCTGGTTTGCTCATCTCAGGCCAGTGAGTGGCTCACAGCTCTCATTTTAGAAGCAAGTCAGAACACCTCTGGTGTCTGTCTTGGGTATGGATTGCAGTCTACCTCTCTGCTGCTGTTGGGGTCCACGCCCCACACCCACACCCTGCCCTGGGAGTCCCACCACGGCTCCGTCTCATCTCAGAGGTCTGGACAGCCTCCTGTTGAGCTCTTCCTTCCCAGTGGTTGCTTTTCCCCAGGTTCAGATGAGATAAAGGCTTGTGTCCTTGCTGGGGCTTCCCAGCTGGGCCACGATGTGAGGCCATTCCTTGAGAGCAGTGGCACATCGTGTGCCACGGTGGTGTGCTTTCTCTCTTCCATGGAATATGGGTGATTACACTGTTGCTGGGCATTTAGAGAGCAACGGGGCCATGAGGCAGAACCTGGGGAGGGTGTGTGGCGTCACCTTTCCCACCACCCAGTGTGATGCAGGTTGCGTCACACTGTGCACATGGGCATCTTGTGCTGGTTCTCTGCATTGGCCCTAAAATTCACAGGGGAGTATTTGGGGCCTTTTTAAAAATAAAAAGTGAAACAAGGTCTTCCTCCTAGTAAAGTTGGAAAGCATCTTACCAACCATTAGTTCAGGTGGCCTCACTCTACTGCAGGATAGTAGAGACACTCTCAAAAAAGTAACTGGGCGTGTCCAGGTCACACGGTGTGCTGGCTGGATGGTACCAGGGCAGGATGAGATCACAGGGCCTCAGAACCTCCACCTGCACTTCATCTCCCAAACCCACTTGGTGATTCTCTGGGTATCTGTCGGTCACTGTGATTTCTCCCATCACTTCCGTGGAGTCAAAGGCTGAGTAAATGTGTGCAGAACTGACACTGCAGGGCGCAGTGGGTTTGGGGAGAATGGCCACCTGGCTTTGTAATCTCTGCCTCCGTTCTCTGCCACATGGGAGCCAATCTGCAGTGCTGACCTAGTCAGGGCCCCACCTGACAGGCTGGAGGGTGACCTGAACACCCAGGGGCGTGGTAACTGAGATGGGCAGCTTCAGCAGTGTCTAGGACTTTGAAGCAACTTTTAAAAATGCTGAAAAATAAGAAACACGCATATCTTCCTTTGTTCCAACAGTAGGTTTAGTCAGCCCTAGGAGGCCTGTGCAGCTGACGTTCGCTCGCCTCCCGTGGGGGTCAGCCTCTCGGGTGCTCTTTAGACTCTGGCTTCCCAACATGCGTTGGTGGATGGGTCCCCTGATCTTTCTCCGAAGGACTTGCTGTGTTACAGTATTTCTTTCACTTTATATCTCAGTTTTGCATGGGTGATAAGAGAAAAGTGCATGGGGTGAACCTGCGTGACATTTGTACCTGGCATCCGATAGTGCATGTTGGCTACCTAACCCAGCCGTCATAAATGACCTGACTCACAGCACAGCAGGAAGTCATAAATGTTTTCTTTCCCTTTGACATTTGACAGTGATTTCACACACTTGCGTTTCATTGCTGTTGAAACAGCTGTCCATCCCATTTGTTAGTGTGTTTTAATTTGCTCGAGATTATGCAGGCTTTGACAAAATCCCAGCGCTTTCTAGCCATTAGCGGTACCAGCTTCATGCTGCGCTGACGGTTGCTGCACACACAGTCCCCACGTCAGATCCTGAGCTTGCAGGGGAGAGCTCCGTCGGGCTGGGAAGCGCCAGCCCTGGTTTGCAACAGCACACATGCGCTGTCCAGAGCCTGGGGCCTCCTCCTGCTGCTCTGGAGATTTTCGGATAACTGTAAACGTGATCTTACTATTCAGTCAACCATGTGGCCCTCTAGGTGTGGCACCCTGGCTGTCACCTAAGCCAACCCTTGTTCTGTCAGGGTACTCTGGGCGTCACTGGGCAGGCTGGGAGGTCCAGGCCCTTGGCACCTCAGCCATGTGTGACCTGCAGGCTGGGGTCAAGTCTTGGCATTGCACCATCAGGTCTGCGAAGCCTAGGGGAACCCCTTCCCGCTGGGTTTAATATAGCCATTTGTAAGGTGAGGGGTTGGACCAGAGCAGCGGAGATGCCTGGCAAAGTGCAGCGGTGCCTCAGGAGGGAGGCTGCTGCTGGCATGTCGTGGGCAGACATGTCGTGCGTCATAGCCTGCAGCACCCAGGATGACCCACGGCAAAGAGTGGCCTGGCCTCAGATGCCAGTAGTGCTGAGGTGCAGAAACGTTGGATAGATGACCTCTAAGTGCCTTTTCAGATGTCATTCTGTGATTCCAACTTGTAAATGCCTTTGACCGAAAAGAGCAGCTCTGTGTCTTGTGGCAGTGCCACCTTGGAAGACTGTAGTTGCCTGCCGAGGCACTGGGGGAAATCACGGTAGCAGAGTGTTAGGGCTGCTGCCCTATAGGATCTGCCCCAGAGGGCCTAACGTCAAGTCATGCATCTCCGGGACTGATCCTTGGATTGTTGCATGTGTCCAGACTCACAGGGTAGCGCTCAGGAGCAAGCACTGAGAGCCCCCTAGTCTGCCCTGGGAAGGCACCGGGGCTGACAAGAGCTCTTGCCTTCCACAGCGTCTGTTCCTCACACACCCCGCCCAAGGACGTGCCTGGCAGCGGCCTGGTGCTCCCCGCCGCAGCCACCTCACCCTTGGGTTTCTGTGGCCCTGCAGTTCCTCCGTGTCACAAAGCAGTACCTGCCCCACGTGGCGCGCCTCTGTCTGATCAGCACCTTCCTGGAGGACGGCATCCGTATGTGGTTCCAGTGGAGCGAGCAGCGCGACTACATCGACACCACCTGGAACTGCGGCTACCTGCTGGCCTCGTCCTTCGTCTTCCTCAACTTGCTGGGACAGCTGAGTGAGTGGCTCTGCGGGTGGTCAGGATTCACTGGGCGTCTTGTTCCATGATCGTTAGCAGTTGGGAGGCTGTGTGTGAACTCGGGGGTCTCCTGGACTGCTGTCCCCCCTCCATTCCCCTCTTCTCCAGCTCAGCTGTGCCAGGCCAGGAGTCCGGTTCTGCAAGCCTTGGTGGGGACGCTTAGTCTCTAGCCCTGAGCTCACTGCTTTAGAGCTTGCTAAGGAAATAGGACATGGTCCCTGTCAGGGACCCAAAGCAGGAGATGCTGGAGTCTGGCTGGCAGTCCACAGTAGAGCAGTTAATTGCCTACCTCAGGTGGGTGGCTGACTTGGGAGCTGATTGTGGGAAACAGCCCATTCTTTATGACGGCAAGGGCTCCACTTTCTGGTGTTTGTGATAAGTCTAGTCAGCTTACCATGTGTGGTCCTTGCCTATCATTAATTCTTCCAGAAGTTGTCTTTTGCTTGGGTAGGTGGTTTGGCTGCCTCTGGACCTAAGGGCCAGGTGAGGTAGCAGTGTATCAAGACAGTGCTCCCCGCCGGCACCCACCCTCAGGCCCCCTAACCCTTGTCCTTCTCTCCAGCTGGCTGCGTCCTGGTGTTGAGCAGGAACTTCGTGCAGTACGCCTGCTTCGGGCTCTTTGGAATCATAGCTCTGCAGGTACACGGGCCGCGTGGTCGGGGCTCCCTTCTCTTTGCTCTGGTGGAGCAGAGCTTCTGAAAAGACATCCTTGAGGGTTCAGTGTCACTCCCCCTTCAGCCCCCTGCATGTCTCTGACTGCCTGGAGCTCCTTTCTCTTCTGGGGAAGTCGTGAGCCCAAGCAGGGCTGTAGAGGCAGGTCATTCGGTACTGGGCCATCTTTTGTCCCATTTCTATGATTACCGTGACAAGGGAAGTCTCGAGCTTGGCTGCAGCCAGGATGCTGTCTTGTTATCACGTTGCTTCATAAAGAAGAATACTTGGTTATTCAGAATGAAATGCTGGGAACAGAATATCTGAATCCACATCAGTGGTCTCAGAATCACTTTGTTCTCTGGAACATCATAGCACATTTCTTGAGAAATACAGAACCACATTTTTGAGCTTAGATCTGTCCTCGGTCTCCTACAATGGTTTTGTGTGTTTTAGACTCCAGCTGACATTGGAGAGACGGCCTAATGTATTATGAAGTCTGTGGAAATGCCTTTGGAAAGGCTGAGACTCAAGTATCTCTCTCTTCTTTCCCCTCAGACGATTGCCTACAGCATTTTATGGGACTTGAAGTTTTTGATGAGGTATGTGCATTCTGGTTGGTTTTAGTATACGCTCCTTCTACAGGTTGAGCATTGCAAATCCAAAGTCTGAAATGCTCCAAAATGGGAAAAATCTTGGGCACCAACATGACGCTCAAAGGAAGTGCTCATTGGAGCATTTCAGGTTTTGGATTTTCAGATTTGGGATGCTCAGCCAATAAGTATATAATGCAAATATACCAAAATCTGAAACACTTTGGGTCCTAAGCATTTCAGGTTAGGGATACTCAATCTGTATTTCTAAACTCAGTTAACTATTGGTTTGAGTAGACTTCTCTGGGTCTAAACCAAGCTTGTCCAGCCTGTGGTCCACGGGGTGAACATGGCCCAACACAAACTCAAAAACTTTCTTAAAACATTGAGAGTTTTTTTTGTGATTTTTAAGTTTTATTTTTTAGCTCATCACCTATCATTAGCATTAGTGTATTTTATGTGTGGCCAAGACAGTTCTTCCAGGGTAGCCCAGGGAAGCCAAAAGATTGGACCCCCCTGTCTAAATTGTGCCTCTTAGAAACAGGTTCTGAAGAGGATGTTGCAGAGCCCCTAGAATAGTAGAGACTGAAGCCGTCTCTTCTGACCCTTATTTCACGGGTGTGGGGACTCCGGGTCTGAGTGGAGGACAGACCTGACCACGGGGACCCAGCTGGTCAACACTGAAGCTGTGACTAGGACTCGGTTGTGTGTGTGTTCAGGTAGCCTGTCACTGTCGAGTTGTAAAGATACCTCTGTCTCCTGAGCTATGTAAGGTTTTACATGGGTGTAACTCGAGTCTGAGGTCCTGTGCGCATGCCTGCCTGGTCCTGCTTGGCAGATCACTGGGTTTGGAGAAAGGGAAGTAAGGGCCTTCTTATACTGGCAGCAAGGTCTCCCTGCACCTGGTCTCACAGACAGGCCAGATCCTGGTGAGGCTTAGCTTCCAGCCCACATATCTGTTCCTCAGGAACCTGGCCCTGGGAGGAGGCCTGTTGCTGCTCCTAGCAGAATCCCGTTCTGAAGGGAAGAGCATGTTTGCGGGCGTCCCCACCATGCGTGAGAGCTCCCCCAAACAGTACATGCAGCTCGGAGGCAGGGTCTTGCTGGTTCTGATGTTCATGACCCTCCTTCACTTTGACGCCAGCTTCTTTTCTGTAAGTATTCCTACTTGCCTGAACCGGTCTGGTTTCCTGTGAATGCTGTCCCTCCCCCACCCCCTCCCTGCTCACCCCTCCCTGGTTGGGTATTAACCACAGCCTGGGGGAGCTGCTGAAATGGAGCAAACTTTTTTTTTTTTTTTTTTGAGACGGAGTCTCGCTCTGTCCCCCAGGCTGGAGTGCAGTGCGTGATCTCGGCTCACCGCAAGTTCCGCCTCCCGGGTTCACGCCATTCTCCTGCCTCAGCCTCCCGAGCAGCTGGGACTACAGGCGCCTGCCAACACGCCTGGCTAATTTTTTGTATTTTTAGTAGAGACAGGGTTTCACCGTGTTAGCCAGGATGGTCTCGATCTCCTGACCCCTCGTGATCTGCCTGTCTCAGCCTCCCAAATTGCTGGGATTACAGGCGTGAGCCACCGTGCTCGGCGGAGCAAACTTTTTGATCCCATTAAAACAGACCAAAACATCGTCAATCTCTTGTGTGTCAAGCCTTCTTTCCAGCAAATGAAGGCCAGAACCTCTGACCTTGGTGGAGTGTGCTTGGCCCTTGGTTGGCCAAGGCTCTCCACCCGGGCTCCCCTTACTCTTCTTTCTTTCCTCACTGTTCGTATCTTTCTCAAGTAATTCCTGTGTGTCAGGTGTCAGGGGCAGGCCTCCAGGAGCTTCCAGAGCACACCTCCGGAGCTGACTGAGAGCCCTGGCCGGGTAGTGTCCAGGAAGAGCTCCTGGCGCCATGGAGAGAGGAGAGAGGATGTTTCTGGCCTGGATGGCTGGGTGGGCCAAGAAGCACTTGGGAATTTAGTTATGGATTAGAGATTCATCTTGGTAAATCACAGCCTGTTACTAGTTGGGAACTTCAGTCTTCCCCAAACCTTCCACATTTCAAAGCTGGTGCTTTATTGCCTCCTGCCTCCCTTTGGCTTTTATCTCCCTACTTGCACCAGCAGCCGTCTCAGCAGTAGCTACATCAGCCTGATGGATAGAGACTTCATGACGTGCAGCAGCTGGAACTTTTGTTTATAAAGCATCTCTTTTCCTCACATTTATTTTGAATTTCTTACGTTTCAACCTATGCAGATTGTCCAGAACATCGTGGGCACAGCTCTGATGATTTTAGTGGCCATTGGTTTTAAAACCAAGCTGGCTGCTTTGACTCTTGTTGTGTGGCTCTTTGCCATCAACGTATATTTCAACGCCTTCTGGACCATTCCAGTCTACAAGCCCATGCATGACTTCCTGAAATACGACTTCTTCCAGACCATGTCGGTGATTGGGGGCTTGCTCCTGGTGGTGGCCCTGGGCCCTGGGGGTGTCTCCATGGATGAGAAGAAGAAGGAGTGGTAACAGTCACAGATCCCTACCTGCCTGGCTAAGACCCGTGGCCGTCAAGGACTGGTTCGGGGTGGATTCAACAAAACTGCCAGCTTTTATGTATCCTCTTCCCTTCCCCTCCCTTGGTAAAGGCACAGATGTTTTGAGAACTTTATTTGCAGAGACACCTGAGAATCGATGGCTCAGTCTGCTCTGGAGCCACAGTCTGGCGTCTGACCCTTCAGTGCAGGCCAGCCTGGCAGCTGGAAGCCTCCCCCACGCCGAGGCTTTGGAGTGAACAGCCCGCTTGGCTGTGGCATCTCAGTCCTATTTTTGAGTTTTTTTGTGGGGGTACAGGAGGGGGCCTTCAAGCTGTACTGTGAGCAGACGCATTGGTATTATCATTCAAAGCAGTCTCCCTCTTATTTGTAAGTTTACATTTTTAGCGGAAACTACTAAATTATTTTGGGTGGTTCAGCCAAACCTCAAAACAGTTAATCTCCCTGGTTTAAAATCACACCAGTGGCTTTGATGTTGTTTCTGCCCCGCATTGTATTTTATAGGAATAGTGAAAACATTTAGGGACACCCAAAGAATGATGCAGTATTAAAGGGGTGGTAGAAGCTGCTGTTTATGATAAAAGTCATCGGTCAGAAAATCAGCTTGGATTGGTGCCAAGTGTTTTATTGGGTAACACCCTGGGAGTTTTAGTAGCTTGAGGCAAGGTGGAGGGGCAAGAAGTCCTTGGGGAAGCTGCTGGTCTGGGTGCTGCTGGCCTCCAAGCTGGCAGTGGGAAGGGCTAGTGAGACCACACAGGGGTAGCCCCAGCAGCAGCACCCTGCAAGCCAGCCTGGCCAGCTGCTCAGACCAGCTTGCAGAGCCGCAGCCGCTGTGGGCAGGGGGTGTGGCAGGAGCTCCCAGCACTGGAGACCCACGGACTCAACCCAGTTACCTCACATGGGGCCTTTTCTGAGCAAGGTCTCGAAAGCGCAGGCCGCCCTGGCTGAGCAGCACCGCCCTTTCCCAGCTGCACTCGCCCTGTGGACAGCCCCGACACACCACTTTCCTGAGGCTGTCGCTCACTCAGATTGTCCGTTTGCTATGCCGAATGCAGCCAAAATTCCTTTTTACAATTTGTGATGCCTTACCGATTTGATCTTAATCCTGTATTTAAAGTTTTCTAACACTGCCTTATACTGTGTTTCTCTTTTTGGGGGAGCTTAACTGCTTGTTGCTCCCTGTCGTCTGCACCATAGTAAATGCCACAAGGGTAGTCGAACACCTCTCTGGCCCCTAGACCTATCTGGGGACAGGCTGGCTCAGCCTGTCTCCAGGGCTGCTGCGGCCCAGCCCCGAGCCTGCCTCCCTCTTGGCCTCTCATCCATTGGCTCTGCAGGGCAGGGGTGAGGCAGGTTTCTGCTCATAAGTGCTTTTGGAAGTCACCTACCTTTTTAACACAGCCGAACTAGTCCCAACGCGTTTGCAAATATTCCCCTGGTAGCCTACTTCCTTACCCCCGAATATTGGTAAGATCGAGCAATGGCTTCAGGACATGGGTTCTCTTCTCCTGTGATCATTCAAGTGCTCACTGCATGAAGACTGGCTTGTCTCAGTGTTTCAACCTCACCAGGGCTGTCTCTTGGTCCACACCTCGCTCCCTGTTAGTGCCGTATGACAGCCCCCATCAAATGACCTTGGCCAAGTCACGGTTTCTCTGTGGTCAAGGTTGGTTGGCTGATTGGTGGAAAGTAGGGTGGACCAAAGGAGGCCACGTGAGCAGTCAGCACCAGTTCTGCACCAGCAGCGCCTCCGTCCTAGTGGGTGTTCCTGTTTCTCCTGGCCCTGGGTGGGCTAGGGCCTGATTCGGGAAGATGCCTTTGCAGGGAGGGGAGGATAAGTGGGATCTACCAATTGATTCTGGCAAAACAATTTCTAAGATTTTTTTGCTTTATGTGGGAAACAGATCTAAATCTCATTTTATGCTGTATTTTATATCTTAGTTGTGTTTGAAAACGTTTTGATTTTTGGAAACACATCAAAATAAATAATGGCGTTTGTTGTATGCAGTGTGATCCTATAGCGTTGCCCAGCCTGAATGGGGCTCCCCTCAGGATGCCAGTGAGCGAGGTTACTTCTCTAGGCTTCTCTGAAGACCACTCAGAAGCCATGTCCAGAGAGAATTAGTCCCTCAGAGTCCCTGCTGCTTCCTGGGTGTGGGGGACAGACTCCCTCAGCCCTGCCTTAGAGGGCAGCAGATGTCATGAGACAAGGATAAGTGGGTAGAGAAGACACTGGGGACAGCCGATCATTCAGAGGACACACGGTTTGATCAGGAGCGGGGGAAATATCTGAAGGCTTTCTCGAAACTTCACGGCATGTGCTTTTATTAACCTGGCTGTTTACAGGAGCTGAAGCTCTTGGGTTTGCGGTGATGACTCTTGAACTTCTTTTTCAACGAGCCCAACTGCTTCTGTGGGATAAACAAAATTCTGATTACTGAGCCTTTCTGATCCCATGGAGAAGGGGCCCTGGAGTGCAGGGCTCTCCCCACCCACACAGCCTCAGAGGTGTCGGTCAAATACCCACAGAGGCTTTCTCCACCCCCGTTTCCTTAACAGCTGCAGGATTAGACCCCGCTCAGCAGGGCCTCAGAGGAGTACAGTGCAATGCCACACACTCATTAGGACCTTGTCCTCTTTTGGCCTTGGTCCTGCTTATCTACCAAAGGCGGGGAAGTCTCCACTCCTGCCCTGATGGCAAAGGCAAAGGTGGTGGCTAGTAATCAGGTCCCTGTGCCCAGGGGTAAGGACAAACACGCCACAGCTCATAGTCTGAGGTAGGAGGGTGTCCTCACAAACCAGTGGTCTTGACCGTGGTCCACAGAGCCTGGCTTCCACAAGGGGCTGGCTGGGAAGCAATGGTAGGCACTCACGGCCTTCCGCCAGCCAGCGGCCTCGGCTTCTATGGTTCTTGTGTGTTGTTGGCTTGGGATTTCACTTGTGAAAAAGGTTCAGTTTTCTTTTTTTAAACAAATGGAAAACCATCACTAGGGGAAGCCACTGCCACACTAACAGAGGAGGTGACAGCTCACCTTCCCGCGCTTCTGGACCAGCCCTCGGTACACGGTCGTCTCTCTCCTGCCCTCATCAGTGGCCTTCTCTCTTGGGGGCTTTGCCTTCTCATCCTCTTTGTCTGTCAAAAAGTCATCAGTGCCATCCCCATCCTCCGTGCTTCCAAGGTCCTTTCTGGTGAATAGCTCAGCTGGGAGGAACACAGGGATTGGCTGACAGTTATTTTAGGCTGAGTTCGCTGCCACCTTTGCAGGGGAGGCAGCACCACAGTCTGCTCCCTGCTGACAGTAGAGGGTCAGGGAGAAGCAGGGCCTGTTCTGCTTACGTGGGTACAGGTCTGTCATGCTGTCATCACTTGCAGCTCCCCCCTCATCACTGGATGTGGGCTCCCAGAAGGCTTCCCGCGGGCGAGGCCCGTCACCGTCCATCTGGTCCTCCCTCCTCCTCCTCCGGTGCACCAGGCAGGCAGGCACGTACTCCACCCCTTGCTTCTGACATTCTTCATCTGGGAGATAAGCCAGCACGTGCTGGGTACCTCCACACCCCCCACGGTCCTCTGGGCCACAGCTAACTTATGAGGACTGCACTCGGCCAGGGCCCCACAGCCCCACCGCCCTGGACAAAAACCAGAGCAGCTGCTGGGTGCCTCAGCTCTGTTCCTACCAGGTGTGCAGGGAGGGTGGTGGGCCAGGGCTGCAGCCAGGAGGCAAGAAGATGGTAGAGGTCTACGGGGCCTTTACCACTCATCCCCGATCTAGCCAGGCCTAGGAAGCCACGGCTAGGAGGGCACTGACCAGGCCCAAGGCCAACTGTGCCCCAGTGAGCTTGGCATGGCCTCTCAAAGGCAACTCGGGCTGGCAGTGATGCCACCCTCTCCCCAGCAGCCTGAAGTCCTCCCTCAGCACATGGGAGACCCCGTCCCGGAGGGCGGGGCTCAGTGGAGGTTGGCTGCCTGGCCTTTGCTGCCCCTTAGTGGGTGAGAAGGGAGTTGGGACAAGGCTTCCATGGAAAGACCTCACTGGAGTCACCACCGTTGTCCCCTTGTATATTGGAGGGTCTGCTGGGGCTTGCCCTCCAGCCCAGCGCAGCTACCATCATCATCCCTCATGGGCTGCATGAGCCCTGCTGGGCCCTGGCCATTGATGTGGCGGCCCATCTCCAGGGCTGTTTCCCTCCTTGTCTCTGCCACCCACCCCCATGGCCATGCAGCAGCCTTGTCACCACCAGAACGTGAAGGCAGAGCCCCCTTACAGCCACGTTTGGACTTCCCTGGACCACTGCCTTGCAGTGACCTCGGCGCCCCAGTCCCATCTCAGCTCCACAGTCCACCATCATAACCATTCTTCATGGGAACCCCGTGGCCCCCTGCACTTAGAGCCTTCCTGCCCACCCCTGAGCAGCTAACACACTGGCTGGAAAAAGTCCAAGCCTCAGGCTGGCAGCCCTTGTGCCTGCAAGGCCTCTGCAAGGTGCCCGCCTTCTACTTGAGAAACCCTGGTCCTGCCTTCTCAATCCACACTCATGCTTCGGGAGGGCTGGACTGCCTCTCCGCACTCATCAGAAGCCCGTAGACGCATCTTCCCATCCGCAAACCAACCTGAATCTGTCCGCTCCAGCCTCTGTCCATTTCCCTCCTTAGCTGGACTCCAGAAAGGCTTTCTGGTGACCCAGCACCTGCCTAAGGCCGGACACTGCCCTCATGGGCTGCAGCCTACGCTCCACTCTAGCCAGGTGTCCCTGCCAAGCTTCAGGTGCCTCACCAAGGTTGCCAGGGGCCTCTGTGTTATCAAATCTATCATTTTTCTGTCCTCATCTTCCCTTCAGTACCACGGGAGGACTTCCAGCCTCTTCCTGGGGCTCAGGACCAGGCCTCTCTCCCTTCTCTAAACTCTCGCCGGGTGCTCACCCAGATCCACGGTGCAACCATCTCCTTCATCCAGCACGGGTGTCCCTGTTTCAAAAGCCCGATACTTCCCTAATACACACCTTTCCTAATACAGCTCAAGCTTAAAACCTTCAAAGGGACTCTGAATTCTCCCCCCAAAACCCACCGTCTTTTCCTGGATGACCGCAGTCAAGGAGTCCTCCCTTCTCAACCATGCACACTGTCCATGCAGCCCCCACCCAACCCTCTCCACACACCCACTGCAGTGCTCCTGGCCTGGTCTCTGGGTCATCCGGGCTGTGCACACTAGCCCAGCCAGTCCTTTGGAGCCTACCTCAGCCAACACATTTTTGCCTCAGACTTCCATGGACCCTGGCTTCTCCCTGGGGTGCTGTTCCCCCGACCCCACTGCCACCACATCCCTCCAGCCTCAGCCTCGAGCGAATCCCTCAGCGAGTCTCCCCAGCCCTCCTGTCTCCGCAAGCCCACCCCACATCCCTCGCCCAGTTTCTTTCACACCTCGCATTGCCACGCACACTCACTCACTCCCGAGCCTGCTTCTGGCTCTGTGCCTGCCTGCACTAAAAGCTGTGGGGTCAGGGGCCATCATCCCTCTCTTCACTGTGCCAAAAAACAGGCCTGATGCATCAACACGGATCGCTGAAGGACGACCTGCCTTCAAGCACGCTCCATCTGGGGCAAGGCGGGCATGCACTCAGATGGCGATGCACTGATGGGGGTCCACTGGGACTTACATTTACACAGAGCTCGCTGGTACCGCCGGCCCTGGGTGTGCCTCAGCACGTGTTCTGGGCACTTGTTGATGTGCCGCAGGGTGAGTTTGCAGAACAACTGGTGCCTACAGAGCAGAGAGACCAAATTTGTAGGGACAGTTCACAGCAAGGATTCAGACTGGTGGCTGTGTCTTGGACTCATCCCTGGACAGTCTACCATGCGGCTTGGACATCGGGCTTTTAAAGGCTCCCGGAGCAATTCCACTCTGAAGCTGGGTGGGGAACCGTCTGACCCAGGCCGACTGCAGCCTCTTAATGTTTACCGGAAAAGCACGCATGGCAGCCTCACTGACTGCTCCAGGATGAGTTCATGCAAGAGGATGGCTCCACCTGGAGCAAGGGCTCAATGAATGGAAACATCCTATCTCTGTTTTGACGATTATTACAAAGCCTAGCTCCCAGCTAAATCAAAGACCCCTTCTGGGGTTAAGGGAAGAACCCAACGCTGTTCACAACCTCAGGTGACAAATCACAAGCCTCTACTCATCTGGGAAGCAGCCACACCCCACAGGACAAACCTCAGGTGAGCAAACGAGCTCACCAAGAGGCCTCGCCGCTGGGACCGCAGGTGATTCCAGCACCCGGGCGCCCACCTGGGTCCCAGGGCTCCCAACTCTGAAAGAGTAGGGGCTGCAGCACTGGCGGAGTCCAGCGGAGGGGCTGTCCTAATTGCCCTGGGCCTCCCCGCGCCGCCGCGGACCACCTACGGGTTCTTGGTGCTGGGCACGATGTGCGGCTCGAACTCTGCATAGTCGAAGGCCGGGGAGGCGCGGACCAGCCGCTGGTACTTTTTGCCGCGGGTGTAGACCTGGAGCTCCGGCAGGCGGCAGGGCAGCTCGTGACCTGTCAGGATGCACCTCACCTGCGGACGCGTGGGCGGGCAGGACGTCAGGAGGGCCAGGGCTCCGCTCCCTGGTGCCCCCTCCTGCCGCGCCCCCTTCCCTCTCCTCCCCTGATCCCGCCGCGCCCTCTCCCCTGCCCTCCCCTCTCTCCTGCTCTCCCCTCTCCCCTCTCCCCTGCCCTCTCCTCTCCCCTGCCCTCCCCTCAGCCCCTCATCCCAACTGCGCCCTTCTCCGCCACTCCGTTCCCCTCCCGCGCTGCGAACCTTGCGGGCGTCCGTCTGGAGCCGCAGGCTCGGGTGCTCCCGCAGAAACGCCCGCACGTCGCCCGGCAACTCGCTCATGGCCGACGCGCCCGCGGAGCAGCCCGGCGGAAGCCGCTCGCAGAACCTGGAGCCGGGGGCGGGGCTCTGGGCGGGACTCAGCGGCGCCCCGGATGCAGATGCTTCCTGCGTCCCGGAAGCGCCCGCGGGGCCGGGTGCGATGGCGGCGGTGGCTGCGTTGCAGCTGGGGCTGCGGGCGGCGGGGCTGGGACGGGTGAGCGCCGGGTGCGGGGTGCGGGGTGCGGGGCGCGGGGAGGGGTCCCGGAGCTCAGCCCGCCCGTCCGTGTCCGCAGGCCCCGGCCAGCGCCGCCTGGAGGAGCGTCCTCAGGGTCTCCCCGCGCCCAGGTGAGGGCTGCAGGCCGGGCTGTGATCCAGGCGCCTGGGCAGAGCCACCTGCTGTCTGCCCTGCACTTTGAAGGGTTGTCGTGGGGATTGAAATGAACCAACTGCCGGCTGAGCGGAGGCTCCCTGGGAGTGACAAGTTCCGTATTAAAATGCTTTCAGTGGAATTGTGGTCGTGTGCCGGGCATGTAGCGAGCGCTTTGTCCTCACAACGCGAGAGGTAGCTCCTTGGTCGTTCCCCTGTTACAGAGAAGGCTCGAGAGTTACTTCCGAACGTCCCATCCAGCTAATGGGTGGCCAGCCCAGGCTGAAAGCCCAGGGCTCTGAAAGTAAAGCGTATCTAACCACCGCGGCTTACGTGTTCCTCTCAGTGTGCAGCACAGGGCTGTTTTGCCGTGTGTAGAGTGCTGTGCAAGCCTGCCCCAGGCCTGCCTTTTTATAAAAAAAAAAAAAAAAATAGTATCCGCAAGGCCCCTGGTGCTTTTCAGCGGATGGAACTCATCCTCTGAGAGCTTAAAGGCACTTTCTGTGTACATTCTTCCCTCTTTACATTTACGATGAGTTGTAAAAATGGAAAGCTGTTAAGAGAGCTCTGTGAGCCATTACTGAATTGATATATTTTTCTACATAACACAACAACCACTAGTGCCTGACTAAGCTACTTAGTAACTGTAGCTGCTTATTTTTTATTTTTTGAGACAGTTTCGCTCTTGTTGCCCAGGCTGGAGTGCAGTGGCGCAATCTCGGCTTACAGCAACCACCTCCTCCCAGGTTCAAGCGATTCTCCTGCCTCAGCCTCCCGAGTAGCTGGGATTACAGAAGCACCATCGTGCTCAGCTAATTTTTGCATTTTTTTGTAGAGATGGGGTTTCTGCATGTTGGTCAGGCTGGTCTCGAACTCCTGATCTCGTGATCCGCCCGCCTTGGCCTCCCAAAGTGCTGGGATTACAGGCGTGAGCCACCGTGCCCGGCCAACTGTAGCTGCTTATTAAATGCATTTTGAATGGATGAATGGTGCATCTTAGTGCAGTGGAATACATCTAGATTCTTGAGTAAAAAGGCATGAGTTACTCAGGGTCGTGGTTGGTGGTCAAACCGGCACTGAGCCCTAGATCCCACTTACTCACTTGGCAGACGTACTGTGTGTGCCTTGTTCTGGGCACCGGGTTAGGAGCTGGGCTGGATACAGGTGCTGCTAGTTGGCTCTAGGCAGCAGGTTTTGATTGGCAGTACTGGAGTCTGTCTTGGAACGGGCTGCTCCAGGTCTGTGTTCGAGGGCTTCTGGCTCCATGTCAGTGTTGTGAAACTCTCCAGGGGTGGCCTGGAGGCCAAGCAGATGTGGCAGTTCTGCAGCAGAAGCATCTGCCACAAAAGCGGAAGATGACTCCTTTCTTCAGTGGGTCCTGCTCCTCATCCCTGTGACTGCCTTTGGCTTGGGGACATGGCAGGTAAAGACCGGCATCTGGTGTGCGTAACTCTGGGCCCTTGACCTTGCTGCCATCTGCTTGGCCTTATGCTCTGTCACTGTAGGTCCAGCGTCGGAAGTGGAAGCTGAACCTGATTGCAGAGTTGGAGTCCAGAGTTCTGGCTGAGCCTGTCCCTCTGCCAGCCGAGTGAGTGCATGGCTGCCCCCCTAGGGCCTGTTTTACTTGAGTTCAACAGCAGAGCCCTGGCTTCTGCTGGCCAGCTTGCCCCTTTTGGTGGGACTTTTAGTCACTGCCTTGACCTCAGGTGGGAGCTCTCATTATCAGTCATCTGTTGGGCTTGCTGTTGACACCTGACTGCCCTTGTGAAGCTACCTGAGACCGCCTCCTGACATATGGAGGAAAGTCTTATTTTGAGTCCTGGGTGTCACCCTTTTTTCAGGTATAGTAAACTTATCCTCCACAGGGCCCAAGGCCCTGTGGCTGAGGACAGATAATGTAGGTCTCACCGTGAGGGTGGTCGTTTGAAAAAGTGCCCTGAATGATTTGTCTGCTCTCTCCCTAGAATATGCCCTACAGAGATAGGTATATTCAGCCACATTTTCCATTCAGGGTAGCAAACAGTATGCCAGATTTGGCTTGCAGATGGGGTTTTGGCCCACATATTTTTTAAAATTTCACATAAAATATTCATTGAGGAGTCCAGATTTTTAGCCTCTCTTGTAAAGTTGGACTCTGGCAGTGCAGATCCACATTCCCACATGGCATCAAAGTTCCCCTTTGAAGAGCACGCCCTTTGCCTTTCTCCTTCACTTGTCTGGCCCTGGTGGGCTGTGTAGTCTGCCACCCTCAGGGGATTCGTTTTCCAGCCAAACCTTGCTCGGCCACTGTTCTTATCTCCATGCAGCCCAATGGAACTGAAAAATCTGGAGTATAGGCCAGTGAAGGTCAGGGGGTGCTTTGACCATTCCAAGGAGCTGTATATGATGCCCCGGACCATGGTGGACCCTGTCCGGGAGGCCCGGGAGGGCGGCCTCATCTCCTCCTCAACTCAGAGTGGGGCCTATGTGGTCACTCCCTTCCACTGCACCGACCTGGGGTGAGTAGGACATGTGGGAGCTGGCTGTCCTGGCAGAGGCAGTCAGGGTATACTAATTTACATCACTATTTCCTTCACAATCCCCAACCTTGGTAGGACCCTGGGGAACCCAAGATACCCAGGAGATTCAATTCCTTGCATAGTTTAAGTCCCTAATTGTGACATTGACTTAATCTTCTCAGCCAGCTCATTTATGACTGGATAATTTCTGTATGTTGACCTCTGAAGGGAAAGGAGGGATTCGTGAAACAGGGGCCCTGCCTCTGGAGAACTGTCTAGTTGCCCACACATTAGATGATGGCAAGCTATGAGGGGCCAGCAAGAGGACTTCAAGAGAAAGGACCCCAGCCCTACCTTGAGGGAGTGGAGGCAGGGGTGGCTCCCTAGAGGGCTATTTGGGAGTTAAGAGATGGGAAGAACATTCCAGGCAAAGCAAATGACAGGTACAGGAGCACCTGTGTGATTAACTAGGGAACTGGAGGATTCACGTAAAAATGAAAATACCTGGGGCTCTTGTTAACCCATGGGTTCCTGTTTTAGGGCTGGGATGGGGCCCAAGTACTCATCTCCAGCAGGCTGGGGTGCCAGGGCTGCTCCTCACGGCTGCCTTGGTTAGGAGGAGGGATTGGAGACAGCTCTTGCCATAGTTCAGGGGAGAGGTGTGGGGTCTAAACTCTGGCGTGGCAGCGTTGCTCACCAGTTGCACGTTGTAGTAGGTAGACCACAAGAAGCAGAGATAGAAGGGGAAAGCCACACTGGTAAAAAGGTAGTGATGGTGGCAGGGAGCCTTTTACCAACCACGAAGGTGCCTCAAGAGAGGAAGACTTTGCCTGTGTGGCACTGCCAGGGCTCCACTGAGCCAGCCCTGTTTTAAAAGCCTTCCTTGGTGCTCTAGTTGTTCCTATGGGTGCCTGAGTGACCATGAGTGACTGTCTTTAGTCAAAAACCCTCCCCACCTGAAGTAGCACTTTCATTACCCTAGAGTCACCATCCTGGTAAATAGAGGGTTCGTTCCCAGGAAGAAAGTGAATCCTGAAACCCGGCAGAAAGGCCAGGTAAGGGACATGGACTCTTCCTACTTTAGAGAAGGCTCTGGGAGTCCACCAGGCTCCATGCAATCTCACACACCTTCCTTTATAGATTGAGGGAGAAGTGGACCTCATTGGGATGGTGAGGCTGACAGAAACCAGGCAGCCTTTTGTCCCTGAGAACAATCCAGAAAGGAACCACTGGCATTATCGAGACCTGGAAGCTATGGCCAGAATCACAGGCGCAGAGCCCATCTTCATTGATGCCAACTTCCGTACGTTGTGGACCAGCCCATCTCGGAACAAGTAGCTTTTGTGAATACTGTCCTTCCTCCTAACCCTCATTGCCCAGTCACTACTGTGGCTTATGTTCTCACATGTGTATATGGCGGGTGGGAGGAGGCAGCAACTCAGCAAAGAACCTAGGCAAGTACTGAGCGGACAAGGGCGGGGATGGTCACCCAACGTAAAGGCCATACAGGACTTCCAACTGGCCACGCAAAAATGACAGCCACTAGGAAGTGGTGCAGAGGCTGGCAGGCCAGTAGGGGGTGGACTTGAGTCTGCTGTCTCCACAGAGAGCACAGTCCCTGGAGGACCCATTGGAGGGCAAACCAGAGTTACTCTGAGGAACGAGCATCTGCAGTACATCGTGACCTGGTGAGTCCCCAGCGGCCCTCTGGCTTCCTCCCCTTCAGCCTAGCAGCCTGCTAATGCTGGCTTGCTTTCAACCCCTAGGTATGGACTCTCTGCAGCTACATCCTACCTGTGGTTTAAGAAATTCCTACGTGGGACACCTGGTGTGTGACAGATCAGCTGCTGAAGCCCTGTCCCTGGATAATGCAGTATTTCAAGACTGCCTTTATGCTGGATCATGTGCTACTGGTATAAAGTTCTGGCCTTCTACCTTAAATGAGCTCATGACTGGTTCATCATAAAATCCTGGCTTGGTTTCAGTCCAAAGAACTTTCCCAAAACTTGATACTCAAGTTACATCTCTAGGGAACAAAATGCCTGGTTTAAGAATGTATTTAAGGGTGGGAAGGGCCGGGTGCGGTCAGGAGCTCAGACCAGCCTGGCTAACATGGTGAAACCCCATCTCTACCAAAAACACAAATATGGGCCAGCCAGTTGGGATGCTGAGGCACCAGAATATCCTAAACCTGGGAGGCGAAGGTTGCTTTGACATCACACCACTGCACTCCAGCCTGGGCGACAGAGTGAGGCTGTGTCTCAAAAAGATACTTGCTAACCCCAAGTAAGATTCAACCCGAGATACTCAACAGACACTGGCTGAAGGAAAATTTGTATTATTTCAATTATTTTTATGTACAGAAAACTCAACAGTGTACATTTAACCCAGTTTAGTGGCAAGTTCTTTAGCCTTTGCCTTTTCGAGCTTGGCGATACGAGCCACAGACTTAGGACCCAGGACATTGCCACCCCAGTGACGGCGGATCTGAAAAGACAAAAAGAGGCAGTTAGCTTGGCTTACTGTTTTCTGAGATTTTCAAGGTTATTAGTTGCGTTAATTCTGTTTGGCTGTTCCAAGCTGATCGTCAGATAGAACTTCTCATAGGTTAAGCCAGCCAGTTATTTGGGAGAAAGATTTGTGAATGACAGTATTTTGGTGTAAAGCTGCCTCTTACCTCATCGTATCTGTCATTGTAATTGGTCCTGATAGCTTCCACCAGCTTAGCCAAAGCGCCTTTGTCTTCCCTAAAAGGCAGGAGGGGAAACAAAAGTGGGTTTTTTGCCTTAGTTTCCCTTTTAGAATGCAAAAATACCTTTTAGCTCAAGACAGTCTTTTGCCTCAGATGCAATGCTGACCACATGGTTTATTCAGGTGAAGAAATTCTTAACCATCATTGGCAAAAGTTCAGATAAATATATTTCTTAAACTAAAAGATTGGCCTTTAAGGCAAAAGGAAACAACTGTGAGGCATGGATTAAATGAACTGGGGGGAAGTTTGGGGCCAGGCTGTGTACTTACGAGTTCACCTGTGTGAAGGCGACAGTGGTGCAGGTCTTCCTGTGGACTAGACGTCCCAGTCTTGCCTTTCCCTTGATAATGCAGTAAGGGACCCCCATTTTACGACACAGGGCAGGCAAGAAGACAACCAGCTGGAAGAAAGCATTAGCTGAAGACTGTATTTTGACCAAAAGCAGCAAATTTCAGTTAGCTTGTAACAATTGCTCAGGGTTAAAAAGCTCATGGATTCGCACTTCAAGGTTGAATTCAGTGAGAGATTCACATCATTGCAAGAGCCACGCATGTGTTGGATCTGTGTCAGTACTGCCCTCACCCACTTCGGTCCCATCACTGACTTGGCATTAGGTCTACTCTCTCTTCCTGGTACTGCCAGAAGCCCTTGGGTTAGCAGTCAACAGGCAAACGCACCTCGATGGGATCCACGTCGTGTGCAATCACCACCAGCTGAGCTTTCTTGTTCTCCACCAAGGTGGTGACGGTGTTAACTCCTAGAACACACAACCACTTTGTGAGCACTCACAGGGCCTGCTCTAGTCACAAGAAGCTGCTGGGCTCAGCTGCTGACTCAGTGTTAAAAAGCTCGGTTTTACTCTTCACAGTAATTTCAGGCCAAGAAATTTTACATCACTGCAACAGCCCGCCCCCAGTGTTCACCCTAAGGTGGGGCCTACTCACCTGCTCGAAGGACAGGTGGTCTCTTCGTTGGGACGTCCCCTTTGCCAGCAGCCTTCTTCTCGGCCCGGGCCAACAGTCTCTGCTTCTTCTCTTGCTTTGTCTCTGGTCTGTACTTGTGGGCCAGCTTAAGCAGCTGAGTAGCTGGAAAAACACTCTTCAGTTTAGGCTTGGAGTCAAGGTTCTAATCCTTGTCACTTAACACTTAATAACAAATGCTGGACTGCGGTCCTGCTATATGACTATAATTTAATGACAACTGCAGTTCAAGAAGCCTAAGACCATCCCCCTCATGTTCTGGATGAAATAAGGAATCCTTGCCTGAGAAACTCCTTTCCACGCCACAGAACCTCACCTGTTTGGCGGTCCAGGGCCTGGGTGAACTGGTTAATCGCAGGAGGCACTTTCAGCCGCTTATAGAGGATGGCTCTCTGCCGCTGCAACCTGATATAGCGGGGCCATTTCACAAAGCGGGTGAGGTCTCTTTTGGGCTGGATGTCCTGTCCTGAGAAGTAAAGGGTGACACCGAGTGAGGCTCAAATTCCATGTCAAGTTCATGTCTGGGGCCACTAGGAAGGGTGTTGGTGCATCAGCGATCTTGGTGGTTTAAAATGTCATCACCATCTCTCAGATAGCAAATATTCTTTTACATCATCTGCACACAAACACCTGAGAACAAAGAGCACGATGCTTTTCCTCATCTAACAAGAAGCCAAGGTGCCACGAAGTACAGCAGAATTGCAGTCCTAGTACCTCGCTGCGACACTGCTACTGTACTTGTTTCCAGATGGCTAAGCTGAATTCAAGGCCACTACCATATTGAGCTGAATGCTCGCTCAGCAACTCCCAATGAAAGCAAGAAGCATGTATCATTGCCCCCGTCTCTAAGAGACACAAATTAAGGACTGCGACCACTTTACACCCACTAAAACCTACAAGATACAACACAACCCAATTACCACCTTCCCTTGAGAAAAACATAGACCGTTTTCATTCTGCCGTTTGTTACTTACCAATGCCAAAATTCTTAGGCCTTTTCTCAAACAGGGGATTCACCACTTTCTTAGCCTCCTGCTTCTTCACGACAGCTGGGGCCGGAGCCACCTTCTTTCCCTTGGCCTTCTTTCCTTTCGGCTGGGCAGAAAGAAAACGTCAGTTAAACCGCCGCCTCCACTCGCTTCGTCGGGGGTAGGGCTCAGGCTGGCTCCTCCAAAACAAGGGACGCTGACAGCACCTGCCTGAACTAAGCTGGCGAGCAGCTTTCTGCAACCCCCCAGCACCACCCCTCGACAGGAGCATCTCACATTCAGCCGCACAAGCATGCAGCCCCGGGAACCCCGAGTGGCCAGAGCAAGGCTAAGCCCGAGACCACGCTCTCTTCGCGTCGCCCACCCAGGAGACACCCCGGACTCATGACTCCTCTGAGTCGCGGCCCCACAGGCTCTAGAAGCAACAGGGGCGGGCTCAGAACTCGTCGCTCACAAGGCCTCTGGAGCGGCCCCCAGCAAGCCCGAGAGACGCTAGGGCTCCGAGCCCCGCACTGCGGTGCTCCAGGCCTGCGACACCCAGCCCTGCGACACCGGGAACAACGCATTCCGCTCTCGGCCGCCCGGGGCTCTAGTCCATCTCAATGTCTCCGTGCCACACCAAGTGGGGCTCTAATCCACCTCGGTGTCTCCGTGCCACACCGAGTGGGGCTCTCCTAGCGCCAGGAGGAGCAGGAGGCCCTCCGAGGCCGCGCCTGGAGGAGGATGGCAGCGGATACAGCCGGAACCTGGCTATAGTGCCACGGAACTACAGCTCACTCACCATCTTGGGCGGCGGGAGGAGAGAGAAAGGAAAGGGAATTGTGGGTAATATGTATGCGGCCTCGGAGATCGCGAGAGTTGATACCGGCACGGGATTTCGGATTTAAAGCAACAGCATTCCTATAAAGCTAAAAATCGAGGCGGGGCCGAGAGGCTGCGGCGGCTGACTAGGTTTTCGGACCGCGGCGCGGCGGGGAAGAGAGACTGCGGCGGGAGGGCCAGGCCGTGGGAGAGACGCGGGAAAGTGCGGGTCGCAGAGGCACTTGACCACCCCGCCCTAGGCCGACCCGGCGGACGCGGCGTCTGGTGTGCGGGCGCTGGGGCGGGTATGAGGGTGTGGTGGGGGGTGGGGATGGAGGGGGGGTGGGTGTGTGGGCGGGAGTGGGGGTGGGTGGGTGCGTAGGCGCTGGGGTCGGAGATCCCCTTTCCTGCGTGTGACTTATTTCCCACACCCCGCCAAAAATGGGCACAAACAATGCGAGTGCGTCCAGGAGTCCGCTCGGTCGTGCGCCAGACTCCGAACCTAGGGGGCCCCGGGCCCTCCCTGAGCACCGCGCGCAAAGGCCCGGCCCCAGGGCCAGGCAACTCCAGCGCCGAGGCCGTCCAGTGCGGCTGGAGGGCAGAGGCCGAGAGGCGCGGCGCGGAACTTGAGCCCCTTGTCCCGGCGCACCGGGGAACCATGAGGGATGTTAAGCGAGGGAGTGGAATTACCCCCCTTTTTTTTTTCTTTTGGAGACGTAGTCTCCCCCTGTCGCCCAGGCTGGAGTGCAGTGGCGCGATCTCGGCTCACTGCGACCTGTGCTTCCCGGGTTCAAGCGATTCTCCTGCCTCAGCCTCCCGAGTAGCTGGGATTACAGGCGCCTGCCATCACGCCCGGCTAATTTTTGTATTTTTAGTAGAGTTGGGGTTTCACCATGTTGGTCAGGCTAGTCTCAAACTCCTGACCTCAGGTGATCCCTGCCTCGGCCTCCCAAAGTGCTGGGATTACAGGCGTGAGCCACCGCGCCCGGTTGGAATGACCACTTTTTAGGACCTCTTCCCTGCCGCGCAGAGACTGGAGGGAGCGGGGCCCGCAGTGCAGGGATGAGGTCTGGAGCGGGGCAGCCTGAGTGGGAGTGGAAGGAAAGCGTGGATGTAGGCGGTGCAGAGGGGTCGAATTGGAAGGACTCTTCGGATGGGAGGGCGTGGCGAAGGTGGCGGCGGGCTAAGAAGTTAAGCCAAGGGCTGGGGACGGGGAGCTGGTGTTGAGTTTGCAGGGCTCCCTGGGACACGCTGTGGGCCTGGACGTGAAGTCTGGACTGGAGCCCTGGACAGGGCTTGGAGGGCTGGCCAGGAGTTCCAGGATGAGCTTGCTCTGGCAAAGGCGGGGCCAGTCCTGGCACCCCCTGCGGTGTCTGCTGATGGAATGAGTTCATCTGTGTTTCAGTGATTGACTTTATTTGGCAGAAAGGGAATCCCCAGAAATCTGCGTGTTCTGCTAAGGTTGGGGCATAGAGGGTGGCTGGGGTAGACTCTGCCTGCACTCAGAGGTCTGTGCTGCACTCTAGGTCCCAGGTCTCCCCGCTGCGCTGCTTGAGGCTCGGCCATGGCCCAGCAGAGAGCCCTGCCCCAGAGCAAGGAGACGCTGCTGCAGTCCTACAACAAGCGGCTGAAGGACGACATTAAGTCCATCATGGACAACTTCACCGAGATCATCAAGACCGCCAAGGTGGGGGTGGGGTGGCCCACCAAGGGGAGCAGAGTCTGAGAAGGGGTGGAGACAGGAGAGGCCAGGGGCTGAGCAGCGCGAGTGAATAGTGTTCTAGGCAGGAAGCACCCAGTGCACAGGGAGCTGGTCAGTAGATAAGCAAACCAAATAATGGCACGTCCAGCCCTTACTAACAGTATGGATTTGGATGGAGATTTCACTTTTTAGTGCCTCAGTTTCTCCTGCATGGTGGGGTCCTTGTGATGACTGGTGAGTTTATCTGTGTAAAACAGTTACCTCGGGGCCTGGCACACAGCCAATGAGCAGGAGAAAAGCAGACTGAGGGGAGAAGTGGGGGGGGGCCTCCAGGCAGGTGGAGCGGTCAGCACTGGGGCCTGCAAGCCTGCTGACCACTGCAGCTACAGCTGCATCAGATTGGGCTGGATCCCTCCTGGCTGCTGCAGACCTGGCAGGCTCCATAAGCGATGATGATGAGGATGGAAGCTAGCATGTACTTAGTGCTTGCCATGTATCAAGCCACGTTGTGAGGTTATCTGTGCCTGTTCTGCTGAATCTTCATGAGGACTCTGTGAGGTGGGCACTGTTGTCCTCTTCATTTCAGGAGGAAACCCAGGCCCAGGAGACTTAGTGACTTGCCCAAGGTCACTCAGCTCACAACTGGCTGAGCCAGGATTTGAACCCACGAAGTCTGGGTCTTAACCACTGAGGGTACCTGACACCCACCCCGAACTGAGCCTTTGCAAGGCCTGCCGGGAAGCCCCATCCAGCCTCGCTTGGCCACCTATACACCAGGGGTGGCAGGCCAGGCTTCTGTGAAACTGGCATGGGTTAATGGTGGTCAAGTGCATGACACAGCCTGGCACCTGGGAAGTGATCAGGAAATGGTCGCGAAAAAAAACTTAAATCATCCCTTCACTCATCCAACAGTTTACCAAATGCCAAGCAAGTGACAACGGTTCCTACCAAACAGGGCTCCCACAGCCCAAAAAGACCGGGCCAAGATAAGCCCCCATCCCTGCACCTAGTACAGCAAGCAGCGTGGGTTGCCTCTATTTGTCTTGAGCAAAGGTGCATGTTGTCTCCCATGGCCAGAACAAGAGAGGGTGGAATTGAACCTTGTCAGAGGTCTGGCTGACAGCGCTTAGGTCTGTAGATGGCACCACAGACAGGTTGTGGCCAGTGTGGACATCCTGGGTAGATGACAGTTACCGTAAGCTGGGCTGGGCCGGGCCAGGGGTGGGGATGCCTTGGCTGGGTTGATTTCTAGGTTTTCTTGTTTTCCCCCAGATTGAGGACGAGACGCAGGTGTCACGGGCCACTCAGGGTGAACAGGACAATTACGAGATGCATGTGCGAGCCGCCAACATCGTGAGTGGCCAGGGTGGAGGGCACGGCCTGGGCTCCAAGAGCATCAGTCCCCTCAGGTTTCCTGGGTGGAGTGGAGGGGGCTCTGGGGCTGGTCTGGTCTTCTTCCCCCGAGAAGGAGCAGAAGGAGGCAAATGTAGAGATGCTTTGGTTTCACCACTCGGCAGCTTTAAAGAATGAGGTGGGGGCAAATCATTTCTCAGGAGACTGTCCTCACGTGGGGCACTTGGAGGAGGGCTGGGCAGAGAGCCACCCATGCCCGTCCTGTAGCCGTGCAGTGGCCAGAAAGAGGGTAGCCCTTCCTGCTAACTCAGGAGTTCCTAAGGTCAGTTGTGAGTGAAAAGACAAACAGCCGAATGGAACTGTAGGCGCCATTGGATTCCTTCGGATCACAGGAGAAACACAGCAAGCAGATAATTCCGCAGGTGCACGTCCAGGGCTCAAAATGCATGGAAAAAGGTCCCACAGGAGCTCTGCCCAGCTGGCAGCCATGTTAATCCTACCCCGGGGCAGGAGGCAAAATGGGATCGCAGTTTTATCTGTGGGGTTTGAGTTTTTCATGAGCAGAATGTACACCTGCATAATTGGACTGGAGGCCAGTCCTGCAGGAGTGGAAGCCAGAGGCTGACGAGAGGGGAGGGCCTGCCCTGCAGAACTGACATCCCAGTTTTCTCACTTAATTCTCACACATGAACCTGTGGAGGTCAGGGGTAGAGTCCCACTTTGCAGATGAGGAAGCTGAGGCTCCTAGAGAGGCCATCCCTTGCCCAGCATCAGCTACTTGTAGGCAAGGCCGCTGTCCCCCCTCACCCTGTGCCCGCCCTGGTTCTGATGGCCACAGGTCCGAGCCGGCGAGTCCCTGATGAAGCTGGTGTCCGACCTCAAGCAGTTCCTGATCCTCAATGACTTCCCCTCCGTGAACGAGGCCATTGACCAGCGCAACCAGCAGCTGCGCACACTGCAGGAGGAGTGCGACCGGAAGCTCATCACGCTGCGAGACGAGATCTCCATTGACCTCTACGAGCTGGAGGAGGAGTATTACTCGTCCAGGTATAAATAGCGCTGGACTCCCCATGCAGAGCGGGAGCCTGCCTACCTGGGCCTGGCCAGCAGGCAGGGCTGCCTTCTGCTTTTTCAAATTCTTGCTGGTCTTAGCAGTGGAGCCATGCCTGGGTTTCAGAGCAGAGCTCCTGGCCAGAGCGTTTGACCGACAGACAATTCACATCCATATGCCAGGGCCCTGGGCCTTTCCCACAGTGCAATGTGATGAAAACCACAGGACTCACGCCAGTCGGATAGGCCGAGTCTGGAGAAGGGAGGCGCCTGGCTGTATCCCCCGCAGGCCCTCTTCCGAGAGCCTTCCTCCTCGGGCAGTGCGTTCTGGGGCTGTGCTGCTCCTGTTACCTTCTGAATCCATATGTAGAGATTTCAGCCAAGGCTGGGCCAGCCTTTTTTGGGCAGTCAGGTCCACACCTATGTCCAGGGCACCAGGGATGCAATTCCATGTGGATGTCACCAAACCCCAGTGTGGAGGCAGGGACAGTCATGGGAATGTGGGGGATGAAGCCCAGGCAGGGAATGGCCTTGAAAGCCATTGGAGCTCCAATTCGTGACCCACTCAGCCTTATCCACGGAGCTGGAGCCAACCTACGTGCCAGGCCCCGTGCTGGGTCCCAGGGATGCAGAAGGGTCAAAACCCATCATCCTGACCCTTGTGGGGCTCCGTAAGAAGCTGAAACCTTCGACCGTTTGAGCTGGAGGGGCCCTGAGAAATCAGAGTCTACGTATCATTTACTTAGGGGGAAACTTAGGCTGGAGACAGGGAGGCCTTCCACTCTGCCCCATTAGCTTAGAAAATCAAGATTCAGTCCAGCAGATGCAGAGTCCATGTCCATCTTGTGCCTTCTCCTGGACAAACCTTTCCTTCCTGGTGGTGGATTTAAAATACTCCTTTCTGCCCATTGGCCATGCTGGGAGCCACAGATATCCAGAGCCAGCATGACCTGGGGCTTGGTTTCCCTGCCCTGGGCTCAGTGGCACTGCTGAGCTGCAGCAGTCCTAGAGTTTTCCAGGGGGTTCTGAGGGAATCTTTGGTCCCCAGTACTCATTAACTCAGCAGACATGAGGCAGCATTTCCTCCACACTAGGGTGGCTGAGAGGGGTCCTGGGGTGTTTCAGACCCTTCTGGGCATCTCCTTCCACAGCTGTTCAGTTTGTCGGTCTCTTTGAGGCAGCCACCGTCCCTGAGGGCCCCTGCACAGAGCAGCTGTGGGCCTGTAATTCAGCCTGCCTGCCTTGCCTTGGGGCAGGGAGAGAGGGAACCTGCTCACGGCCCTGCAGCAGAGCAGGGCGCAAACCCAGGACATCTGTGCCAGGCTTCCCATGCCCTCCCCCAACAGTCCCTCAGCTTCACCCAGCGGGGCTTCCAGGCCAGCCTGTGTCCCCTCCCGCAGGCCTCCTGTCCACACCAGCGCCCCCTGGGGGGCCTCACACAGCCCCTGTGGCAGAAGCAGTTGCCCTCCTCTGTACATTGCCTTTAAGCGACCAGGTCCTGGCCGAGTTTCCTCTGCCCCTTCTTGCTGGTCCCCCAAAGGGCGCTCCGCTCCCTGCCCTGCCCTGCCCTGTTCCGCATGAGCTGCGCCTCTGTGCTCGCCTGCCCCCTCTCTGCTTGTTAGTTGCTCTTTCTGGCTCTGCCTCTCCTTTGCGTTCCTCGGGATGCCACTCTGTGCCCAGGACGGTTCTGAGACTGAACACTGAGGGCAGGAGCAAGGGAGGAAGCCAGGGGCGAGGCAGGCCGCGGGAAAGCCAGGGCCCCTGCCTGCAGGTTAGAAAGAGGCGAGCGTGGATTGTCACAGCTGCGGGCATGGGAAGGGCTAGCTGAGCTCTTCACCTGCATCCTGGCTGCCGTGAGGATTCCCCGTGTTAGAGGTGGGGACGCCTGCTGGAGGCCGCCTGGCTGATGTAGGGCTATCGGGAAGTGCCAGGGCCTGTGTTCCCAACTGTCGCCCCCTTCAGGCTAAGTCTCAGGCAGGGACAGACCCAGAAAGAACACAGTCTGCCCTCAGAGAGCTCTTTGCAGTGTAGTGACACTGGGGTTTCTGCAGTCAGGGAGGAGGGAGGGTGGCCAGGCTGACAGCTTTTTGCAAGAGGAGGGGGACCAGCACCAGCTGGGAGGCATAGGCTAGGACAGGCCCACGTGGAGGCTGGGCAGGAAGGGCCTGCTGAGGTCACACAGCTGTTGGTGGTTGGGCCAGGGCGGCTTCCTCCTTTCAGAATGCTAGGGTGGCTCTCACCACTGGCCGCCTCTCCTTGCCAGGCCTGCCAACTCAGGGGACAGATGGAGCAGGAGTGGAGAAAGGGAAAGGCAGGTCTGGGGTGTGGTCGTGTTTTCTTAACTCTGCTTCTGTCTTGCTCTCCCCTCCCCTGGCTTTCCTCTCTGCCTGCTCCTGTCTCTCCCTGGGGTTTCTGGTGGTGGAAAAGCTCAAGCCTTTGCGAAGCTAATGACCTGCCTCTGTGCGAAGCTTACGGGAGGCTGGACCTCGACACAGACTCTGCTGATGGCCTCTCGGCCCCTCTGCTGGCGTCCCCGGAGCCCAGTGCTGGCCCCCTACAGGTGGCAGCCCCTGCCCACTCCCATGCTGGTGGCCCTGGCCCCACTGAGCACGCCTGAGCCTCCGGGGCCACGCTTCGTTCTCAGGAACAAAACCTGAGGCAGCCCTTTGGATGCCCTCACAGCCTTGCTTCTCTCAGCCTAGGTTCCCATTTGGGGACTTCAGGACCCCAGAGCCACTAGGACTTCCTTGGGAAGCCCGTTAGCCCAGGGTGGGTCCCGCCAGGACAGTAGGGAAACAGTTGTTTCCCTAGCCATTTCCGAATAGCCCATCATTCCGAGTCATCATCTCTGTTTGCTGCCTTCCTGGCCAGCCAGGTGGAAGAAAGTTTCCAAGCTAGGTCTGGCCCGTTGGGGATCTCAGCAGTGGGGCAGGAGGGTGCCTGATTTCGGGGAGTCCTGACCCGAGCCTGTTGTCAGAGTTGGGAGGGGCTCTGAGCAGTGTTGGGCAGGCCGGGTCTCCCATCCCGAGGCCAGCGTTCCTGTGCAGAGCCCCATCCACTGGTTCTTGCCCTGAGCCACATATGTCTGTGCCATGGGCTGAGTGCCACGACAGGCCCGTGTGACAGCTGCTGCCCACGCATGTGGAAGCTAGGTGGGACTCATTCCTAATTCTGCCGTTGTAATGAGACTTGATTAAAACACCGCCACTTTTTTGCATTGCTGCTCTTTCTTCCTCATTCCTTGTCAGTCCAGGACCATCCTTGGTCTCCCAGCAGTTGTCCGAGCAGCAGCTCCTCAGCTCTGCCTGGACAGCCTGGCCCAAGGTCACTCTCTCCTCATTGGCACCTGGTAGGTCCCCAGTATTCAGTGAATGGACCTGCTGCCATCATTGCACATCCAGGCACCTGTGCCTCTGCTGGCATCTCATCCTCACTGCTACCAGAGCCGGTGCTCCTAGTGCCGGTATTTTAGAGAGGAGAGGATGTGGACTTAGAAGGGGTGAGGTGTACCACGGCCACAGAGCTAGGAAGTGAAGTGGCAGGAATCAGAACTTGAACCTGATGGAAGTCTAGACCCAGTGTCTTTTGGTGCCAGGCTCACCTTAGAAATGCAGAAGTCACAACACTGGGCAGGAAGTGTGGGGGGAGCACAGTTCGTCCACAGGAAGTGTGGGGGAGCACCCCACCCCAGTTCCTCCAGCACCATCCATGTGCTTCATCTTCTCATGGGGGAGGCCATCATCTTTCCCGATGTATGAATGAGGTGACAGCCCAGGATCCAGCCTTGGGGACAGGTAAGAACACAGCTGACCCATCACCACCTGAACCAGAGAACCCCACAGCCAAGCAGAAGGCACCAGACAGACAGGAGCTTGAGGCCCAGTCCTGGCTCTGGACCTGGCTTCTGGGGTGGCCTAGGGAAGTTGCTTCCCCTCTGAGGGAGAATTTCCCCATTGATACGTGTGGTGATCTGTTCCCGCACTATTTTAGCTGTGGAAATGCCTTGTACTTAACCACTGAGGAAGAAAAAGATTACAACCAGATGGAAGCATATATGAAGCGAGAGCCCGGAAGGAACTGGCCAGACTTTGTGGTGGGATCCCACTTACCCTGTTCCTAAAATCCTGAGCGATAAGACCTGCCATCAGCTTCATTTTCTGCTTGGCCAGGACCATCATTCCCATGTGAAAATCAAGTTATTTCTCCTTCTTAAAGCCAAGCCGCTCTGCTGACCTTTTTTCCTCTCCAGCTCATGGCCTTGGCAGCAGAGCTCCACGGGGAAGCAGCTGATAACCATTTGCAGTTCTCTCTTGGGCCTACGTCAGACAGGTTTTGTCTCCATGACTCTAGCAAAACTACACCTATTAAGGTCACCAGTGGCCTCCACATTGCTAAGCCCCGGCCCATTCTCAGTCCATGTAACTCTTTTATCCCAAGCTTTTTATTTTGAGGGCAGTGGAACTCATGGAAGTACTTGTCAGTTTGCCTCTCTGAGCACATTCTCCTTCGTCCATCACCACAACCAGAATGGATGATGATTGCATATCCTCTGGTATCTAGCTGTATTCAGATTTCTTCAGTTGTTCCCCAAATAGTTTTTTTAATGCCTATTTTTTTTCTTTCTAGTCCAGAGGTCTTTTATTTTTTTAACACCCACGATGCCATGAATTCATAGGGAAGAGGTTCCAGCAGCTCAGGCTCCTTCCCATTGGTTCTCACAGTGTGCTGCTCTGGGTGGAGCAGGCTGGCGCTTCAGTTGAATCCAGGTACCTTTCTCTTTGGCTTCCCTCTTTTTCTGATCATTTTCCTTCACGCGTTTCAGGAAGCTCTCTCGGCTCTTAGAGTGCTTAGTGTGCTGAATATGCACATTCATTCTCTTGGCAAGAATCTTGCCCTTACTTGTTTACAACAGTGCCAACAGCATGCTGGGGAACACTGTAGACTCTCCCAGTCTAGCCATGGTGACATTTGTGGGGCATTCCTTTTTGAACAGTACCCATTCCCTTGATATCTACAATATCACCTTTCTCATCAATTTGCATATACTTGGCCAAAGGAACAACTGCATGTTTTCTGAAAGGCCTAGAGAACATATATTGGGTGCCTCTCCTCTTTCCCTTTGTGTTCGTCATTTTGGCGAATTACTGGAAGGTGGCGGTTCCAGCTGAAAGGCTTTTATGCCTGTTTTTATTGTGTGTTGCATTTGGTTGTTATTTTGGAGTCTTAAAATCTAAAACAGGACCAGGTCAGGCCCAGTGGCTCCTGCTGTAATCCCAGCACTTTGAGAAGCCAAAGCGGGTGGATCACTTGTGGTCAGAAGTTTTGAGACCAGCCTGGGCAACATGGAGAAACCCCGTCTCTACTAAAAAGTATAGAAATCGGCCGGGCGCGGTGGCTTACGCCTGCAACCCCAGCACTTTGGGAGGCCAAGGCGGGCGGATCACCTGAGGTCGGGATTTCCAGACCAGCCTGACCAACATGGAGAAACCCTGTCTCTACTAAAAAGTATAGAAATTGGCCGGGCGCGGTGGCTCACGCCTGTAATCCCAGCACTTTGGGAGGCCGAGGCGGGCAGATCACCTGAGGTCGGGAGTTCCAGACCAGCCTGACCAACATGGAGAAACCCTGTCTCTACTAAAAATACAAAAATTAGCCGGGCGTGCTGGTCCATGCCTATAATCCCAGCTACTTGGTAGGCGGAGGCAGGAGAATCGCTTGAACCCGGGAGGCGGAGGTTGCAGTGAGCCGAGATCGGGCCACTGCACTCCAGCTTGGGCAACAAGAGCGAAACTCCACCTCAAAAAAAAAAAGAAAAAAGAAAAAGAAATTAGCCAGGCATGGTGGCACACGCCTATAGTCCCATCTACTCAGGAGACTGAGGCAGAACCCAGGAGGTGGAGACTGCAGTCAGCCAAGATGACACCACTGCACTCCAGCCTGGGAGGAAGAGTGAGACTCTCCATTTCAAAAAATAAATAAAACAGGACCAAAGTGGTGATGAGATGGGAGTGGGTCCACTGAGATTCTGGAGGTGCTCTGAAGGCACAGCTGACAGGATTTGCTGAAGCATTGGATGTGGGGAATAAGAAAGGAGTCAGTGGTTTCAAGGTCTGGCCCAAGCACCTGGAAGGATGGAGCCGCTTTAACTGAAAAAAGGGTTGACAGTGAGAGGAAGAGATGGGGCTTGGGGGGTCAGATGCCCATTCTGAACTCAGTAGGTGATGGTGTTAAGATACCCAGCAGTTCAGGGGAGTCAGCAGCAGCGTCACGCCTATCCTCCATGAAACATCACCTCTAGGCTGGTCTGAATGGCAGTGGGATGTCAGAACTAATTAACCTTAGTGTCACTATAGTTGGCATTCGACCCCCACACTGCTAAATTTGACTGCCTTTTTTAAAAGTGAAAAAAATACATATATCTTGAGACAGCCTGGCACTCCAGGCTAGAATGCAGTGGCGTGATCTTGGCTCACTGTAACCTCTGCCTCCCCGGTTCAAGCAATCGTCTCTTCTCAGCCTCCTGAGTAGTTGGGACTACAGGGGCCGGCCACCACGCTTGGCTAATTTTAAATTTTTTTGTGTGTGGAGACAGGGTTTCACTATGTTGCCCAGGCTGGTCTCCAACTCTAGGGCTCAAGTGATCCTCCCGCCTTGGCCTCCCAAAGTGCTGGGATTACAGGCGTGAACCACTGCGCCTGGCCAAAAAAATTTTTTTAAATCACCTCATGGCAGAAGTTAGGGGAAGAAAGTTTAGTTCTGTTTCAAATACAACAGTTCTGTTTCTAATATATATATCAGCAGCCACCTTTTCAAATTGTAATTTAAGACTCTTAAGTTCTCCCTTCTCTACCAACGGGGTGGCCCTGGAAGGGGCTCTGGGTCCTTAATGAGCCTGTAATTTTCCAGTGCAGGAACTGGGGTGTGGTGGTCCCAAGCCTCAGGCCATGACCTCTCTTTTCTCCTGCCCCTAGTGAGTTATTATAAAGACCACATCTTGTGTTAAAAATCGCAGTGTGGGCTGGGCACGGTGGCTCATGCCTGCAATCCCAGCACTATGGGAGGCGGAGGTGGGCGGATCACCTGAGGTCAGGAGTTCGAGACCAGCCTGGCCAACATGGTGAAACCCCGTCTCTACTAAAAATACAAAAATTAGCTGGGCGTGGTGGTACACGTCTGTAATCCCAGCTACTCGGGAGGCTGAGGCAGGAGAATTGCTTGAACCCGGGAGGTGGAGGTTGCAGTGAGCCGAGATCTTGCCACTGCACTCCAGCCTGGGCGACAGAGGGAGACTCCGTCACCGGGGTGGGGGAGGGAATCGTAGTGTGTAATTCTATTTTTCAGAGCAAAAGCCACTGCCCAGGGGGTCTTCCTTGAACATGCAGGCTCCCTCCCGCCCAACACTTCTCCCTTTTCCCCTGGGCTTTCTTTGGCGCTCCCCTCACCTGACAGTCACACGCTTGCCAGGTTTATCAGTCACCTCTACGGCAGACACTCGCCGAGAACACATCTGTGTGTGTGACACACTGCTTGTGTCCCCTAGGACTGAACCTAGGGCCTGCCACGTGCCAGGCGCTCAGTCTGTGTCCGCCTGAGACCTGAGGCCCCCCACTCCAAAGGACGGAATGAATGTACTGCTGGTCATTCATTCATTTCGCCCCTACTCATGAGCGCCTGCTGTGTCGGGGTTGGGGGTGAGGGGAGCACAGGAACACGTGCGGGACCGGGGTGATAGAGGCACTGAGGCCAGGCCCCGGGGGTGCCCTGCTGCACCGACTCCGGGCGGAGATTGGCTGTCCTCGGCCCGCAATGCTGTGCGCCCCGCCCCGCGCGCCGCTTCCGGCGGAGTCAGGCTTGGCTAATCGAGCGCGCGGGCTGGCGGCTCGGCGTTCGTTTGGCCGCGCCTGCCCGTGTGGTGGTTTCCGGCGGAGGTGGTGAGAGTCGCACGCGCAGCGGGGAAGGTGTGAGTCGTGAACGGCCCGGGTCTCCGCCATGGCCTCTCTACTCGCCAAGGACGCCTACCTGCAGAGCCTGGCCAAGAAGATCTGCTCCCATTCGGCCCCGGAACAGCAGGCGCGCACGCGGGGTAACGCACAGGGCCGGGCCGGGACTAAGGGGCCTGCGAAACGGGGGACGCGGCCGGAGCCGGTGTAGACGAGTCTGTAAAGTACTAGAAAAAAAATCTAAGTGACTTGTGAAATTATCGCCGTTTCCCTTATTTGTTTTTTTTGTTTTTGTTTTTGTTTTTGGAGACGGAGTCTCGCTCTGTCGTCCAGGCTGGCGTGCAGCGACGCGATCTCGGCTCACTGCAAGCTCCGTCTCCCGGGTTCACGCCATTCTCCTGCCTCAGCCTCCCGAGTAGCCGGCACTACAGGCGCCCGCCACCACGCCCAGCTAATTTTTTTTTTTTTTTTTGCATTTTTAGTAGAGACAGGAGTAATGGTCAGTCAGTGGGAAAAGACCCTTTCAGTCCCTTCACTACGGGCATGGTGCGGTGTGGGGAGGAGGAGGATGGCAGAGGGCTCCTGCGCTTAGGGTTCTCATGGCCTGGTGACCACGCTGCACAAGGGAAGTAGATAATCGGGTGGGGAAGCCGACAGCGGGGACGTGTCAGTGCTGTCTGGGCCCAGGAGGAGAGGAGAGCAGCAGGGTCTCTGGAACCACCAGAGGTAAAACGGGGTTTCCTTTTTATTCAAGGACGATATATTGGTTATAGCAAATCCAAAATCTTAAGTGAATTTTCTCATTACCTAGTATGTCTTCCGTCTGTCTTTCTCATCCTTTTTGAAATTTTTTTTTTTTTTCATTAAAACGATTCAGCTCCTACTTTACTTAGACTGATTTCTCCCATTTAAAATGTAAACATTGTCCGGCCGTGCGGCCTCATGCCTGTAATCCCAGAATTTTGGGAGGCTGAGGAGGGCGGATCACAAGATCAGAAGATCAAGACCATCCTGGACAACATGGTGAAACCCCGTCTCTACCAAAAATACAAAAATTAGCCGGGCACAGTGGTGGGCGCCTGTAGTCCCAGCTACTCCGGAGGCTGAGGCAAGAGAATCGCTTGAACTCGAGAAGTGGAGTTTGCAGTGAGCAGAGATTGCGCCACTGCACTTCAGCTTGGGGAACAGATTGAGACTCCATCTCAAAAAAGAAAAAATGTAAACATAACCCCCAGCAGCTAAAATGAAAGCCCTTGCCATTGTGTTTGATGGCAGCATGGTAGCTTATTGTAAAGCAGGGCCAGAAATTGTTAGTGGAGGTGGATATTCAGGTTTTTCTAATGTTTCACTCAAATAATGGTGATGAACGTCCTTGAAGCCTCATCTTTGTGCCTGATGAATTCTCACAAGCAGAACTACTGGGTCAAGGTTGTGGTTCTGAGCTCTAGGATCAGTGTCTCTGGCCCCCGATCCTGATCCTCTTTCGGCATCTTCCTGGGATCAAAGCCTTGGTGAGCCTTTCCTGCCTATTGAATGGGCCATGAGATTGGGACTTAACTCTTTCTTATTTTGCATTTCAGCTGGCAAAACTCAAGGCTCAGAAACTGCAGGGCCCCCAAAAAAGAAAAGGAAGAAAACACAAAAGAAATTCCGGAAGCGAGAAGAGAAGGCTGCTGAGCACAAGGCCAAGTCCTTGGGGGAGAAATCTCCAGCAGCCTCTGGGGCCAGGAGGCCTGAGGCAGCCAAAGAGGAAGCAGCTTGGGCTTCCAGCTCAGCAGGGAACCCTGCAGGTGAGAGGCTTCAGGGCATGTTGGTTCTGTGCAGGGCGGGGCTGGGGCTGGGCTTGGGCTTGGTCCCCTTTGCTCTTAAGAAAAAAAAAGCAGCAGCAGGCGCACAGGGATAGCACGAGACTTCCCCAAGAGCAAAGATCACAGGAGTGCTAGGGTGGATGGGACCGAAGGAACTGTGTGGCATTCCAGGCCACATGGCTAGCAGGATGTCAGGGGGCAAGGCTGTGTCTCTCTGAGGACCTGGAGCAGCTTGGCTTGAAGAGCTTCCCTGCCCTCAGGTCTCTGCAGGGGCCTTGTGAGAGCCAACTTGTTCTGGGGCCCAGGCTACAAAATTTGGAGGAGGTGGTTTGGCTTGCACCGTAGGAAGTGTTTTCTCATACCACGGTGACCTACCTCGTGAGGCACTGAGTTACCTGTTCTGGAGGATGTTGTAGGAACCAGTCCAGGTTGAAGCGGTGGAGTGGAATTTACTGGAATTGCCCTGCAGATCCATGAGTGGCCACAGTGGGACAGGGATTCGTGGCCCTAGGGAGGGAGGGGGAGGGGAAGAGAGGGCCCCCTGCAGTCCTGTCTCCTTCCCTGCAGATGGCCTGGCCACTGAGCCTGAGTCTGTCTTTGCTCTGGATGTTCTGCGACAGCGACTGCATGAGAAGATCCAGGAGGCCCGGGGCCAGGTAGGCGGGCAGGTTTGCTGGAGTGCCGTCACTGCTCTGCCTGTGTTCTCCCTGGGGTCAGCTGTCAGCGAGGGGCCGTAGCCCCTGTTCTCCCCTCTGCAGCGAGTCTGGCAGGGCCCCAGCAGGTGTGCTCTGGGAGAGCAGTTATTTTCTTGGAGAACCTCAGTCCCCAAGCTCATCAGCCTCCTTCCTTCTGGGAAGCTGCCTTTGCTGAACTGACACTGGGATGGGCACCTCCTGTGTCTGTTTCTCTGAATGTCGTAATAGTCCTGTGAGTTGAGTAGGGACTTGAGCTGAGTGGCCAGGCACAGGAAGCACCAATGCAGCTCTTTGTGCTGAATGGTACTGTCTCCCCTGTGTTGGCCCCTACCCACCCTTTTCCTGGGGCCCTTCCTTAAGGCCTCGTGCTGTGTGGGGGACAGTCCCCAGCTACTCTCCTCCGCCATCCCGAGGTACAGTGTGTGGTTCCTAAGAGGTGAGCAAGGCTCTGGGCCCTTGTTCCTGAAGCACAGGTCTCGTTTGGGCTGGTGTAGGGCTCTTGTTGGCCCGGGGATGGGAAAGGCCATTGGGGAGGGCTTCGTTGGGTACCTCGTGAACAGAATGGGCAGCGGTCAGGACAGGTGTTCAGACGCCAACTCCAAGTTCTAGGCAGTGGTCTTGACCCTCCTCATCTATAAAACGATGTATGACATTTGAAACCATGTGCGTAATGTATCCTGGCACGGGGTAAGCACCCGGGAATTGGAAGCTGTGATTCTTATTTGGGGGTCCCTTCTCTCTTTTGGGGTCATTTGCTTTTTGGGGAACATCATGGTGGAACATTGAACTCCGCGGGCCCCTTGTTTGCGTGAGGATTTTCTCACCTGCCTTCCAGCCCTGATTCTTCTCGACTATGGGCCAGGCTGGGGGACCCTGGGATCGAGAGAACTTTAATGAGTGGGTGCCTCTTTCCCCCAGGGCAGTGCCAAGGAGCTGTCCCCTGCCGCCTTGGAGAAAAGGCGGCGGAGAAAGCAGGAACGGGACCGGAAGAAGAGGAAGCGAAAGGAGCTGCGGGCGAAAGAGAAGGCCAGGAAGGCTGAGGAGGCCACGGAGGCCCAGGAGGTGGTGGAGGCAACCCCAGAGGGGGCCTGCACGGAGCCGCGGGAGCCGCCCGGGCTGATCTTCAATAAGGTGAGCGGGAGCTGGGTCCTTGGGCGGGCTGGGTCGGCTTCAGGCCTCAGCGTTGCCCCTTGTTAGCTTCATGATCTCTCTCCGAACCCCATCATGTCTGTAAGGTGGTGACGGGGACCTCGCAGGTCCCTTAGGGTACTGGCCAAGGCTGGGGCCTAGTGCAGGGCTGGCATGAGCTGATGTCATACCTTCCTCCCAGGTGGAGGTGAGCGAAGACGAGCCGGCCAGCAAGGCGCAGCGCAGAAAAGAGAAGAGGCAGAGGGTGAAGGGGAACCTCACGCCGCTGACCGGGAGGAACTACCGGCAGCTGCTGGAGCGCCTGCAGGCACGGCAGAGCCGGCTGGACGAGCTGCGCGGCCAGGATGAGGGGAAGGCGCAGGAGCTGGAGGCGAAGATGAAGTGGACCAACCTCCTCTACAAGGCGGAGGGCGTGAAGATCCGTGACGACGAACGCCTGCTGCAGGAGGCCCTGAAGCGCAAGGAGAAGCGCAGGGCGCAGCGGCAGCGCCGGTGGGAGAAGCGCACGGCCGGCGTGGTGGAGAAGATGCAGCAGCGCCAGGACCGGCGGCGGCAGAACCTGCGCAGGAAGAAGGCGGCCCGCGCCGAGCGCCGCCTGCTCAGAGCCCGCAAGAAGGGCCGCATCCTGCCGCAGGACCTGGAGCGCGCAGGCCTGGTCTGAGTCTTTCCCACCTGGGGCCGCCGTCTTCCGTCCTAGGAGACTCCAGGACACCCTCTGAGTCCTTGACGCTGGCTCTGTCCCAGGATCTCCACAGACCTCGGCCTCTCCATGTGAGGGGGACACAGTGGTGCTCTGCTGAGTTGTGAGGGCCCAGATCACAGATCCCATGTGAGAAAGAGAGAGTTTCAGCGTCATCCTTGAACGCAGGATCCGGGACCTTCAGACCCAGGGAAAGGGTGAGGGAGACTGGGGCCTGGTCTGCTTTCCCGGGCCTGAAAGCTTCCCCGAGGTTTGCAGGGTCAGGGAGGAGGAACGGTGGGGGTGGGCAGTCACTGCCTGTTCCCCACTGCCTGTGTTCGCAGGAGCCACGGGACAGAAGACGGTGGCCTCTGCTGCCGGGCCACGTTAGTCCGCAGCTCACCCGAACAGAGGACAACCCTGAGGTGTGGCATATGGGCACCTGGCACTGGGAGTCGGGGGAGCACGTCCAGGCGTGGTGCATCCTGGGGCAGAACGCCATGGCTCCTCCCCGCTCTCTTGGCTTCTGCCTGTTGGGGTCTCATTCCTTTCTGTTCCCCAGTGCCCCGGGGCGGCATTTTACTGCTCAGAATTTGGAGGGAGGGAGCAGTACCTTCCCGGAGTCCACGCATGTGAGTTGGGTCAAGTGCATTGGACCTAGGGAAAGAGAAAGAAAGAATAAAAGCTGGAGAGAGAGTGAAGTGAATGCAAGATACAAAGTGGGATGGAAGAATTAAATCCAGAGTTCCAGGCAATCAAAATGAGTGCAGGTTGAAAGAAAACAGGTGAATTTTAGTGGCATATGGATGATAAAGCTGTAAATAAAATTCTTTTGATGAAACTCTCCGGTTATGAGACAAAGACTGTAACTGAACAGGAGCTGGTGTGACTGTTACCAGACAGAGGCAACTGATGAAAAAGCCCTGTGAAAGATAGGATGTGAGGTGAGCATGAGCTTGAGCTGAGAGACAGACACAACAGTATCTGAAAAGAATACATACTCTTTCCATGCATATATGGAACATGGATGGAAACTGACCACCTACTTTGTCCAGAAAAGAAGTCTTAAGATATTTCAAGGAATCAGTGTCGTTATCTGACCGTATCCCAATGTCATTAAAAAAAATTTGAGCTATTTTTTTTTGTTTTTTAGATAGAGTCTTGCTCTGTCACTCAGGCTGGAGTGCAGTGGCATTTCATATTTGGAATTTTTAAAACACACTTATAAATTACCTATGAGTTAAAGAATTCCGAATGGCTATTAGAAATATTTGGGACTAAAGGATAATGAAAATGCTACGTATTAAAATTTGTGGAACAGGGCCTGGCATGGTGGCTCATGCTGTCAATCCCAGCTCTTTGGGAGGCGGGTGGATCACTTGAGATCAGGAGTTCAAGGCTAGCCTGGACAACATGATAAAACCCCATCTCTATTAAAAATAAAAAATTAGCTGGGTGTGGTGGTGCAAACCTGTAGTCCCAGCTGCTTGGGAGGCTGAGGCGGGAGAATCACTTGAACCCAGGAGGTAGAGGCTGCAGTGAGCCAAGATCGAGCCGCTGCACTCCAGCCTGGGTGACAGAGCAAGACTGTCTCAAAAAGAAAAAATTTAAGATTTGTGGAACAGAGCTAAAGCAGCACAAAAAAACATAGCCCCTAAATGTATGTGCATCTACAGATAAATAGTGCCATTTATACACACATACGCTGTATGTCTGTATTTTTAAAGCTAAAGAAAAATAAGCATGCAGCTTAAGTTGGAACAACTCAAAGTAAATGGAAGAAAAATCTCCAAAACTGACTAAAAGTAATAGAAAGCCTGAGTTGTAATCACTGATGAAATTGAGTCAGTAGTTAAGAATGTTCCCCTAGACGGTTTTACAGGGAAGTTCCACGATATAGAGAACAGGTAATTCCAGACGTAGACAAATTCTAACAGAATCAATTGAGAGAACACTTCATTCGTGAACTTAGCTTTGATACCAAAACTAGGTAAGAGAAAGGGAAGTTACCAAATACCTGTGGGCGGCAAGCCACCCAGGCGCCGAGGCAAGAGACAGAGGACACGAGCTGTTCCAGTATAATAAAATATAAAACAAGAATAGTTACAGCAGATATAGATCTTAGATATGATTACATATGAATATCATTAATCATTAGTTTGTAGCAATTACCTTTTATTCCAATATTATAATAATCCTCGCTCTATAATCATAGCCTAGGAAAAACCAGGCCATACAGAGATAGGAGCTGAGGGGACATAGGTGTGACCAGAAGACAAGAGTGCGAGCCTTCTGTTATGCCCGGACAGGGCCACCAGAGGGCTCCTTGGTCTAGCGGTGACGCCAGCGTCTGGGAAGACGCCCGTTGCCAGGTGGACCATGGTCTAGCAGTAGCAAAAAGTATCAAGGAACAACACCCGCTACTTAGCAGACCGGGAAAGGGAGTGTCCCTTTCCCTGGAGGAGTTTAGAGAAGACTCTGCTCTTCCACCTCTTGTGGAGGGCCTGACATCCGGCAGGCCTGCCCGCAGTTATCTGGAGGCCTAACCGTCTCCCTGTGATGCTGTGCTTCAGTGGTCACGCTCCTAGTCCGCCTTCATGTTCCATCCTGTACACCTGGCTCTGCCTTCTAGATAGCAGTAGTAAATTAGTGAAAGTACTAAAAGTCTCTGATATGCAGAAGTAATGGCATAAGCTGTCTTTCTCTCTGTCTCCTCTCTCTCTCTGCCTCGGCTGCCAGGCAGGGAAGGGCACCCTGTCCAGTGGACACGTGATCCACGTGACCTTACCTATCATTGGAGATGACTCACACTCTTTACCCTGCCCCTTTTGCTTTGTATCCAATAAATAACAATGCAGCCAGACATTCGGGGCCACTACCGGTCTCCGAGCATTGGTAGTAGTGGTCTCCCGGGCCCAGCTGCCTTTTCTTTTATCTCTTTGTCTTGTGTGTGTATTTCTACACTCTCTCATTGCTGCACACAGGGAGGGAGAGACCCACGGACCCTGTGGGGCTGGTCCCTACAAATACCAATGTCAAGATTTTAGACAATAATAAACCAAGTTTAGCAAAGTGCCACACTGGATTTAATTCAGAATTGCAAAGCAGTTTCAATGCCAGAGAATCAAGAGTGTAATTCATATCAATAGATTAAAGGAGCAAAACCCACGTGACCATCTCAATGGTTGCAGAACAGGAACACAGTAAATGACGCGACAGCCATTTATAACGAGTTTTTAGCAAACTAGGAATTAAGGTATTTCCTTACTCTGATAAGGGGATTTGGAGCCAGGCATGGACCCATCTTGAAACTACATTCTGGGTCAGGCAAATGTAGATGTATTGGAGGGAAAGACATCCCCATGGGTTCCCAAGAGGTGAAGTCATCATAGTGAACTAAGGGGCCAGTGAGGGTCTGGAAAAGGCCACTGCCATCACCTGGCTACAGAGACTGAAGAGGCGGGGGGGGGTCTCGTCCTGAGCAGAGACAGGACAACTGGGTGGGCCAGTGAGGGCTGCAGGTGGGGGAAGCTGAGAACCCAGCAATATTTTACTGCCACTGGATGTCTGCACAAGGAACCTATGCCAGCCAGGGAGGTTGAGAGTGAGGCTCAGTGGGGACTGGCATACTGGCTGAGTGGATGCAGTCATTGAGCAACGCATGTCATGCATGGCGTGGGCCATCACTCTGCTGGGTGAAAGTTTCAGGAGCGAATGAGACCCAGCCCTAGCTCTCAAGGAACCCATAGTCTCATAGGTAGTGGTCCTGCAAAGTGGCCAGGGAAAGGATCGGGGTGCAGGGTGCTGAAGTCACATGGAAAGTTGTGAACGTTGCCGGTACCAAAATGGAGTCACTTATGTCAAACTAAAACAGTTGGAGGTGATGAAGCAGCCCTCACGCACACATTCCTGCAACAGGACTTACCACAAGACATTTCTACAAACAGACCAATAACAGGACTCACTGCAAGACCATCCTCAACGGTTGCAGTATTCCAGATAAGCTGCTATTCCCAAATCCATTTATTTTAGAGAGTCTATCTCTGGATTTCTTCATAGGTTGACTGTGTCATGTAGGATTCAGTATAGTGAACAAAGATTGGGGAAAGGCAGACCCCAGGCAGAAGATCAGAGGCAAGGGGGACAGTCATGCATTTGTAAGGTCTAAAAAGTTCAGTCTGCTTTTGTGATACCTGACGAATTTTCATATGTTGTGTTTTCATTCAGTTCAAAATACTTGCTAATTTCCCTTTGATTTATTCTTTGGCTAATGAGTTATTTAAAGGTATGTCATTTAGTTTCCAAATATTTGGGAATTTACCAGAGATCTTTCTGTTACTGATTTCTAGTTGAATTTCATTGTGGTCAGAGAACATACTTTGTATAACTTGAGTCCTTGGCTGGGGCGTGGTGGCTCACACCTGTAATCCCGATACTGGGAGGCTGAGGCAGGAGGATCATTTGAGCCCAGGAGATTGAGGTCAGCCTGGGCAATGCAGCGAGACCCTGTCTCTACAAAAAAATTTAAAAAATCACCCTGGGGCGGTTGCCCACGCCTATGCCTATAGTCCCAGCTACTCAGAAAGCTGAGGTGGGAGGATCACTTGAGCCCAGGAGGTTGAGGCTGCAGTGAGCCATGTTCCTGCCACTGCACTCCAGCCTGGGCAACAGAGTGAGACCGTGTATCAAAAAACAACAAAAAACCACTTGAATCTTTTTGAAGTTAACAGGGTTTGTTTCATAGCCCAGACTGTGGTCTCTCCTGGTAAATGTTCTGTGTGTGCTCGAGAAGAATGTTTTCTGCTCTTGTTGAGTCAAGTGTTTTAATGTCAGGTCCAGTGGAGTTCAAGTTCTGTATCCTTGCCAATTTTCTTTTCTTTTTTCTTTCTTTCTTTCTTTTTTTTTTCTTGAGACAGAGTTTTGCTCTTGTTGCCCAGGCTGGAGTGCAATGGCGCGGTCTTGGCTCACTGCAACCTCTGTCTCCTGGGTTCAAGCAGTTCTCCTGTCAGCCTCCTGAGTAGCTGAGATTACAGGCATGCGCCACCATGCCCGGCTAATTTTGTATTTTTAATAGAGATGGGGTTTCTCCATGTTGGTCAGGCTGGTCTCGAACTCCCGACCTCAGGTGATCTGCCTTCCTCGGCCTCCCAAAGTGCTGGGATTACAGGCGTGAGCCACTGCACCTGGTGCCAATTTTCTATCTATTCATTCTGTCAATTATTGCACTTCATCAAAAATTAAAAATTAGGAAAACAGATAAAAAGGCTCACAGTGGGAGAAAATATTTGTAAAACATACAGTATAATAAAGGACTTGTGGCCGGGCGTGGTGCCTCACTCCTGTAATCCCAGCACTTTGGGAGGCCGAGGCAGGTGGATCACTTGAGCTCAGGAGTTCAAGACCAGCCCGACCAAGATGGTGAAATCCATCTCTACTAAAAATATAAAAATTAGCCGGGCGTGGTGGCAGGTGCCTGTAATCCCAGCTACTTGGGAGGCTGAGACAGGAGAATCACTTGAACCTGGGAAACGGAGGTTGCAGTGAGCCGAGCTGTCGCCACTGCACTCCAGCCTGGAAGACAGAGCAAGACTCCATCTCAAAAAATAGTAAATAAATAAATAAATAAAATGGCATAACCATTTTGAAGGTTCGTTTTTGCATAAAGATGTCCAGTGTTCCAGGACCAGTTGCTGAAAAGACTGTCTTCGTAGAATTGCCCTTGTACCTTCATCTGAAATCAATTGGCCATAAATCTGTGTAGGTCTATTTCTAAACTGTGTGTTCTGTTCCCCTGAACCTTTCGCCAGCGCCACACCGTCTTAATCACTGCAGCTCTATAGTAAGTGTTGAAATCGGGTAGCATGAGTCTTCCAACTTTGTTCTTTTTGAAATTGTTTTATTTCACATTTACTACATATAGTCATTACTTAATCTGCATTTGCTCTTAAAAAATGTAGCTCTTCTGGTTTTTAGGAAGGCTTGATTTTTTTTGGGTCTAGTTGCTACTTACTGTTCATACCCTTAAATAATATCTTTAGTCCCCTCAACCTTTAAAAGAGTTCTCATAGTTCCCTACTATGAAATAATTTGTAAACCTTTCCCCTCTCTCCCTTCTCTCTCTTTTCTACCACCCATGGTTTTTTTTGTTTTTTTTTTTGAGACAGGCCTCGCTCTGTCACCCAGGCTGGAGTGGAATGGCGCCATCTCAGCTCACTGCAACCTCTACCTCCCAGGTTCAGGCGATTCTCCTGCTCCAGCCTCCCTAGTAGCTGGGATTACAGATGCGCGCCACCAAGCCTGGCTAATTTTTGTATTTTTAGTAGAGATGGATTTCACCATGTTGGCCAGGCTGGTCTCGAACTCCTGACCTCAGGTGATCCACCTGCCTCGGCCTCCCAAAGTGCTGGGATTACAGGTGTGAGCCACCATGCCCGGCCCACCCATTTTTTGAATGAATACTATTATATTTCTTAGTATTTGCCTCTGTCCTCTTTAATATGCTAAACTTCTCAGTTTGTCAGCATTAAGTGATGTCTTTAGAATCCAACTATAATATGAAGGAATCAGCAGGGCGATTCTATTTTCCATCCTCTCTCTGCTTTCTTGTCTCATACTGTTATAGCTGCCTTTGTAAAATTGTTTTTTTACACATTCTGTTACCTTTGTGTATGAGTTTGCTAGGGCTGCCATTAACAAAGCACCGCAGAGCAGCTTAGGTGAGAGGAATTCATTGTTCACAGCTCTGGAGGGCAGGGGTCCAGTCCAGACATCAGCAGGGTTGGTTTCTTCTGAGGACCCTGAGTGAAGGCTGTTCCTGGGTGCTGTCCTTGGCCTGCAAACAGCATCCTCTCATCTTCCCCCTGTGCCTGTCTGTGGGTCCTGATTGCCTCTTCTTATAATAAGGACACCAGTCACATTGGATTAGAGCCCACCTTAGTGACCTCATCTTAACTAATAACATTTGCAGTGACACCATTTCCAAACAAGGTCACGTTCTGTGGTGCTTGGGGTTAAGACATCAGTGTGTGGATTTGGCAGGGAACACACCGTACGTACCCATCACAACTTGCTGCTGTTTTTATCTCGGTCCCTGTCCTCTAGTTGAATATGTGAGTGCTCACTCCCTGTTCCTCTTACTATCTGTGATCATCTCTCAGTTAACTAAAATTCACTCTAGTACAGCGGTACTTTTGACCAACATTTTTTGCCCCAGTGACTGGTTTCTTGGAAGACAATTTTTCCATGGACAGTAGGGGTGGTGGGAGGGATGGTTTGGGGATGAAACTGTGCCACTTCAGATCATCAGGCATTAGATTTTCATTAGGAGTGAGCAACCTAGATCCCTCGCATGCGCAGTTCACAGTAGGGTTTGCACTTCTATGAAGATCTAATGCCACCGCTGATCTGACAGGAGGCAAAGCTCAGCAGTAATGCTCCGCCTCAATTCGTTTGTTTTAGCAAAGTTGTCTGGACTTCTACCTTGGAGTCTGTCCTGTCTTGGCTCTGCCCTGCCAGCCAAGGACCTGCCTGCTGCTGCCTCCCCACCGCTGCTTCCCCTGCTGCTGCCTCCCCCGCCACCGCCTCTCCTGCCTGCTTGCTCTGCTGCTGTTGTGCCTCTTCACGTCCCTGTTTCTTCCTGGCTGCACTTTCCACAGCATCTCTAGACTTGTGTCTGTGGCCTTTGCTTCCAGTCCTTCCTAAGTTCCACCAGCACCTGTCCACCTGTTCTTCCTGGGGCCGCAGAGTTCCCCATGGCCATTTCCGCTGCAGCCACTCCCCTGGCCACTTCCCCAGCTGCATCATGGGGCTGCCCGCTGGCTTGCCACTTTCACTTGGCTTTGTGGCAGTGGTTTTCTCTGTGTTTTCTTCATCTGCAGGGAAGTCTTGCTGTTCCCTTTTTGTTTGTTTGTTTTTGAGACAGGGTCTTGCTTTGTTGCCTGGGCTGGAGTGCAGTGACATAGTCACAACTCACTGCAGTCTTGACCTCCTGGGCTTAAGCGATCCTCCCGCCTCAGCCTCCCAAAGTGCTGGGATTCAGGAGTGAGCACTGCACTGGCCACCCGCTCCTTTTAGGTTTCTTTTTTCCCTCTGGTATCTTTGGGTGGATATTGATACTCATATTTGGATGAATTGGGTTTCCTGGATTGGGAGGGTGGGGCTGGCAGAGCCCAGAGTATAACTTTTCTGGTTTTGAGCCTGCCCCTCTCCTGACGTGCAGTAGCCTCTAGTATGGGCTGCCTCTGTGGCAGGGCAGGCTGAGTGCCGGAGCCCAGTAGGGCCAGGAGCGCCTCCACCACCATCCACAAGATCCCCTCTTATCTGGAAGTGGAGTGTCCACCCAGCACCCATGCCCCACTTCCGTGTGTGTTTCCGCAGCTCCACTCCCTGCTGGTGTTCAGCCCCTTCCCAGCAGTCCCATTCAGGCTAGGGCCTTCTCCTTCTGGGGTGTGACCCTGAGGGTTTCCTGTTCCCACCTCCTCCCGGCTTTCTCCACGCTCCCGCTGCCCCCCGACACCTGTTCACCCTCGGGACTCCATGCATAGTCTGCTTGTCTTTAAAATATAATAATTATTTTTTGGACACAGGGTCTCCCTGCGTTGCCCAGGCTGGAGTGCAGTGGCTCTTCACAGGTGCAATTATACTGCACTGCGGCCACAAACTCCTGGCCTCAAGCGATCCTCCCACCTCAGCCTCCCAAGTAGCTGAGACCACAAGTGCATGCTATTAAGCCTGGCTTAAAAAACAACGTATTTATTGAAAATTTGAGGTTCAGTAAGGCCACCAGATCAGGAGATAATTGCCATTGAAAGGATAGTTTACGACAGTTTCCAGGAGAAGGGGTACCCCAAGCCACACAGGGCCACACGGGGAAGTGCTGGAGTCGGTCAGGAGGCAGGAGAGGGCAGAACTGTGGGTGAAGCCCGTAATGTGGTTTCCATGGGAGGGGGTGGGCGAGGCGGTAGGGAGGCTTAGGCTTGGCTCATTTGAATGATTTCAGCGCGCTCTGGGGTGTAACACCTGCATGCTCAGTGAGCTCCTCGAGGAATCCCCCGTATCGCTGCAGTAATTCCCGTATACGCCTTGTGAGGGCTGCACACAGGCTGTAGTGGCCCTTCTGCAGCTCAGCGTGGATGGCTTCTCCAGGGTCAGCCAGAAGCAGTGGGGTCAGAGCGAAAACCAGGGCTTCCTGGCTGTGACGCATGTGCCTTCAGCCACTGAGCTGCCCTGCTTACCCCACAGGAATTGGGAAGACATCAGGGAGGGCTTACTGGGGAAGGTGAGCATCAACCTTGACCCTGAACGATGGGAAAATTAGGATGGCAGAAAAGGGCATTCAAGAAAGGAAGAATTGGCCAGGCACAGTGGCTCACGCCTGTAATCCCAACACTTGGGGAGGCCGAGGCGGGCGGATCACCTGAGGTCAGGAGTTCAAGACCAGCCTGGCTAACATGGTGAAACCCCATCTCTACTGAAAATACAAAAAATTAGCCAGGTGTGGTGGCAGGCGCCTAATCCCTGCTGCTTGGGAGACTGAGGCAGGAGAATCACTTGAACCAGGGAGGCGGAAGTTGCAGTGAGCTGAGATCCCACCATTGCACTCCAGCCTGGGCGACAGAGTGAAACTCCATCTCAAAAAAAAAAAAAAAAAAAAGATACAAAAATTAGCCAGATGCGGTGGCACATGCCTGTAGTTCCAGCTACTTGGGAGGCTGAGACAGGAGAATCGCTTGAACCAGGACGGGGAGGTTGCAGTGAGCCTAGATCATGCCACTGCACTCCAGCCTGGGTGACAGAGTGAGACTCCAACCCCCTCCCCCCGCAAAAAAGGAAGAATTATATATATGATTATTATATATTATATACATATTACATGTACTATATAGAGAGATGATACATAGATATAGATCTATAAACAGATGGGATCTTGCTATGTTGGTCTTGAACTCCTGGCCTCAAGCAATTCTCCTGTCTCGGCCTCCCAAAGTGCTGGGATTACCAGCGTGAGCCACTGCTCCTGGTCAAGAGAGGAAGAATTTTTTGTTTTCTCAAACAAAGGAAGGGAAGGTTCTGACACGTGGGAAGTTTCCCCAGGGACGGAGTCCCTGTAAGGACAACGGGGCCGCGCAGAGCCTGGACGCTCAGGCCAAGGACTGACATGTCCCCAGAGCAGAAGGGCTGTGTCTGAGTCCCCGGTGAGGGTCGTGAGGACAGAAGACTCAAGCCCAGCAATACAGGCTGGGGCAAAAACACAGACGGGGTGGTCAACTGCGGGACAGAGATCAGCAGGAACTGTGGCTGTGCTGGCAGGATCCACTAACTACATAAAGTCATCAGTAAACATGGACAGTACATTTTTTATTTTTTTGAAATGGACTCTTGTTCTGTCACCCAGAATGGAGTGCAGTGGTGCGATCTCAGCTCACTGCAACCTCTGTCTCCCAGGTGCAAGCGATGCTCCTGCCTCAGCCTCCTGAGTGGCTATTACAGGTGCACACCACCACACCCGGCTAATTTTTATATTTTTAGTAGAGATGGGGTTTCACCATGTTGGCCAGGCTGGTCTCGAACTCCTGACCTCAGGTGATCCGCCCGCCTCGGCCTCCCAAAGTGCTGGGATTATAGGCATGAGCCACCATGCCCGGCCCATGGGCAGTACATTTGTGGGCTGGTGGGAGAGGGCTTGTCTTGGGCCTGTGCAGCTCCTCAGTTTCTCAGTCACCATGATCCTTGGAAAAGAGAAGATTCCAGGAAAGAGTAGAGAGATGACCTGGTTCCCCAGTATCAGGAAGGCGGAAGTGGCAAAGGGAGCAGAGACATTCAACGGTTCACGGGCAGAGCCAGGCCATGGGGGAAGGACCTTCTAAGATAGCCAGAGGCTGTGAATCCACATACAGGGTAGTGACACACACGCTCGACTCAGACTTTTGGGTCCTGTCCATAGCTGTGAAAGGGTACACTCGGGGACCTGCTGCGAAGGTTTGTTGTGCAGTCTCATGAGATGACACCAGCAGTGTGGTGAGACTCCTGCCTGGGCCGTGGCAAGATCTTGATCATGTTTAGCTCCTTTTTCACGAAGAAAGCTCTGCAGCCTGGGCCTGCCATACCCAGGGCGGGGAGGGGGGTGACTGCTCTTCGCTGATGCTCCAGTGAAAGGGGGGCACCTGGGCCCGAGGCAGATGCAACGGAGTTCCCAGTGACCAGCAGCCGGAATGACCTCTCTGAGCACGTCTGCATTCAACAAACCTGGACCAGGCTCAGCACAGGCCAGGCGGGGCACTGCAGGCATATCTGTGGAATGAGAGAATGAAGCTCCCCAAACACCCAGGCCTGAAAGAGGAGCAACAAGAAAGGAGTGAAGGAGTGGGGAGGAGCAGCGAAGAAACTTCCTGAGCGCCTCCTCCTGGCAGGACCTCCCATCCATCGTCTCTGACCCTCACAGAGTTCTACAAGGGAGTCTTCTCACCAAGCAGGCACTCCACGGAGTTGGGGTTTCTGCCCGCATTATTCAGCAATGAGGCCGCAACCAGAATGGTGCCTGGCACTTAGTGGGCGTTCAGCAATTCTCTCTCTCTCTTTTTTTTTTTTAAGACAGAGTTTCGCTCTCGTTGCCCAGGCTGGAGTGCAATGGTGCTATCTTGGCTCACTGCAACCTCCACCTCCCAGGATCAAGTGATTCTCCTGCCTCAGCCTCCCGAGTAGCTGGGATTACAGGTGCCTGACACCACGCCCAGCTAACATTTTTGTATTTTTAGTAGAGACAGGGTTTCACCATGTTGGGCAGGCTGGTCTTGAACTCCTGACTTCAGGTGATCCACTGGTCTTGGCCTCCCAAAGTGCTGGGATTACAGGTGTGAGCCTCTGCGCCCAGCCAGCAAATGTCTCTTGAATGAATGAATGCCAGTGTGATCGATGCTGAAGCTGTGATGAGCAAGGATGTGACACGTCTGAGGTCACAGATGCTGGACTTTCACCCCGATCCCACTGCAGGGCCTCTGTCTGCCATGGATTTTTTTTTCTTTCTTTTCTTTTTGAGACAGAGTCTCACTCTGTCGCCCAGGCTGGAGTGCAGTGGCACAGTCTCGGCTCACTGCAACCTCCGCCTCCCAGGCTTAAGTGATTCTCCTGCCTCAGCCTCCTGAGTGGCTGGGACTACAGGTGCATGCCACGATGCCTGGATAATTTTTGTATTTTTGGTAGAGACAGGGTTTCACCATCTTGGTGAGGCTGGTCTTGAACTCCTGACCTAAAGTGATCTGCCCACCTCAGCCTCCCAAAGTGTTGGGATTACAGGCGTGAGCCACTGCGCCAGGCCCCTTTCCCTCTTACTGGTCTTCTTTTGAATTTAGTTTTTAAAACAATCTTTTCAGTTTATTTGTTGTCTTATTCACTGACAGTCTTTTGTTTTCTTGTTTGTTTGTTGACTTTAACAGGTGCTTTAGGGTTTATAGTATGTCTTTAATTTATCACAGTCTACCTTCATCTAGTATAAGAACCTTACAGCTGGGCTCAGTGGCTCACGCCTGTAATCCCAGCACTTTGGGAAGTCAAGGCGGGTGGATCATGAGGTCAGGAGTTCAAGACCAGCCTGGCCAACATGGCGAAACCCCATCTCTACTAAAGATACAAAAAATTAGCTGGGTGTGGTGGTGTGTGCCTGTAATCCCAGCTACTCGGGAGGCTGAAGCAGGAGAATCATGTGAACCACCAGGCAGGAGAACTGTGCACCACCACACCTGGCTAGTTTTTGTATTTTTAGTAGAGATGGGGTTTTGCCATGTTGGCCAGGCTGGTCTCAAACTCCTGACGTCAAGTGATCCACCTGCCTTGGCTTCCCAAAGTGCTGAGATTACAGATCTGAGCCATCACACCTGGCTATTATTTTTATTATTTTACACTTTCTTCCAGAATTACTCTGTATTTAATTAGCACAATAATGACAGCAGCTGGCATCATTGAGCGTTCTCTGTCAGGTGTATCTTGCTGAGCACTGCCCCTTTGCTCTCGACTTTCATCTGAGGGTGTTGACAAGGTCGGAGAGAATGGGGGGTGGTGGAGACGGAAACCTCTGCCCCAGCTCAGCAGAAGGCTTCAGCACGCAGATCACATTCCTCAGTCCTAGGAGGAGGTGGGTGGTACCCAGCACTGCCCCTGGTAGCTCACAGGGTCTGATCCGGGGCCTTTGCCCCCTCAGGGTCCCTCCAGCTGAGGTTCTTCAGTGGCACAGTTTGCCCTCAAGGCTGCCAGTTGCCGAGCCTTGTAGGAGGGGCTGAGAGAGGCCTCCCAGCAGGTCTGCCCACCTCCCCAGCACCAGAGCTCTCCTGGGTGGGGAAAGGGAAGGCCCTAGACCAGGTTGCAGGCTGGCCGGCCGGCTGGCAGACACTCACAGCATGGTGACCTTGGCTTCCAGGTTGCCCCCTTCCAGGGTCGTGAGGGTCATGGGTGTCACCGATTCCAGATTCATCTCAGGGAACTCCCTGTCCACCGTCATGGCCTTCAGATACCACGTCCCTGACACCTGGAGAAGGCCCCTCTCTATCAGGCTCAGGCCGACCGCTCCAGAGCCTCCCCCTTCCCTGGCCTGCAGCCCCCAGACTCTACCGCACCCCACAGGCTGGAGACGGGGAACATTCCCCAATCTAATCCACCCAGAAAACACCCAGCACCCTCGCCAGGTCCACCCGAAGGTGGCTCCAGCCCCCACAAGTTGGCCAGGACCACAGGAGCCCTCACCCCCAGGAGAGAAGTGAAGTCAGCCAGACCCCCACCTTCCCAGCTCTGCCCCTCTGCATCCCTGTCCCCCCAGCCCAGACTCCTGCTGTCCCATCTCACCATCTTTCAGGGCAGGGCTTTTACGCCCAACCCGAAAATGAGGGTCTCCTTGGATGGGGGAGGGATGTGGTCTCCATCCAGCAGTCTCAGCCTCGCCCCTTGCCCCCTCCAGCCCACCCTTCCCATCCAAGCCTCACATCCTGAATCTCCTCGTCTGAGGCCAGGAGGTGGTGGGCCTGCAGGGCAGCAATGAGGCCGAGGCTGACGGCCAGGAGCAGGGGCTTCATCTCCGGGATCTGAGTCCACGGCCGCCTGACGGTTTGCTTGCTGGGGCTGGGAGAGGGTGTGCCACTCCCACAGCCACCCTTTATACCGCTGGGCTCAGGATCCCCCGGGGACCTGGCACAGGTGACTGACCAATCCCTTCCTGGATGTAAACCACGGCCAGTTCTGCAATGGAGCAGGTAACGTGCCATTGTTGCTGGAGGCTGGTGAATAACAGCTTGTTAATTCCAGAGGATCATCCGGACAGGACCAGGTCCAGAGGAGCGGGTTTGCAGATTTCACCTGGGAGGAAACTGAAGGGAGTGAAGGGCGTGCAGGCCTCCTGGGGACATGTGCGGCAGTAACAGGCGCCCCCCAGCCATCCCACACGGGCTGACGTGCACACCGTCAAGGGGGTTTGGGGTTGGAGTCCGAGGGTCGTGGGCTTGGGGCTCGGCTGAGCTTCCTGCATCTCTGGGCAGGTTACTTGGCCTCAGATTCATCATGGAAAAAAAGGGACCCTCCTGTGTGAACACGATACCGTGTGCATTTAAGGACGGTGTCCACTGTCCTGAGCAAGGTGTGCAGTAAGGACCCTCTCTGCTCCACACACAGAGCAGCAATAGGTCAGACAGACAGAAGACCAAGACAGGTGTGTGTGTGTGTATGCAGGTGTGTACATATATACATGCACACACATGCACAAACACACACACACTCACATAAAACAAGGAATGGAGGAGAAGCACAGGCTGGTGATGGGGCAGAGGCAGGGGCCTGTCAGCTCCAAGTCCCAAGGCAGGCAGAGAGGGCCTAGATCCACCTCCTGGGAGTGATGGGTGTGTCTTCCCTGACTCCAGAAAGGAGGCTGAGAAACCCTCCTTGATACATCCCAGAGCTGTAACTTCGTATAACTTAGTGGAGCACTGTGGGCATAGGAAGGCAAGAGGACATCAACACAGCCTCAAGGGCAGAAGCTGAGACAAGCCGTCCTCGGAAAGGATGACTTTATCTGTGACATGCTCTGCATCACTGCAGAGCAGAAGCCTGGGACCCAGGATGGGAGCAGAGGCTACAAAACACTGCTAGACAGAGGACAATGACAACAAGATGGCAGAGAAAGGCAGAAATGCAGAGACACAATATCCTCACCTTGAAATAAGCAAGGCCAGTTTCCAAATTACCCAAGGAAACACCACACTAAGAAAGGCAGGCTAAAAATGAGCAATTGGTACAGGAACTTACACCAGACTTTTTTTTTAAAAAGTAGTATAAAATTAGAAGTGGCCAGAATATAAAGAAATAAGGAGAGAGAAAGTAGAAATAATTATAAATTTTGAAGATGAAGAGTAGAGTGAATAAAAAACACAATAGATAGGATAAATTCCAGACTTGACATAGTAGAAAAGAGACTTAGTGTCATGGAAGATAGTACTAACATAGTCAATGAAGAAAGAAAAATTCAAAAGAGAAACTGAGGTGTTACAAATAGATTCAGAGACTCCAGCCTGTATCTAGCAATAAAATGGAGTGGAGGAAACCAACCAGAGTGCAGCAGCTTTGAAAAACACAACACACACACACATACACACACACACACAATACACACACATGCACGCACACACACATATACACACACATGCATACACACACATACACACACATGCACACATATACAAATGCACACGTACACACACTCAAAGGTAACATATATGGAGAATAGATTGAGAGGCTCTGATATAAACAGAATAGGAGTTCCCAAAGAAAAACATTTTTTAAAAATTATTATTATACTTTAAGTTTTAGGGTACATGGGCACAATGTGCAGGTTAGTTACATATGTATACATGTGCCATGCTGGTGTGCAGCACCCACTAACTCGTCATCTAGCATTAGGTATATCTCCCAATGCTAACCCTCCCCCCTCCCCCCACCCCACGACAGTCCCCAGAGTGTGATGTTCCCCTTCCTGTGTCCATGTGTTCTCATTGTTCAATTCCCACCTATGAGTGAGAATATGCGGTGTTTGTTTTTTTGTTCTTGTGATAGTTTACTGGAATGATGATTTCCAATTTCATCCATGTCCCTACAAAGGACATGAACTCATCATTTTTTATGGCTGCATAGTATTCCATGGTGTATATGTGCCACATTTTCTTAATCCAGTCTATCATTGTTGGACATTTGGGTTGGTTCCAAGTCTTTGCTATTGTGAATAATGCCACAATAAACATACGTGTGCATGTGTCTTTATAGCAGCATGATTTATAGTCCTTTGGGTATATACCCAGTAATGGGATGGCTGGGTCAAATGATATTTCTAGTTCTAGATCCCTGAGGAATCGCCACACTAACTTCCCCAATGGTTGAACTAGTTTACAGTCCCACCAACAGTGTAAACGTGTTCCAATTTCTCCACATCCTCTCCAGCACCTGTTGTTTCCTGACTTTTTAATGATTGCCATTCTAACTGGTGTGAGATGGTATCTCATTGTGGTTTTGATTTGCATTTCTCTGATGGCCAGTGATGGTGAGCATTTTTTCATGTGTTTTTTGGCTGCATAGATGTCTTTTTTTGAGAAGTGTCTGTTCATATCCTTTGCAAACTTTTTGATGGGGTTGTTTGTTTTTTTCTTGTAAATTTGTTTGAGTTCATTGTAGATTCTGGATATTAGCCCTTTGTCAGATGAGTAGGTTGCGAAAATTTTCCCCCATTTTGTAGGTTGCCTGTTCACTCTGATGGTAGTTTCTTTTGCTGTGCAGAAGCTCTTTAGTTTAATTAGATCCCATTTGTCAATTTTGGCTTTGGTTGCCATTGCTTTTGGTGTTTTAGACATGAAGTCCTTGCCCATGCCTATGTCCTGAATGGTAATGCCTAGGTTTTCTTCTAGGGTTTTTATGGTTTTAGGTCTAATGTTTAAGTCTTTAATCCATCTTGAATTGATTTTTGTATAAGGTGTAAGGAAGGGATCCAGTTTCAGCTTTCTACATATGGCTAGCCAGTTTTCCCAGCACCATTTATTAAATAGGGAATCCTTTCCCCATTGCTTGTTTTTCTCAGGTTTGTCAAAGATCAGATAGTTGTAGATATGCTGCGTTATTTCTGAGGGCTCTGTTCTGTTCCATTGATCTATATCTCTGTTTTGGTACCAGTACCATGCTGTTTTGGTTACTGTAGCCTTGTAGTATAGTTTGAGGTCAGGTAGTGTGATGCCTCCAGCTTTGTTCTTTTGGCTTAGGATTGACTTGGCGATGCAGGCTCTATTTTGGTTCCATATGAACTTTAAAGTAGTTTTTTCCAATTCTGTGAAGAAAGTCATTGGTAGCTTGATGGGGATGGCATTGAATCTGTAAATTACCTTGGGCAGTATGGCCATTTTCATGATATTGATTCTTCCTACCCATGAGCATGGAATGTTCTTCCATTTGTTTGTATCCTCTTTTATTTCCTTGAGCAGTGGTTTGTAGTTCTCCTTGAAGAGGTCCTTCACATCCCTTGTAAGTTGGATTCCTAGGTATTTTATTCTCTTTGAAGCAATTGTGAATGGGAGTTCACTCATGATTTGGCTCTCTGTTTGTCTGTTGTTGGTGTTTAAGAATGCTTGTGATTTTTGTACATTGATTTTGTATCCTGAGACTTTGCCGAAGTTGCTTATCAGCTTAAGGAGATTTTGGGCTGAGACAATGGGGTTTTCTAGATATACAATCATGTCATCTGCAAACAGGGACAATTTGACTTCCTCTTTTCCTAATTGAATACCCTTTATTTCCCTCTCCTGCCTAATTGCCCTGGCCAGAACTTCCAACACTATGTTGAATAGGAGTGGTGAGAGAGGGCATCCCTGTCTTGTGCCAGTTTTCAAAGGGAATGCTTCCAGTTTTTGCCCATTCAGTATGATATTGGCTGTGGGTTCGTCATAGATAGCTCTTATTATTTTGAGATAAGTCCCATCAATACCTAATTTATTGAGAGTTTTTAGCATGAAGGGTTGTTGAATTTTGTCAAAGGCCTTTTCTGCATCTATTGAGATAATCATGTGGTTTTTGTCTTTGGTTCTGTTTATATGCTGGATTACATTTATTGATTTGCATATATTGAACCAGCCTTGCATCCCAGGGATGAAGCCCACTTGATCATGGTGGATAAGCTTTTTGATGTGCTGCTGGATTTGGTTTGCCAGTATTTTATTGAGGATTTTTGCATCAATGTTCATCAAGGATATTGGTCTAAAATTCTCTTTTTTGGTTGTGTCTCTGCCCGGCTTTGGTATCAGGATGATGCTGGCCTCATAAAATGAGTTAGGGAGGATTCCCTCTTTTTCTATTGATTGGAATAGTTTCAGAAGGAATGGTACCAGTTCCTCCTTGTACCTCTGGTAGAATTCGGCTGTGAATCCATCTGATCCTGGACTCTTTTTGGTTGGTAAGTTATTGATTATTGCCACAATTTCAGCTCCTGTTATTGGTCTATTCAGAGATTCAACTTCTTCCTGGTTTAGTCTTGGGAGAGTGTATGTGTCGAGGAATTTATCCGTTTCTTCTAGATTTTCTAGTTTATTTGCGTAGAGGTGTTTGTAGTATTCTCTGATGGTAGTTTGTATTTCTGTAGGATCGGTGGTGATATCCCCTTTATCATTTTTTATTGCGTCTATTTGATTCTTCTCGCTTTTTTTCTTTGTTAGTCTTGCTAGCGGTCTATCAATTTTGTTGATCCTTTCAAAAACCCAGCTCCTGGATTCGTTAATTTTTTGAAGGGTTTTTTGTGTCTCTATTTCCTTCAGTTCTGCTCTGATTTTAGTTATTTCTTGCCTTCTGCTAGCTTTTGAATGTGTTTGCTCTTGCTTTTCTAGTTCTTTTAATTGTGATGTTAGGGTGTCAATTTTGGATCTTTCCTGCTTTCTCTTGTGGGCATTTAGTGCTATAAATTTCCCTCTACACACTGCTTTGAATGCATCCCAGAGATTGTGGTATGTTGTGTCTTTGTTCTCATTGGTTTCAAAGAACATCTTTATTTCTGCCTTCATTTTGTTATGTACCCAGTAGTCATTCAGGAGCAGGTTGTTCAGTTTCCACGTAGTTGAGCAGTTTTGAGTGAGATTCTTAATCCTGAGTTCTAGTTTGATTGCACTGTGGTCTGAGAGATAGTTTGTTATAATTTCTGTTCTTTTACATTTGCTGAGGAGAGCTTTACTTCCAAGTATGTGGTCAATTTTGGAATAGGTGTGGTGTGGTGCTGAAAAAAATGTATATTCTGTTGATTTGGGGTGGAGAGTTCTGTAGCTATCTATTAGGTCCGCTTGGTGCAGAGCTGAGTTCAATTCCTGGGTATCCTTGTTGACTTTCTGTCTCGTTGATCTGTCTAATGTTGACAGTGGGATGTTAAAGTCTCCCATTATTAATGTGTGGGAGTCGAAGTCTCTTTGTAGGTCACTCAGGACTTGCTTTATGAATCTGGGTGCTCCTGTATTGGGTGCATATATATTTAGGATAGTTAGGTCTTCTTGTTGAATTGATCCCTTTACCGTTAAGTAATGGCCTTCTTTGTCTCTTTTGATCTTTGTTGGTTTAAAGTCTGTTTTATCAGAGACTAGGATTGCAACCCCTGCCTTTTTTTGTTTTCCATTTGCTTGGTAGATCTTCCTCCATCCTTTTATTTTGAGCCTATGTGTGTCTCTGCACGTGAGATGGGTTTCCTGAATACAGCACACTGATGGGTCTTGACTCTTTATCCAATTTGCCAGTCTGTGTCTTTTAATTGGAGCATTTAGTCCATTTACAATTTAAAGTTAATATTGTTATGTGTGAATTTGATCCTGTCATTATGATGTTAGCTGGTTATTTTGCTTGTTAGTTGATGCAGTTTCTTCCTAGTCTCGATGGTCTTTACATTTTGGCATGTTTTGCAGCGGCTGGTACCGGTTGTTCCTTTCCATGTTTAGCGCTTCCTTCAGGAGCTCTTTTAGGGCAGGCCTGGTGGTGACAAAATCTCTCAGCATTTGCTTGTCTGTGAAGTATTTTATTTCTCCTTCACTTATGAAGCTTAGTTTGGCTGGATATGAAATTCTGGATTGAAAATTCTTTTCTTTAAGAATGTTGAATATTGGCCCCCACTCTCTTCTGGCTTGTAGAGTTTCTGCCGAGAGATCTGCTGTTAGTCTGATGGGCCTCCTTTTGAGGGTAACCCGATCTTTCTCTCTGGCTGCCCTTAACATTTTTTCCTTCATTTCAACTTTGGTGAATCTGACAATTATGTGTCTTGGAGTTGCTCTTCTCGAGAAGTATCTTTGTGGCGTTCTCTGTATTTCATGAATCTGAATGTTGGCCTGCCTTGCTAGATTGGGGAAGTTCTCCTGGATAATATCCTGCAGAGTGTTTTCCAACTTGGTTCCATTCTCCCCGTCACTTTCAGGTACACCAGTCAGACGTAGATTTGGTCTTTTCACATAGTCCCATATTTCTTGGAGGCTTTGCTCGTTTCTTTTTATTCTTTTTTCTCTAAACTTCCCTTCTCGCTTCATTTCATTCATTTCATCTTCCATCACTGATACCCTTTCTTCCAGTTGATCGCATCGGCTCCTGAGGTTTCTGCATTCTTCACGTAGTTCTCGAGCCTTGGTTTTCAGCTCCATCAGCTCCTTTAAGCACTTCTCTGTATTGGTTATTCTAGTTATACATTCTTCTAAATTTTTTTCAAAGTTTTCAACTTCTTTGCCTTTGGTTTGAATTTCCTCCCGTAGCTCGGAGTAATTTGATCGTCTGAAGGCTTCTTCTCTCAGCTCGTCAAAGTCATTTTCTGTCCAGCTTTGTTCTGTTGCTGGTGAGGAACTGCTTCCTTTGGAGGAGGAGAGGCTCTCTGCTTTTTACAGTTTCCAGTTTTTCTGCTCTGTTTTTTCCCCATCTTTGTGGTTTTATCAACTTTTGGTCTTTGATGATGGTGACGTATAGATGGGGTTTTGGTGTGGATGTCCTTCCTGTTTGTTAGTTTTCCTTCTAACAGACAGGACCCTCAGCTGCAGGTCTGTTGGAGTACCCGGCCGTGTGAGGTGTCAGTCTGCCCCTGCTAGGGGGCGCCTCCCAGTTAGGCTGCTCGGGGGTCAGGGGTCAGGGACCCACCTGAGGAGGCAGTCTGCCCGTTCTCAGATCTCCAGCTGTGTACTGGGAGAACCACTGCTCTCTTCAAAGCTGTCAGACAGGGACATTTAAGTCTGCAGAGGTTACTGCTGTCTTTTTGTTTGTCTGTGCCCTGCCCCCAGAGGTGGAGCCTACAGAGGCAGGCAGGCCTCCTTGAGCTGTGGTGGGCTCCACCCAGTTCGAGCTTCCCGGCTGTTTTGTTTACCTAAGCAAGCCTGGGCAATGGCGGGCGCCCCTTCCCCAGCGTCGCTGCTGCCTTGCAGTTTGATCTCAGACTGCTGTGCTAGCAATCAGCGAGACTCCGTGGGCGTAGGACCCTCCGAGCCAGGTGGGGGATATAATCTCCTGGTGCGCCGTTTTTTAAGCCCGTCGGAAAAGCGCAGTATTCGGGTGGGAGTGACCCGATTTTCCAGGTGCCGTCTGTCACCACTTTCTTTCACTAGGAAAGGGAACTCTTGCGCTTCCCAGTGAGGCAATGCCTCGCCCTGCTTCACCTTGTGCACGGTGCGCGCACCCACTGACCTGCACCCACTGTCTGGCACTTCCTAGTGAGATGAACCCGGTACCTCAGATGGAAATGCAGAAATCACCCGTCTTCTGCGTCGCTCACGCTGGGAGCTATAGACTGGAGCTGTTCCTATTCGGTCATCTTGGCTCCTCCCCCCAGAAAAACATATTTAAATTGGCAACAAAGCAACATAATAGCTCAGAATTCTCTGGAATTGAAAAGACATGAGATCCCAGATCTAAATTACAAACCAAGAGAAATCCACTTCTAGAATATTACAGTGACATGCAGATCATCCAGGAGAGGAGAAAAAAGTCAAAACGACCAGAAAGAAGAGCCACAGTACCTACCAAAAATGCAGATGTCAGCTGACGGCAGACTTCTCAACAGCAACGCTACCTCCTGGGAGACAGTGGAGTGACGTCTTTAACAGACCTAGGGAAAATAACATTTACCTTTGAATGCTATTCTCAGCACAACTTTCATAAAATATTGAAGGCAAAATAAAGACATCTCAGACGTTAAAAAACAACGGACAGCCTCTACCACTCACTGGCTTCCATCAGAGGAAGTTTGAAAGGGAGAATTTTAGCACTTCTGTAGCAGACCGGGGGCGGGGGATCAATGTCAGCAAAGCAAACTACCTGCTGGCTGTACAAACACGATTGGTGCAGACTTTAATGGTGGGGGAGGAAGGTTCTGTTTTAGTGGATATTTAAAGAGTGCTAAATGCACACAAAACACATGTGCCCACATGCAGGTGTTCATAGGAACAAAAGATGCCCGTTAAGTGCAGGAGAATGATCTATGGTGAGAGGGAACTGGAACGGGGTGGGCAGGGATAATACATTTTCAAAACAAATAAAGGACCAGGTGCAATGGTGGCTCACACCCGCAATGCCTGCACTTTGGGAGGCCGAGGCAGGCAGATCACCTGAGGTCAGGAGTTCAAGGCCAGACTGGCCAACATGGCAAAACCCCGTCTCACCTAAAAATACAAAAATTAGCCAGGTCTGGTGGCGGGCACCTGTAATCCCAGCTACTCAGCAGGCTGAGGCAGGAGAATCGCTTGAACCTGGGAGGCGGAAGTTGCAGTGAGCCAAGATCACACCATTGCACTCCAGCCTGTGTGACAGAGCAAGACTCCATCTCAAAAATAATAATAATAATAAATAAACAAATAAGCCTGTTAGATGAAAGCATGATTTATTTTTCATCAGTATAGATGAAAGGGGGCCAACATGAAAACAATTAAAAGCACAATCACAAGAAGACGAATGTTCATGAATTTGAAGGCATACTGCATCAAAATGCAGGAAGCCAAAAGAGACTGAAGAACAAAGGGGTCAAATCCACAGTCAGAATGGAAGATGCCAGAACTTCTCCGTTAGAAGCAGAGAGCAAGAGGGTTTTTCTTTTGTTTTTTTTTTTTTTTTTTTTGAGTTGGAGTTTCACTCTTGTTGCCCAGGCTGGAGTGCAATGGCGCGATCTCAGCTCACCACAACCTCCACCTCCCAGGTTCAAGCAATTCTCCTGCCTCAGCCTCCTGAGTAGTTGGGATTACAGGTGCATGCCACCACGCCTGGCTAATTTTTGTATTTTTAGTAGAGACAGGGTTTCACCATGTTGGTCAGGCTGGTCTCGATCTCCTGATCTTGTGATCCGCCCACCTCAGCCTCCCAAAGTGGTGGGATTACAGGCATGAGCCACTGAGCCCGGCCAAGAATTTTAAAAGTTCACACCAACGTTGAAGATTTGGAACCAAAATTGTAAAGTGTACAAAGACACTGCTCCAACAGCTAAACAATTATATTGTTATAATTGTTACAATGAACAATTAAGAATTAAGTACACATAGAATATTTAAAGTACCCATAGAGTGGTTTAAAGAATAGGCCACATACCAGGCAATATGGGGAATTTCACAGAACCCACACAGTGGAGCCTGCCTTTTTTAGCTACAAGGCAATAAAACTAGAATCAACAATGAACAGAGTGTTACATAAAAAGAAATATAAACTTCAAGTCTACAGCATTAGATGCATCTATTACTATACAATACAAAAGTAAGTTAGTCCGGGTGTGGTAGCTCATGCCTGTAATCCCAGCACTATGGGAGGCCGAGGTGAGCAGATCATGAGGTCAGGAGTTTGAGACCAGCCTGGTCAGCATGGTGAAACCCGTCTCTACTAAAAATACAAAAATTAGCTGGGCGAGGTGGCGGGCGCCTATAATCTCAGCTACTCAGGAGGCTGAGGCAGGAGAATCACTTGAACCTGGGAGGCAGAGGTTGCAGTGAGCCGAGATCATGCCATTGCACTCCAGCCTGGACAACAAGAGCAAAACTCTGTCACACACATACACACACACACACACAAACACACACACACACAAAGTAGACATTCAAATAAAAAAGCAATAACACATATCCTAAAGAAATTTGAAGACAGAAATAATAAAGAAGAGAAATCTGTGGACCAGAAAATAAAGAAAAACTGGAGATAACCCACAAACGCAAAACTGGCTCTTAGAGGAAACTACAATAAAATGGGTAGACGTCTGGCAAGACTGATGAAGAAAACAATGAGAAAAGCAGCAATTCAACGTCATTAGGAAAGGCGAGGTGACAGACACTGCAGATGGAGGCCAAAGAGAAGCTCACGTGCCTCAGGGAAGCGCAGCAGGGGCACACGGCCGGCGGAGCTCGGCATCCTTTGCCACTGTCGTTAAGCCTGCGGTGTTGTCACGAGGCTGCATGGATGGATCACCAGAACAGGAGAGAGTCCAGAAACAGACCGGAAATGGAATCGGAAAATAAGGGGCATAGCAAAAACATTGGAGGGGAAAATATTGAATAAATGAAGCTTTTATCCGTACGAAAAGGACATATCCATTTATTTTCCTACCTCACACGGCACACAGTTGATTCCGGACAGATTAAAAGGATTCATATGAAAAGCAAAACTTTAAAAATATGTAGTAGAAACGATGAGACAATCCCTTTGTGACCTAGAGGCAAGTTCAAAAGCTGCTGAAGAGTCACGTCATGTCTTTAACAGAGGCAGGAGGCAAGCCAGACGGGAGGGAAAGCCCTGCCATGTGTCCATCTGCACGGTTTCAGCATGCAGAGTGCACGAGGAACTCCTGCCAATGATGTAGACACAGACAACTGCAGGGAAGAGAAGGCAGAGGATGCGAAAAGGCAGTTGGGGGAAGAGGCGAACCGGATGCTGCAAGGACAGAAAGAGAAGCTGAGTAAGGAGAGGACAATCTCAGGGCCTGAGGCTGAGCGCATTCCTCACTCTGACAGTAACGTGGGTAGGATGAGGTGCATCAGGAAGTACCCATGGGTGCTGGCGTTGGAGAGCAATGGCCCAGCTGGCGAAGCTGGAGACAATGTGCCCTGGGACTCCACAGTTCCGCTGCCTCCCGCGGACCCTAAGATGCCCCTGTGTGGTCCTTGCCATGAGCAAGCCGGGAGCTCCCCTGGGCATGAGTTTGTGAAATCTGCCACAGCTGTCTCTTTCCGCGGCACTGGGGGGCCCCGGGCTGGTTCAGGTGCAGCAGGGCCTGTTGAAGCTGCCAGTCACTCTAGCTTAGAAGCTCCTGCCTTCCGCGGTAGTCTTCATTTTCAGGAATATTCTCTCATTCCCTGTGCCAGTGCAGCTGGTGTCATGACCCAAGGATGCTGGACTGCACATCACAGCGGGACATGAAGGGAAGTCAGCGAGTCTGGAAGGAGAGGCAGGTTTTGTCCTGGGGGGAAGCCGGAAGTGAGTCACAGTCAGCTCTTCCGAGCCTCCAGTGTGCACGCCTGTAAGCTGGGATCGGTCCTCAGCGATGTCCATCAGTCCCTGATGTGCACGCCTGTAAGTGGGGATTCAGTCCTCACCGACGTCTATCAGGACAGAAGTCCTCTCTCTGTGAAAAGTTCTCGGTCGTGAACACGCACGAATGCCCCGGCCAGCTCTGCGCTCCTTTGTCAGGTCAGAAGTCCTCTCTCTGTGTGAAAAGTTCTCGGTCATGAACATGTACGAATGCCCCCGGCCAGCTCTGCGCTCCTTCATCAGGACAGAAGTCCTCTCTCTCTCTGTGAAAAGTTCTCGGTCGTGAACACGCACGAATGCCCCGGCCAGCTCTGCGCCCCTTCGTCAGGACAGAAGTCCTCTCTCTCTCTGTGAAAAGTTCTTGGTCATGAACACGCACGAATGCCCGGCCAGCTCTGCGCTCCTTTGGTGGTCACCTCGCAAAGGAGAATTGATCGGAGCTGCTGCTTACGGGGTGACGCCCGTGGCAGCATCACCACACACACATCATGACGGCAGCCGCGTGTGTCATTCAGCCCCCAACCGATGATGAGAAACCAACCTGAACCTCACGTCAGCAGGAAGGCGGAGTTATCTTTCCATTCTATTTATGAAAAATTATTTTCATAGGAAGCAATAATCAAGGGGTAGCAGCCAAGAGATATAGAAGAAATAAGTTTGATAGAGGTGTGCCAGGGAGTAACTAATCAAATCTTGTTTTTTGCTTCCATTTGATGACGTTTAGTGCACCTATCAGCTTTTTCATGTGTGAGCTTTGTGTGTTTTTTTATCACTTCAAATATTTATTTTCATATCTAATTTGGATTCATAATTTTTTTTTTGAGACGGAGTCTTGCTCTGTCATCCAGGCTGGAGTGCAGTGGCACGATCTCGGCTCACTACAAGCTCCGCCTCCCGGGTTCACACCATTCTCCTGCCTCAGCCTCCTGAGTAGCTGGGACTGCAGGCACCCGCCACCATGCCCTGCTAATTTTTTTTTGGTTTGTATTTTTAGTAGAGACGGGGTTTCTCCGTGTTAGCCAGATGGTCTCAATCTCCTGACCTTGTGATCCGCCAGCCTCGGCCTCCCACAGTGCTGGGATTACAGGCGTGAGCCACCACGCCCGGCCTCCTTCTTGTTTTTTTTCTAACAGAGCATCTTACGTGGATGCAGTGACATAGATGCGTCACCCGCCTGCCACCGAAGGAAGGTGCAGGAAGGACACCCAAGGGCCTTGTGGTGTCTCTCCTGCGCCTTGCACTTCCCCGGGGCCGGGGCCAAAGCCAATGGCAAGGCCAGCCATGGCGGGCAGCAGCCCCTCTGCTGGACACGGCTCCTGCCCCAAGGCTCCAAACTCTGCCCCCCACTGAGCAACTGATTTCCTGAGTCCCCCTCCGAGGGCTCGGGGATTTGACCTTGAAGTTCCCGCCCACCTGAGTCTGTGTGTTTTAGGCCTGCGTGGCCTTCCCTGTCCATGCCCTGAGTCCACCTGGCCGCTGCCATCCTTCAAAACCCAGCCCAGTCCCACATCCTGGAGGAGGAAGGGGCCCTGCCCACCTGGCTTCTGGGGCATCTTGGGCCAGGGCAGCCACAGTGGTCCCTGCATGTCCCCGTCACAGATGGGTGCCTGTCCCGAAGGAGCCGTCAGCCTGACAGGCCTCGGCCCTCTCTGGCCACCGAGGCTCCCTCGCCCTTCCGGGCTGGGCTCAGCAGAGGCTTTTGGGGCTCAACTGGACTGAACCGAGTCACGGATGGTGGAAGTGAGGGGATCTGCCCCTGGCCATGGGGGCCCAGGGCGCTGCAGGGGGGCCCGGGGCGCATTCCTGGAGGGGCTGCTTCCCGGGAAAGGTCGCGCTGTGTTTGTGTTCCGGCTCTTTCCTCCGCCTGAGTTCCTCCGAGGCCCTGGCTCATCTGAATACAGGACCCTGTGTGCCACGGCATGCAGCATGTCACGGTGAATGTCACACAAACAGGAACGTGCCTGGAGGCCGCCTGGACCTGTCCTCCCGCCCATCAGCTGCCAAAGTAATGCTGTGCACACGGCCGTCCCCACCTGCTTCCCCACTCATGGAGCTCCTCACGGGCTCAACACCCCCTTCCAGAAGGCTGGTCCCGGGAGGGGAGTTGCCGGCATCTGGAAGCCTGGCCGGCCTCTGTAGTGCAGCCAACATGGGGTCCATGAGCCAGGGGGTGGAAGAGGCCCCGTGACGTGGGGAACACACTAAGCTCCTAGCCCAGCTCTTCTTCTTGGAGCACCAGATGCCCTCGCTCTGCCGCTGGGGAAGGGGTGAGCCGAGGGCTTGAGGCCAGCACAGAAACTGCCCCCCAAATCTTACTCCGGGATCGGCACTTTCCTGGAAGACCCCAGGAGTAAAGAGAAGGAAGAGCAGAGGGGAGGGAGGGAGTCCCAAGCCAGGTGCCACTGAGAGGGGCGGTGTAACTCTGTCCAGGTCGCCTCCTGGGAAACTGAGGCCCAGCTAGGCAGAATCAGGTCTCCTGGCCCCAGACACCACCTGCCACTCAGGCAGCTGCCCCATGGGAGGCTGGAGATGTCTGAGTTGGGGCCTTCAGACCAGGAGCCACATGGAGGGAGGCCACGTTCCTCTTCCTCCCACCTGCATACCTGCCCTCCTCTGTTGAGCTCCGGGAAGCCGTCTCTGGGGTGGGGGTGGATGCTAATGTTCTGTGCAGCTGTTTCGTTCTCTGAGTCGTTTTCGGTGAAAGGGCTCAGAGTTGCAGCTAAAGCCCGTACCAGCCTTGCACTCCCACGAGGGAGCTGTTACCCTCGTGCCCCCTTCATGGGAGAGGAAGGTGAGGCTGGAAATGGTGAGTAAGGGGCCGAGCTCGCTCAGAGGCTGGCACGACCCCAGGCTCACACCTGCCAGCAATGTTAAGAGGCACCGGGAGCTGGAAAGGGCTGAGGGTGCCACGCCGGGGGTGGACCGGGTCCGACCTGCCCCCTCCTCCGAGGCTCTCTCCTTCCCTACTGTAAGACAGAGTCTTGCTCTGTCACCCAGGCTGGAGTGCAATAGCGCCATCTTGGCTCACTGCAACCTCCCCCTCCCAGGTTCAAGAGATTCTCCTGTCTCAGCTTCCTGAGCTGCTGGGATTACAAGGTGCCCGCCACCAGGCCTGGCTAATTTTTGTATTTTTAGTAGAGACGGGGCTTCACCATGTTGGCCAGGCTGGTCTCGAACTCCTGACCTCAGGTGATCCACCCGCCTCAGCCTCCCAAAGTGTTGGGATTACAGGTATGAGCCACTGCAAAGCCGGGGCTGAAGTGGAAACTGCTGTCTTGTTATCACGGGAGTGAGGATGTGGCCTGTGTGCTGCCTAGAACTGGCTGCACCTGCTGTCCTTTTGCTTCTGCCTTAACCCCCGTGACTCTAATTCCCTATTCTCCTGCCTCATTAGTTCCTGCTGTCTGCAAACAGAAGATGAGGCTGGGCTGTGAGCCACCTCCCAGCCTGATCCCCAGGGGCCAGGGTCAAAGTGGACCTACCCAGGCCTTTCAGGACTGTTAGAGGCTGGGTCTTAGAGAACCCTAGTTCCTGGGCATGCTGTGTTTTGGCTAGGCGTACTTTCACCCAATTTTCTGAACACTGAGAGGAAGACCTTCCAATTGGGATATTCTTGCCTCTGTTTCTGGAAATGTTTCTCATACGATGCTCTTGGGAGTTTCCTCCCACGACATCACATTCAGACTTTCTGCACTTAATGTGCACCACACCTAAGAGGTATATATCAGGCCTTCTGGATCAACTCTCTGCTTTTCTTAACTTTTCTTCCCTGTTGTCCATATTCTTTTTTAAGTTAGTCAAAGGAAGCAGTGGGAGTGGGGAAAGAACAAAGAAATCTGTCGTGACCCATAGTTATATACACCGCAGCACTCGTACCAGCCAGCCCCTCTCGGTCACATCTTATTGTCCATTGTTGCCTCTGTCCACGAGGCTCTTCTCTGCCGCCAAAATACGCATCTGCTGTCCTTGCTTTTCTGCACATCAGCTCCCAAATGTAGGCCAGAGAGGGGTGTGATTCGCTGAGCCTGGAGAGGTTGGGAGGGGAAGGGTAGAGCATCGTCAGTGTCTAGACTTGGAGGCAGCTCCTACCTCCCACCAAGTCTCACCAGGTGAAAAACTCTCCATATTTTCTCATCTTTTCTTCCTGTGGTCTATCTCCTATTGGCCACTGCTACTTCTAGAAATGAGGTGTTCTTGCTGACATCTGTCACCAAAATATGTCTTCTGCTCTCCATGTACATTGCCCACAGGAAGCTGGGGACCCAGAAGCACTCCCAGTTTGGGGGCGAATGGTTGAATCTGTGTCTCAGGCTGATGGCCGATTGAAAGGTTCAGTGTCAGTGGGTAGAGGCTGGAGGCCAGGTAGGAGAGTTGTGTGGAGCCCAGATAAGGGTCATGTTTATATTCACACACCTGGGCAGTGAGCCTGGCACCTGTAAATGCCTGCAAATCACCAGGGAGCAGAGGACAGTGCTGGCTGGGAGCCTGTGTCTCAGCCCTGCCCCGTCGAATGATGTGGCCTGTGGCCAGGAATATCACCAACGGTCCCTCAATTTCCTCATCTGCAAAATGGGGATAACAATGCTGGTCATGCCTTCTCCCGGATCACTGATGTGGTCCAAAAGTCCTAAACAGTGTCACTAAGTAAGGTGAAGTCTAATAAGTCAAAAATCCCAGCCTGCCATAGGGACCTAAGAGCTGTTCCCCTTCTCCTTCCCTGTGGAAGCTGGGACACAGCAAGGAGCAGGACCAGGCAGCACCAGGCTTCATGCTCCTTCCCCAGCAGCCTGCATAGAGGACACTGGGGTTACCAGGGGATGGTTACCTGGTCCCCAGATCACCTTGTTGTGGCAAGTACCAGAATTGGGCGCTGGCCGGTGATGGCCTCATGGTAGCTCCAGTAAAATGCCCCTTTCCTTTGTCCTTACAGGGAAGGTGGGTTACACCTGTCCCGGAGCCATAATTCCTTTTCGTTTTTTTTTGAGACAGAGTCTTGCTCTGGTCCCACCCAGGCTGGAGTGCAATAGCGCAATCTTGGCTCACTGCAACCTCCCCCTCCTGGGTTCAAGCGATTCTCCTGTCTCAGCCTCCGGAGTAGCCGGAATTACAGGTGCCTGCCACCATGCCCAACTAATTTCTGTATTTTTCCACCACATCTGGCCACTAGTTGATTTTTACGCTCATTAGGAGCCTTATTTTCCTGCTTCTTTTTCACCTAGTAATTTTCTATTTTTTTTTTTTTGTATTTTTGTATATTTAGTAGAGATGTGGTTTCACCATGTTGCCCAGGTTGGTCTTGAACTCCTGAGCTCAAGTGATCTGCCCACCTTGGCCTCCCAAAGTGTTGTGATTACAGGCCTGAGCCACCGTGCCCAGCCACACCTAGTAATTTTGGATTGGATGCCAGGCATTGTGAATTTAACCTTGCTGGATATTTTCCCCTTTCTTTAAATATTCTTGTTCTGCGTGCAATGAAGTTACCTGCCAATAGTTTGATTCTTTTTTTTTTTTTTTTTTAGTATTTATTGATCATTCTTGGGTGTTTCTCAGAGAGGGGGATTTGGCAGGGTCATAGGACAATAGTGGAGGGAAGGTCAGCAGATAAACATCTGAACAAGGGTCTCTGGTTTTCCTAGGCAGAGAGCCCTGCCACCTTCCACAGTGTTTGTGTCCCTGGGTACTTGAGATTAGGGAGTGGTGATGACTCTTAACGAGCATGCTGCCTTCAAGCATCTGTTTAACAAAGCACATCTTGCACTGCCCTTAATCCATTTAACCCTTAGTGGACACAGCACATGTTTCAGAGAGCACGGGGTTGGGGGTAAGGTCACAGATCAACAGGATCCCAAGGCAGAAGAATTTTTCTTAGTACAGAACAAAATGGAGTCTCCTATGTCTACTTCTTTCCACACAGACACAGTAACAATCCGATCTCTCTTTCTTTTCCCCACACTTCCCCCCTTTCTATTGACAAAACCGCCATCATCATCATGGCCCGTTCTCAATGAGCTGTTGGGTACACCTCCCAGACGGGGTGGTGGCCGGGCAGGGGGGCTCCTCACTTCCCAGATGGGGCAGCCGGGCAGAGGTGCCCCCCACCTCCCAGACGGGGCGGCTGGCTGGGCGGGGGCCGCCCCCCACCTCCCGGACGGGGCAGCTGGCCAGGTGGGGGCTGCCCCCCACCTCCTGGACGGGGCGGCTGGCCGGGTGGGGGCTTCCCCCCACCTCCCGGAATAGTTTGATTCTTTCCAGGCTTGATCTCCAGCGTTGTTGGGCAGGGCTAGAGCAGCTGTCCTAAGGCTAATTTGGAACCACAACTGAGGCTATACCCTTCTTTCTGATTACCCAGATACTGTGAGATGTTTCTAGGCTGGCTGGCAGAACTATTTCCAGCCCTATGGAAGCTCTGGTGTTGTTCTTCCTGCTCTTGTCTTGTGGTCCTTTCCCTGGCTTTCAGTATTTGTTTTTTTCTTTTTCATCTACCCACCTGTCCAACAGACCTTCAGTGTTTTTCTCAAATGCACAGAGCGATCAATACTCAGGTGAAGGCTTGAGAGAAGAATTGCAGAGCCTCCCCCACTCCCCAGCCCCCCACCCTCCTGGGGAACCTCTCTCCCCTATGGTTCTTCTTTCTTTAGCTTTGGCCTCCTTGAATTCTCAACTTGTCTCCTCAACTCAGGGACTGCCAGGCTCTTTTGGGTTCTCCCTTCCTGCTCCATTGTCCAAAAACTCTCCAGACAGGAAGATGGGACAATCATAAACCTCACCTGGTTGGTTTGTCGTCTCCTAGGGGTTGCTCTCCTAGGAGATGGGGTGCCATCTGTTGTTTAAGGTCTGGGAATCATTGTTCCATACACTTTGATGGGTTTTTTTGGTGGTTGTTTAAAACAGAACAGTAAATCTGATCCCCATTACTTCATCATGGAAGGAAGATAGATATTATTTCATTTATGAAGTGATCCTAATTTAAAAGTGATCTTAATTTAAATGAAATTTACTAATTTTATAAATGAAATAGTCACATAGAAATTAGTAAATTTCGTTTAAGATCACTGTTGCTTTTAAAGCATTTTTACTTTAATTTTAATTTTTCTGCCATTTAAATTCCTCTACTTATGTTTTTATTTTTATTTTTAGTAGAGATGGGGGTTCACCATGGTGGCCGGGCTGGTCTTGAATTCCTGGCCTCCAATGATCCTCCTGACTCAGCCTCCTAAAGCACTAGGATTGCAGATGTGAGCCACTGCGCCTGTCCCTTCTGCCCATTTTATTTTTATTTATTTATTTACTTATTTATTTTTGAGACAGAGTTTCATTCTGTTGCCTAGGCTGGAGTACAGTGGCGTGACCTCGGCTGACTGCAACCTCTGCCTCCCAGGTTCAAGCAATTCTCCAGCCTCAGACTCCCGAGTAGCTGGGATTCCAGGCACATGCCACCATGCCCAACTAATTTTTGTATTTTAGTAGACATGGGGTTTTGTCATGTTGGTCAGGCTGCTCTTGAACTCCTGGCCTCAAGTGATCCGCCCATCTCAGCCTCCCAAAGCACTGGTATTGCAGGTGAGAGCCACCATGCCTGTCCTTTTTGCTCATTTTAAAATTGGGTTATCTTCTTGTTGAATCGTGAGAGTTCTTTATATATTCAGCTCCTTATATATATATTGACTTGTGATCTTTGTTTTTTTTAAAAGTATAGGTGTTTATAGGTATAAATTTTCCTCTGAACACTGCTTTTGCTGCATTCCATAAATTTTGATATGTTGTGTTTTTACTTCCATTTGTCTTAGAGCATTTTTTTCTTTTTTCTTTTCTTTTCTTTCTTTCTTTCTTTTTTTTTTGAAACAGAGTCTTGCTCTGTTGCCCAGGCTGTAGTGCAGTGGCGCGATCTCTGCTCACTGCAACCTCCACCTCCTGGCTTCAAGCAATTCTCCTACCTCAGCCTCCTGAGTAGGTGGGATTAAAGGCATGCACCACCATGCCCCGTTAATTTTTATATTTTTAGTAGAGAAGGGTTTTCACTGTGTTGCCTAGGCTGGTCTCGAACTCCTGGCCTCAAGTGATCCACATGCCTTGGCCTCCCAAAGTGCTGGAATTTCAGGCATGAGCCACTGCTCCCAGCCTGTCTCAAAGTATTTTATAATTTCTCTTGTGATTTCCTCTTTGACCCACTTGCTGTTTAAGACAGTATATTGTTTAATTTCCACATATTTGTGAATATTCCAGTTTTTCTTCTTTTATTGACTTCTGGATTCATTCCATTGTGGTAGAGAAAATACTTTGTAGAATTTCAATCTTTTAAAATTTATTGAGACATATTTTGTTGATTTACATATGGTTTGTGTTGGAGAAAGAATGGTCCACGTGCACTCAAGAAGAATGTCTGCTGTATTATTATTATTTGACACGGGGTCTCACTCTCTCCTCCAGGCTGGAGTGCAGTGGCACAATCATAGTCACTGCAGCCCCAAACTCCTGGGCTCAAATGATCCTCCAGCTTCACTCTCCAAAGTAGTTGGGATTACAGGCATGCACTACTACCCCAGGCTAATTTTTAAAAATTTTTGTAGAGACAGAGTCTCACTACCTTGCCCAGGCTGGTCTTGAACTTCTGGGCTCAAGCTATCCTCTCACCTCAGCCTCCCAAAGTGCTTGGATTACAGGTATAAGCTGCCACACTCAGCCTTATTATTATTTGACTGGGTGTTGTATATATGTTTGTTACATCTGGTTGGTTTATAGAGTTGTTCGAGTCCTCTACTTCCTAATTGATCTTTTTTTTTCAATAAAACTTCTTTAATGGATTTGCTTTATGCCTTATTGAAAGTCGGATATTTAAGTTTCCTACTGTTTTGTAGAACTATTTCTCCACCTTTCTGTCAATTTTCAATTTATATATTTTGGGACTCCATTGTTAGGTGTGTATATGTTTATAATTATTATATCTTCTCGGTGGATTGAAACTTTATCAATATATAATGTCTTCTTTGATCTCCTGTAACAATTTTTGGCTTAAAGTTTATTTTGCTTGATATTGATATAACCACCTCAGCTATCTTTTGGTTACTACTTGTGTGAAATATGTTTTTCTGTTCTCTTTCAATGGTTTGTGTGTGGATCTAAAGTAAGTTTTTTGTAGACAGTATATCAATGTATTATTTAAACAATCCATTCTAGGCTGGGCACAGTGGCTCACGCCTGTAATCCCAGCATTTGGGAGGCTGAGGCGGGTGGATTACTTGAAGTCAGGAGTTTGAGACCAGCCTGGCCAACATGGAGAAACCCCATCTCTACAAAAATGCCAGGAGTGGTGGTGCACACCTGTAATCCCAGTTACTCAGGAGGCTGAGGCAGGAGACTGGCTTGAACCCGGGAGGCAGAGATGGCAGTGAGCTGAGATGGTGCCATTACACTCCAGCCTGGGCGACAGAGCGAGACTCCGTCTCAAAAAAAAAAAAAAAGAAAAAGATCGAGATCATCCTGGCTAACACGGTGAAACTCCATCTCTACTAAAAATACAAAAAATTAACCGGGCGTGGTAGCGTTGAGTCTGTAGTCCCAGCTACTCGGGAGGCTGAGGCCGGAGAATGGCATGAACCCGGGAGGGGGGAGGTTGCAGTGAGCCGAGATCGCGCCACTACACTCCAGCCTGGGCGACAGAGCGAGACTCCATCTCAAAAAAAAAAAGGCTGGGTGTGGTGGCTCACGCCTCTAATCCTAGCATTTTGGGAGGCTGAAGTGGGTGGATCACCTGAGGTCCGGAGTTTGAGACCAGCCCGTCCAGCATGGTGAAACCTCGTTTCTACTAAAAATACAAAAATTAGCTGGCCATGGTGGTGGGTGCCTGTAATCCCAGCTACTCAGGAGGCTGAGGCAGGAGAATCACTTGAATCTGGGAGGCAGAGACTGCAGTGAGCCGAGACTGCGCCATTGCACCCCAGCCTGGGCAACAGAGAAAAACTCCGTCTCAAATAATAAAATAAAATAAAATAATCCATTCTGCCAATCTCTGTCTTTTAATTGAAGTGTTTTTTGTTGTTGCTGTTTGTGTTTTGGTTTTTTTTGTTTGTTTGTTTTTGATACGGAGTCTTGCTCTGTCGCCCAGGCTGGAATGCGGTGGCGCGATCTCTGCTCACTGCAAGCTCCGTCTCTCGGGTTCAGGCCATTCTCCTGCCTCAGCCTCCCGAGTAGCTGGGACTACAGGCGCCCGCCACCACGCCTGGCTAATTTTTTATATTTTTTAGTAGAGACGGGGTTTCACCATGTTAGCCAGGATGGTCTCGATCTCCTGACCTCGTGATCCGCCCGCCTCAGCCTCCCAAAGTGCTGGGATTACAGGCATGAGCCACAGTGCCCGGCCTAATTGAAGTGTTTAATCAGCTTACATTTAAAGTAATTACTAATAAGGAAGGACTTCTGCCATTTTCTTATTTTTTTTTAATGCCTTATACCTGTTATTTTATTTTACTTTAAGTTCTGGGATACATGTGCAGAATGTGCAGGTTTGTTAAGTAGGTATGTATGTGCCATGGTGGTTTGCTGCACCTATCAATCCATCACCTACGTTTTAAGCCCCGCGTGCGTTAGGTATTTGGTTTTCCCTTCTATTCCCCCATTGCTGCATTCTTTGGTGTTTAAGTGGTCTTTTGGTAGTGTGCCATTTTGTTTCCCTTTTCATTTACTTTCTGAATATTTTATTTTCTTAGTAGTAACCACAGGGATTACAATTAACAAATTTATAACAACCTATTTTAAATTTATACCAACTTAGTTTCAATAGTGTACAAAAGTTCTACTATTGTACTTCTCTGTCCTTCCCTCTTTACATTGTTAGTGTCACATATTACATCTTTTTACATTCTGTGCCCAGCAACATAGATTTATGATTATTGTTTTAGTTATTTGTCTTTTTTTTTTTTTAAGATGGAGTCTTGCTCTGTCACTCAGGCTGGAGTGTGGTGGCACAATCTTGGCTCACTGTCACCTCCGATTCCCAGGTTCAAGTGATTCTCCTGCCTCAGCCTCCCAAGTAGCTGGGATTACAGGCACCTGCCACCACGCCTGGCTTATTTGTGTATTTTTAGTAGAGATGGGGTTTCAGCATGTTGGCCAGGCTGGTCTTGAACTCCTGACCTCAAGTAATCTGCCTGCCCCAGCCTGCCAAAGTGCTGGGATTATAGGCGTGAGCCACCACGCCTGGTGGCATTTGTCTTTTAAATCCTATTTTAAAAAGAGGATTCACAGCACAGTGGCTCACACTTGTAATCCCAGCACTTTGGGAGGCTGAGGCGGGTGGATCAGAAGGTCAGGAGATTGAGACCATCCTGGCCAACATGGTGAAACCCCGTCTCTATCAAAACAGAAAAAACTAGCCGGGCGTGCTGGCACACGCCTGTAGTCCCAGCTACTTGGGAAGCTGAGGCAGGGGAATCACTTGAACCCGGGAGGTGGAGGTTGCAGTGAGCCGAGATCACGCCACTGCACTCCAGCCTGGTGACAGAGCAAGACTCCATCTTAAAAAAAAAAAAAAAAAAAAGGATTTACAAACTAGAAGTACAACAATACTGGCTTTTATATTTATTTAACCTGCGTTCTTTATTTTCTTCTATGGCTTAGACCTACTGTTTGTTATTCTCCATTTCAGTCCAAAGGATTTCCTTTAACATTCCTTATAGGACAGATTGGCCAGCAATGAACTCAGTTGGCTTCTGTTTATTTATGAATGTCTTAATTTATCCTTCATTTATGAAGGCTAGCTTTTCTGAATGTAGGATTCTTGGTTGATAGTTAAAAAAAATAATTTCAGCACTTTAAATATGTTATCCCACTACCTTCTGAACCCCATTGTTTTTGATGGGAAATTGGCTGTTAATCTGATTGAGGATCACTTATACTGACAAGTAACAGCTCTCAGGCAGCTCTCAGGATTGTCTTTGACTTTGCCTTTCAAAAATTTGATTATATAATGTGTCTTGGTGGTGTTCTGTTTGAGTTGATCCTGAAATCCCCTTTGCAAAATTATGATTGAGACAGTGAAAAAGACTTAAACGAACTGACTCTATTTTGGTTTCAATCTTTAAGTTGTCCTTGTTCCTTCTTGGGCATAGGTTGAACTAACTTTGGGAGGAAATTAGTTTATAGTTTACAGTTTAAAACAAAGACAATAATAGCCCTTTCCCAAAAGAAACTTCTTTCTTGTTTGGGGACTAGACTGTGTTTGTAGGACTAACAAATTAGCCACAAGATTAGAAATTCTGGTTTAGGAGTCGTGTAGTTGGAGGCTACAAGATTCTGACCCTCCCTAAATTGTTCTTAAGATCAGTGCTTGAGATATTTTGCAGACCCTGTACCTTATGGATCAGTTGGTACCACCCAGATCGATAAAATTGCTTCATCTGATCTTGTGGCGCCCACCCAGGAACAGTCAGTTCAAGAGGACAGCTTCATCGTCCCATGATTTTATCTCTTGCCTAACCAATCAGCACTCCTGGCTCACTGGCTTCCCCTGACTCACCAAGTTGTCCTTAAAAACTCTGATCCTCAAATGCTCCAGGAGACTAATTTGATCAATAACAAAACTCCAGTCTCCCACACAGCCAGCTCTGTGTAAATTACTCTTTCTCTATTACAATTCCCCTGTCTTGATAAATCCACTCTGTCTAGGCAGTGGGCAAAGTGAACCCACTGGGTGGTTACAAATTTCGAGGCTCATCAGGATTGCCCTTGCAGCTACCTGCCCGTGGTTTGGTAGCCCCTCTCTAGCGATGGATCCAGAGGCTAGCCCAAGCATCTGCCTAGTTCTCTTGGACTAGGGGCTGACTTTGGTACTCTCTACTGGCGGGGTGCTGCCAACCCAATGTGCATGGATTTAATTGCAATGGAGAAATAGTCCTGGGGCGATATCCCTTAACTGTAGCACTATCACAGGGTGTCTGTCTGTAGCTCCATGGTGGGGTGTCTGTCTGCATCCCATTGTGGGGGTCTGGGTTGATGAGCATTCTAGGTACCGCCAATGACCCCTTCCTTCTCCCGACTGGTTCTGTAGCCCCCTGGTGGGGTGTCTGTTTGTCTGTAGCCCCATTGCGGGGTGTCTGTCTCAGTTTGGCTCCTAGGGGGTCTCTGTTGGCTCTCCCTAACTAGTAGGAAGAATCTTGGTTGGGGAGACTTCTTCTCAGTCCAGAAGATTTTGGGGAGATTTCTCAGACAGAGAATAGGAAGATAGTTTGGGAGGGATACTCTTGAGTTCTTTGTTGGGGATCTGATTTGGAAGGCCTTCTGTCTGTCGTGTCTTTGTGTGTGTTTGTATATGTGGAGGGGATCTCAGAAGAAATTGCTGATGGAAGTCCAGCAGGCCTAACTTGGAGAATCCTCCTTATTTGTCTGGTCACATTTGGTGAGCCCTGAAGAAAGCTCGATAGGCCTTTCTCGGGGTGACTATTGGCTCTTTGCCTTGCCCAGAGACCCCACTGTGAATTATCATTTGGAGGTCATCCCTCCCCAGCTGGAATGGATCAAAGACAACAGGGACCGTCTGGAGAAAGTTTGAGCTTTGCTAGGTTGATATTGGGTGCTGAATGGGGTGACTAGTGTCTGTTTTGTTTTGTGTATTTTGCTGGGATGGAAAATGTTCATTCAGTTCCCCAATGCAGCCCATTGGGCAACATCTTGCAAATTGATTATCTTTTGCCTATGGTTCCATAAAACAGAAAAGGGTGATTTTCTTTTGTAAAGTGGCTTGAATCCCACAGCTATGGCACAGCGAGCAGGGTCATCAGAAGGTGCTCCATTCTTCTGGAAGCTGCAGAGAAAGGGAACCCATAAATCTGGTATGCCAAAAAAGGATAAGAAATTCTTACCAGCCAAGTTTCTGGTCTCTCTTTCTCTGTCTGCATAAATGGTAAATGTCACTATATTTGTCTCCTCTGCAAGAGTTTGATTAATAGAAAAATGGATTTGTGAGACTGGTCTTAGGCTGTAGCAAATCTGGTGTACTTTGTACTAAAAGTTTGTCTTTCTATATTCTGTAATGGAGAAAGGAGTATCACAGGATACAATGTGGGTTTAGGATCCCTATAAGCCCATTTTTCAAGCCAACCCAGCAGACTGGTCAATTACAAACTATGCTACGGGTCCCTGAAAACAATACTCGGTAAGATCGGTCTTGTTTTGTGTCCTTAAGAGCTTAACCTTGTGGGGATACTTTATCTTGGTTTCTGCCATCCAGAGGACAGGAATTTTGAGGTTCATGTCACAGCCCTAAGAATTATCTTGAGCAGTTAAAAGCCTTCTCAAACTCAAAATTGGCCTCTCTAGGCTCCTTTTGGGAAAAGCAATAGAAACTGCTCAATGCTGTATAGTTCAGTAACTAAGGGTTTATCTTTTGACAGTGGTGGCCTGGGTTCAATTCTTGGCTTCTGGAATGATTCCTTTCTGGTTTGTTATGTGTGTAACTTTGCCATTTGAGGTTTTTATGGATAGCTTCTGATTTCTTCTCTTGAATTTTTCTTTCTCTGAACTACCTTAGGGAGATTCTAAATCTAGTAAAAAAGAAACTGCTTACCATGCCTTTGAAGCACCTGGGAGGTTGGTTACTTTTGGTAAAGTTCAAAAGCCAGAAATATTGACTGCATGGATAAAGTCAGGTAATCAGAGATGTGAAAGGATTTTTTTAAAGACCACTATGGTTAAAAGTCAACTTAATTAAAAGTGCATAAGCAAGCTGTAGGTATATTTAAAAGGTCTTTATGCTTTTCTTTTCATGGATCTTGTTTTGCTGGAAAAAGGTTTTTTTTTTCTTTTAGTCGACTGAATTATTTTTCTCCATTTTGTCTTACCACTATTAATGCACACATGAGAGGCCCTAAGATAACTTCTGGTAGCCTGAGATTCCTTGGGAAAAACAGAGGAGGTGCTATAGACCCCATTTTGGGAAAAAACCCTGTTTTCCTCATGAAACCCCAGGAATTAAAAGCAGATAGGTCCCCCTCAAAATCTAAGTCTGTTCTGTTTTGCATTGTGCTATCTAACGGTTTTGAGTCTTGGGGGTATCAAAAATTACTTTGAATTATAGGAGGGCTTGATATATAATAACTAGGTAAAAAATATACTTTAAGAATTGGCTAATGTCAGTTATGAAGACATACTTAGCTCTTTGCAAGCTTGGATCAGAGAAACATGCTCTTGGCCACCTGGAAGATACGGAAACATCCCCAACCCCCACTGAGAGATGAGACTCCCATGGGGGATTGGCTGGTTACAAAATGGGCTGATTGGCTTTGGTTTTCCTTGCGATGACATGTGTGGTGGAAGCACTGCACTGTCTTCTCCTGTAGTATTTCTTTCCTTTTTAGGGATCCAGGATACATATAGAATGGCACCCTAATTTGGGGGATCTGTCTCTCCTTTCCAGCTGTGCCTCCTTATTAGGCCCCAGAAACTGCATGGTTTCCTGGCCCTGTTCCTCCACCCTGAAGCCAGTAATCCAATTAAGAAACTGGTAAATAAAAAATCTTACAAGTGCTGAATCTTCTATCTGTCTGTATTCATATGTGTTGTGTGTGTAATATTTACACAAAAAGAACTCTGTTTAATTGGCTTAAAAATAGATGCCGAAATCAAATATTTTGTCAGAAAAAGAGAAACTTTAATGCCTTTTGTACACGTGACTTTAATAATCTTTTGGAAATAAAGACAGTTTTAGAAATTATTGATAAAAACAAAAATGTCTTCAAAATGTAGACATTTGGTCTAAATTAACGTCAGATATCAGATTTACTAAATGTTTTAAGGTTGTAAGCTGTTTCTTTGACTTTTGAAAATTGTTTAATTTGCCTACTTTGGAAAGAGTTAGGCCTTATCTTCACTTCTGTCTGATGTCCTAGACTCCACACCTAGTACATAATTAAAATCACTTATCAGGTTTTCACCAAAAATAAAAGCTGCTAAGAGGTAACATTGTAACATGTAATTGAGACCACTGGAGAAACAGTTCTACATGTAAGGTGTGTAAGGAAAGTAAAAGATTATAGGAAGGCATGGGAATATGGCTTTTATTAAAGGGAATGTTGCCAGACGCGGTGGCTCACGCTTGTAATCCCAGCACTTTGGGAGGCTGAGGCAGGTGGATCACAAGGTCAAGAGATCGAGACCATCCTGGCCAAATGGTGAAACCCTGTCTCTACTAAAAATACAAAAATTAGCTGGATGCGATGGCACATGCCTGTAGTCCCAGCTACTCAGGAGGCTAAGGCAGGAGAATTGCTTGAATCTGGGATATGGAAGTTGCAGTGAGCCAAGATTGCACCACTGCACTCCAGCCTGGTGACAGAGCAAGACTCCATATCAAAAACAAAACAAAACAAAAAAGGAATATAATTTTGTCTAGTTCAGAGGGTTTAAAGATTATCTTAACCTAAAAGAGTAATGGGACAAAACTGGAGGTTTAAACAAAGTGAAAAGGGCTTATGAAGGGTTGGTCTTGTAAAAAAAAGTTCTGTGGGTATGAGCAAGTTGGCTAATATTGGAAGGGGATTATTTAATTTTTTTTTCTGTAGGTTGAACATTAAAATAAAAGCACACGAATACAGGGCCAGAATCTGAGCCCAGGTGTCCAAATAACAGGGTTTTCTTAGAAAACTGATCGACTGTTTAATGAAAAATTATAAAGTGTTCAAAAAAGTTTATGAAAATCTTACCTTATGGTCAGACTAATTAAGACTGAATACATTTGTAAATTTTTATTGTAAAACCAGCCTTAGCATTAAAAATGCACTAATACAAACATTAAATTTGGTTTTCTCTTTTGAAAAAGATTTTTATGTAAAAGATTTTTTACATAAAAGATTATGTAAAAGATTTTTTATAGTAAAAGAAAATGAAAGGGTTTTGTTTGCCCCTTTGGGTAAACTACAGGGAAAAAGGGGAGGAGAGAGAAGATACGATTCAGTTGGCCTCATGCTATCTTCATTGGGTCTTCTTGTTTGGAAAGCTATGTCTCCTCTATCAGAGTAAAGGGTTTTTCTTTTTAAAATTTTGGAGTTATCATTTTGGTCAAATGAATGACTTATGGTGACCTGGGATTCTATTTTGTGATATCCACAAAATAAATCTTTGATATTTGACAAACTTTCCAAAATCAAATTATAAATTATAATTTGATTATAATTATGTCTCTTTCTAACCTAATCTTTTAGATATTAGGTCCTCTAATGTCCAAAAATGACATCTGGCTTACGTGGTATAAAAATCATACAGGAAGCATTGTCAAATATAAAATGTTGTTTGGCTTTCTTTGGGCTGTATTTGTATAAATATGTTATTAGTATGTGTTCCAAAATTATGAGAAACTCCTATAATTCTGATATGATTGAATGTATGCTGTTAATATAATAGTTATAATTTGTATGTAAAATTGTTGTATGCCACAGAAGTAACCAAATTCCTAGTCAACTGTGGCTTTAATAATGGCCGTCCTAAGATTTGTTGTCATCCACAGACAATTGTTGTCATCCACAGACAATTGTTGTCTTGTTTGATGCTCTTCAAAAGGTGGTTTATAATCAGCTCTAGAACTTTGACAGGTGCTCTTGAATTCAGGTTTCCAATAACTTTGGAGAATGTGACATTAGAATAGAGGAAATAACTTCCAGGACTCTCATGGGGAGCTGAAATGTTCATAAATATCAAACAGAACAGGAGTTAATGGAATTGATTGAACTAATAGAAAACTGAAGTAATCTTTTTTTTTTTTTCTTTTGAAATGGAGTTTCGCTCTTGTCTCCCAGGCTGGACTGTTGTGACATCATCTCGGCTCACTGCAACCTCTGCCTCTCGGGTTGAAGTGATTCTCCTGCCTCGGCCTCCCAAGTAGCTGGGATTACAGGTACTCACCACCATGCCCATCTAATGTTTGTATTTTTAGTAGAGATGGGGTTTCACCATGTTGGCCAGGCTGGTCTCGAACTCCTGGCCTAAGGTGATCCACCCACTTTGGCCTCCCAAAGTACTGGGATTACAGGTGTGAGCCATTGAGCCTAGCCCAGTAATCTTTTGTATTAACTTTTTTGCTTAAAACATTGCTGATCCTTTTTGTTTTCCAGAGCCAAGAAAACTTTTCTTTTAAGCTACTTACAGCTTTTAACAGTTGAATAAAATATACTCCTGTGAAAAAATTTGGAGTATATTTGTTTCTCCCTACCTGATTTTTCCAGAATTTGGAAACTATTTGTGAATATTCTCAACATATGGCAGTATAGTTATTTGCATAAGTACAATGATAATCTGTTTTCTTTTGTAACAGGACACAATGGGAGAAACTGGTTATTTTATCAAGGCTTTGACTAGAATGGCATGCTTTTTTTAAAGAATCAAAGTTGGCTGGGCGAGGTGGCTCATGCCTGTAATCCCAGCACTTTGGGAGGCTGAGGCAGGCGGATCACCTGAGGTCAGGAGTTTGAGGCCAGCCTGGCTAACATGGTGAGACCCCATCTCTACTAAAAAGAAAAAAAATTCCAAAAATTAGCTGGGCATGGTGACAGGCGCCTGTAATCCCAGCAACTCTGGAGGCTGAGGCAGGAGAATCACTTGAACCCGGGAGATAGAGGTCACAGTGAGCTGAGATCGTGCCATTGCACTCTAGCCTGGGGAACAAGAGTGAAACTCTGTCTCAGAAAAAAAAAAAAGGAGAATCAAAGTTGAGTTATTGAGCTAATAAAAGCCCCTTGGGAAATCTGGCCTTATACCTTGTCTACACAGTCCCTGTTCAAAGTTCCTGACCTGTGGTAAGTAAAGAATGTCACTTTCTAACAGTCTCAGGAGACCCAAGTTTTCTTGGGACCTCAGGAGGAGAGAAATTTACCCAACTCATAGGTATTTGAGTGTACAAACCCATGGCTGGGCTTAGCTTTAAAAAAGTCTTATTTGAGATTCCTTACAGAACAGAGTTCCATCAAAGCCAATTTTAAAGGCCTATGTGAAAAATAGTTATTCTTGGTGTGCTTTGTGCAAATAATCAGGCCAAGTATAATAAGACTAAAGTTTATTTTGTAAACAAATCATTCTATCATGATTTGTTTTTAATAAAAATGGAGACTGAAGAGAGAAAAATTATGCTTCAAAAGAAAAGCTATAGTATACCTGTTGTTCGCTGTTCTTGAGTTTTTCGGCAGTTTGGACAAAATCCTAAATTTTTGTGGGCTACAAGTCTCCAAACTAATGCTTTCAAATCTTTACTTTTAAAACTGGGAATTACACTCCTTACTAGCTCCCTTTTGCCTTCCGCCTTGAGTGGAAGCAGTCTGAGGCCTAACCAGAAGCCCTGCAGATGGGGGTGCCATGCTTCTCGTACAGCTTGCAGAACTGTGAACCAAACATCTTTTGTTTATAAATTACTAAGTCTCAAGCATTCTGTGAAGGCAACACAATAGACTGGGACAGTATCAGAACTGGTCCTAGTGAGGTCCTTGTGAGACCTCTATAGCATGTGCTTCCTTTTAAGTTAGATTTAGTCTGCCATGACTGTGAGAATATCTGAACTACATTGATGAGCTTGGAATTACAATATTATATAAATTGCATTGTCTTGAAAACTAATGGTATTTCCTGAAATGACTCATCCCTGAACTCGATGGAGAGCTTTATTTTTTTCTTGCCACACTCTGTAACTTTGCAGTATAAGAAGTTAACCTAGGCTTGGCTAGTCGCCCACCCCTGTAATCCCAGCACTTTGGGAAGCTGAGGTGGGAAGACTGCTTGAGCCCAGGAGTTCAAGAGCAGCCTGGGCAACATGGTGAAACCCCATCCCTACAAAAGAATGTAAAAGTCATCCAGGCATGGTGGTGCACGCCTGTGGTCCCAGCTACTGCAGAGGCTGATATGGGAGGATCACTTGAACCCAGGCAATTGAGACTGCAGTGAGCCAAGATCATGCCACTGCACTCCATCTTGGGTGACAGGTTGAGACCCTGTCTCAAAAAAAAAGAAAAGAAGAAGAAGAAGAAAGAAGAAGTAGTTACCTATGCTCGTAATCACATAGGGCACTAGGGCAGGTGCCCAGGCACTGCAGGGTAAGGCCTAACGGAATTATGGCTCCGGGCTGGGTGCGGTGGCTCACGCCTGTAATCCCAGCACTTTGGGAGGCCAAGGTGGGTGGATCACCTGAGGTCAGGCATTTGAGACCAGCCTGGCCAACATGGTGAAACCCCGTCTCTACTAAAAATACAAAAAATTAGCTGGGTGTGGTGGTGCACACCTGTAATCCCAGCTACTACAGAGGCTGAGGCAGGAGAATTGCTTGAACCTGGGAGGCAGAGGTTGCAGTGAGCCAAGATTGCACCACTTCACTCCAGTCTGGGTGACAGAGTGAGAATCTGTCTCCAAAAAAAAAAAAGGAATTATGGCTCCAGGAGGATAAGTGTAACCCACCTTCCCTGTAAGGACAAAGGAAAGAGGGGCATTTGGCTGGAGCTATTATGAGCCCATCACTGGCCAGTGCCCAATTCTGGTACTTGCCACAACAAGGTGATCTGGGGACCAGGTAACCATCCCTGGGTAACCCTGGTGTCCTCTCTGAAGGCTGCTGGGGAAGGAGCATGAAGCCTGCTGCTACCTGGTCCTGCTCCTTGCTGTGTCCCAGATTCCACAGGGAAGGAGAAGGGGAATAGCTCTTAGGTCCCTATGGCAGGCTGGGATTTATGACTTATTAGACTTCACCTTACTTAGTGACACTGTTTAGGACTTTCGGACCACATCACTGATCTGGGAGAAGGAATGGCCAGCATTGCTATCCCCATTTTGCAGATGAGGAAATTGAAAGACTGAGGTGATATTCCTGGCCACAGGCCACATCATTCGACGGGGCAGGGCTGAGACACAGGCTCCCAGCCAGCACTGTCCTCTGCTCCCTGGCGATTTACAGGCATTTACAGGTGCCAGGCTCACTGCCCAGAGGTGTCAATATAAACATGATCCTTATCTGGGCTCCACACAACTCTCCTATCTGGCCTCCTCCTCTACCCCCTGAGCCTTTCTTTTTCTTTTTTCCTTTCTTTCTTTCTTTTATTTTTTTTTTGAGACGGATTCTGACTCTGTCGCCCAGGCTGGAGTGCAGTGGCGTGATCTCGGCTCACTGCAAGCTCCGCCTCCCAGGCTCACGCCATTCTCCTGCCTCTGCCTCCCCAGTAGCTGGGACTACAGGCGCCCGCCACCAGGCCTGGCTAATTTTTTGTATTTTTAGGAGAGACGGGGCTTCACCATGTTAGCCAGGATGGCCTCGATCTCCTGACCTCGTGATCCGCCCGCCTCAGCCTCCCAGAGTGCTTGGATTATGGGCTGAGCCACCGTGCCTGGCCCCACTGAGGGGCGGTAAGCCCGAGAGACTGAGATTCAACCACTTGCCTACCAAGTTCTAGGCAGCATACAAGCCACATCTTCACTCTTGTGATAACATGACAGATGTTTCCACTTCAGCCTCTGAATGATCATGGGCCAAGTCTCCACTTCAGCCTCTGATTGGTAGCAGGCCAATCCTTCATAAGGTTTAGCCAGTTGGAGGAGGCCAGTTTTATCTCATGGCTGCTGAAACAACCTGCAGGGACACTAAGACCAGCTTCACCCACCACCATCACTCACCAGTCAGAGCTTCACCCGCCATCATCCACCAGAGCTTTACCTGCTGCTGTCACTCACCAGTCAGAGCTTTAACCACTGTCATGATTCACCTATCAGAGCTTCACCCACCACATCGCTCACCAATCAGAGCTTTACCTGCCATCGTCGCTCACCAATCAGAGCTTTACCCGCCATCATCACTTACCAGTCAGAGCTTCACCCACTGCTATCACTCACCAGTCAGAGCTTCACCCGCTGCCATCACTCAACAATCAGAGCTTCACCCCGCTGCCATCACTCACCAATCAGAGCTTCACCCACCGCCATCACTCACCAGTCAGAGCTTCACCTGCTGAAGGGGTGGCCAGCTGCTCCACAACCTGTGGGTGTTTCTCGTCAGGTGGGATGAGAGACTGAGAAAAGAAATAAGACACAGAGTCAAAGTATAGAGAAAGAAAAGTGGGCCCAGGGGATTGGTGCTCAGCATATGGAAGACCCGCACTGGCACTGGTCTCTGAGTTTCCTCAGTATTTATTGGTCACTATCTCTACCATCTCGGACAGGGTGATGTGGCAGGACTATAGAGTAATGGTGGGGAGAGGGTCAGCAGGAAAACATATGAGCAAAGATCTCTGTGTCGTAAATAGGTTTAAGGAAAGGTGCTGTGCCTGGATGTGCACGTAGGCCAGATTTATGCTTGACTTTACACAAACATCTGAGTGCATTAAGGAGCAGTATTGCCGCCAGCATGTCTCACCTCCAGCCATAGGGAGGTTTTCTGCTATCTCAGTATTTAGAGCGTATGATCGGGTTTTACACCAAGACATTCCATTCCCAGGGACGAGCAGGAGACAGATGCCTTCCTCTTATCTCAACTGCAAAGAGGCCTTCCTCTTTTACTAATCCTCCTCAGCACAGACCCTTTATGGGTGTCGGGCTGGGGGACGATCAGGTCTTTCCCTTCCCTCGAGGCCGTATCTCAGGCTGTCACATGGGGAGAAACCTTGGACAATACCTGGCTTTCCTAGGCAGAGGTCCCTGCGGCCTGGCCTTCTGCAATGTATTGTGTCTCTGGGTACTCGAGATTAGAGAATGGTGATGACTTTTACCAAGCACGCTGCCTTCAAGCACTTTTTTAACAAAGCACATCCTGCACAGCCCTAAATCCATTAAACCTTGAGTCAACACAGCACATGTCTCTGTGAGCACAGGGTTGGGGCTAGGGTTACAGATTAACAGCATCTCAAGGCAGAAGAATATCTCTTAGTACAGAACAAAATGGAGTCTCTTATGTCTACTTCTTTCTACATAGACACAGTAACCGTCTGATCGCTCTTTCTTTCCCCCACAACCCGCCGCCATCACTCATCTGGTAGAGCTTTGCTCACCACCATCACTCACCAATCAGAGCTTCACCCGCCACCATCACTCACTAGTCACAGCTTCATCTGCCACCATCACTCATCTAAGCTTTACCCACTGCAGTCATTCACCAATCAGTGTTTGCCAACTCCCTAGAACCTTACTAGTGCCAATGAAGTTTCTGGAAAAACAGTATGTGACATTTTTCATTTTTATAAAACCTCTAACAACTGAGCACGATGGCTGACAGGCGTGAGGTGGGAAGATCACTTAAGGCCAGGAGTTCAAGACCAGCCTGGACAACATAGTGAGACCCCCCTGTCTCTACTAAAAATCAGAAAAATTAGTCAGGCATGGTGGCATGTGCCTTGTAATCCCAGCAACTTGGAAGGCTGAGGTAGGAGAATTGCTTGAGCCCAGGAGTTGGAGGCTGCAGCGAGCTATGATTGCACCACTGCAGTGCAGACTGGGCAATAGACCAGACCCTGTCTCAAAAAAAGCAAAACAAAACAAAAACAATTTTTTTAAAAAATAGAAAAATATTCTCAAAGTCCAGCAGGAGGCAATTGGTTAAATAGATTATGCTCCACTTCTTGCTAAAATAAGACACATTTTGGTGACAGATAGCAGCTGACAGATGGCAGCCAATCGGAGGCCTCTAAAGGGCAGCAAGGGGTGTTGCCAGGTTCCTTTAGCTTAATAAAAACCCTAATTGAGGAAGCTCTTGAGCCGTTTGCTCCAGCCACTCCCACCCTGTGAATTGTTTTCAATAAAGCTGTGCTTTCCGGGTCTTTTGTTGCTTTGTCTTTCGTTTGTTCTTTCTTTGTTCTTTCTTACTTTGTGCATTTTGTTCAGTTCTTTGTTCAACACACCAAGAACCTTGATGACTCTATCTCTGCTTGGGTCTAATCAGTTATCAAACTAGAGTCAGACTGGATCTAAACGAAACCGCCTTCCAAACAGGGGGTCACCAATTTATAGACAGCTCCTCCCGGGTCATTGAAGGAAAAAGGCACAACGGGTACTCCTTAGTTGTTGGGGAGACCTCACAGAGGTAGAGTCAGGAAGACTGCCAAATGCCTGGTCTGCCCAAACATGCGAACTCTTTGCATTAAACCAAGCCTTAAAATCCCTGCAGAATCAGGAAGGAACTATTTACACCGACTCCAAGTATGCCTTTGGAGTAGTCCTTACCTTTGAAAAATCTGGACTCAACAAGACCTCGTAAATAGTAAGGGCCAAGATCTGGTCCACAAGGAATTAATTATGCAAGCACTAGAAAATCTTCAGCTGCTGAGCCGGGCATGGTGGCTTGCACCTGTAATCCCAGCACTTTGGGAGGCCGAGGCGGGCAGATCACCTGAGGTCCGGAGTTCAAGACCAGCCTGGCCAACATGGTGAAACCCCATCTCTACAAAAATACAAAAATTAGCCGGGTGTTGTGTTGGGCGCCTGTAATCCCATCTACTTGGGAGGCTGAGGCTGGAGAATTGCTTGAACCTGGGAGGCGGAGGTTGCAGTGAGCCGAGATCGTGCCACTGCACTCCAGCCTGGGCAACAGAGTGAGACTTCGTCTCAATAAATGAATGAATGAAAATCTTCAGCTGCCAGAAGAAATTGCAATTGTCCATGTCCTAGGCCCCCAAACACCCATCTTTTGAAAGCTGGGGAAACAACTTCGCAGATCAGATAGCTAAACAAGCTGTCTCTTCCCAAGAGGCACCCATTTTCCATCTCACCCCTTGTCTTCCCCCTCCAGCTGTGATCCCCACCTTCTCCCGTGCAGACCAAGAGAAACTAAAGAACATAGGAGCTAACGAGAGCCCAGAGGGAAAGTGGGTAATACCAGATGGAAGGGAAATGCTGTCTAAACCCCTCATGAGAGAAATATTGTCACAGCTTCATCAGGGAACTCACTGGGTTCCTCAAGCTATGTGTGATGCAGCCCTCAGAGAGTCTGTGGGTGTGTAGGGATATATACCCTTGCTAGGCAAGTGACAGATGGTTGCATAGTGTGCAGAAAAGCTAATAAGCAAACCCTTAAAGAAGCAACCTCCTGGGGGACAAAACCCAGGGTTGAGGCCATTCCAAAGTGCCCAAGTTGGCTACACTGAAATGCCCCCAGTAGGCCTCCTCAAGTATTTACTAGTAATAGTAGACCATCTCACCCACTGGGTAGAAGCCTCCCCTTCCCAAGCGCAACAGCCAGTAACGTAGTCAAAGCCCTGTTGGAACATATCATGCCCAGGTTTGGACTAATAGAGAACATTGATTCAGACAATGGGACCCACTTCACTGCACACATCATTAAGGGGCTAACCTAAGCACTAGGAATAAGATGGGAATATCATATTCCCTGATCCACCCTCATCAGGGAAGGTAGAAAGAATGAATCAAACTCTAAAAAGTCACCTAACCAAACTAATCTTGGAAACGCGGTTACCATGGACAAAATGCCTTCCCATTGCCTTACTAAGAATCCAAACTGCCCCTCGAAAAGATCTCGGCCTGTCCCCTTACGAAATGCTCTATGGACTGCCTTATCTAAATTCCACTACTGACCTTCCTACATTTGAAACAAAAGATCAGTTTCTAAAAAAATGTATATTTTGTCTGTCTTCCACCCTTTCCTCCCTCAGGACTCAAGGCCTTCTAGGGCAAACTCCACCCTAGTTCGAATTCCCAGTTCACTAACACCAGCCCAGAGATCATGTCCTTATCAAAAGACGGAAAGAGGGAAAGTTCAAACCAACCTGGGAAGGACCTTATCTAATACTCCTAACCACTGAGATAGCAATCCAAAGGCCGAAAAAGGAGGGACCCACCCCTTGCAAAGTCATGGACTGTCACTCCAGGACCAACACCCTCCAAACCAATGTTCAAAAGGGTTTAGTCTGTCTTTTTTTTTAATTCCTTTAGTTACCAAAGAACATCTTATCATCAATGTAACCCGATCACCCTGCCCTCAAACGATCACATTCAATGCTTGCCTTGTCATGCCCTGTGGAGACCTTTAGAGTCAAAAACAGCTAGCTTCTTCAGAAAAGTACCTCTGCCCCTCCACCCGCTTCAGACAAATCAGAAACCCTTGTGATGGACAACCACGAGCCTTCCAGGGGTTATGTTATAATTGGGGAGATGTTATCTAGACCACCCAGTATCAGGGCTGGACCTCCTCAGAGGGTTGCACCGCCCTAAAACCTTACATCCACCTTACCAAAGGAGTCACACCCTCAAATTGCCAAAACCACCAGTTTTCCCAAAAGTCAGAAGCCCTACGGGACAGCCCCCAAGGGCCATTCGACTTCCAGCTCTTGATGCCAATTTTACCTCATGTCTCTCATGGCAAGGGGAAAATCTGACGTTCCTCGGAAACCTGATGGGATGTACTGGGCCTAAACCTTTCCAAGAGCTAACCAGTCAGTCAGCCCTAATCCATCCCCAAGCAGATGTACAGTGGTATTGTGGGGGACCAATATTGAGTACTCTGCCAAACAATTGGAGCAGCATTTGCACTCCGATCCAATTGGCCATCCCTTTCACCTTGGCATTTCAACAACCAGACAGGAAGCAGGTAACCCAAAGGAAAAGAGAAACCCCTCACGGGTCCTTTGACCTCTCATATTTACATAGACAGTATCGGGGTTGCGCTGGGGGGTACAAAATGAATTCAAAGCTCGAAACCAAATAGCCACCAGGTTTGAGTCTGTATTATTCTGGTGGTCCACTATAAACAAAAATGTAGACTGGATACATTATATATACTATAATCAACAGTGATTCATCAATTACACCAGAGATGCCATAAAAAGAATAGCTCAACAATTAGGCCCTACCAGCCAGATGGCCTGGGAAAACAGGATAGCCCTTGACATGATATTGGCCAAAAAAAGGCGGAGTCTGTGTCATGATTGGGGTCCAATGTTGCACTTTTATCCCCAATAACACAGCCCTGGACAGGACAATCACAAAAGCCTTACAAGCCTTACCACCCTAGCAAATGAATTAGCCGAGAACTCTGGAATAGATGACCCCTTTGCAGGTGTCATGGAGAAATGGTTTGGAAAATGGAAGGGACTCATGACCTAAATATTTACCTCCCTTGCAACAGTTACAGGTGTACTCATCCTTGTGGGCTGCTGTATCATACCTTGTATTCGTGGGTTAACCCAAAGGCTCATAGAAGCAGCTCTCACAAAAACCTCCCCCACCTCTCCCCATCCATAGTCAGATAAGCTCTTGCTCCTAGATGATAAAGAAGAACAACAAAGCCAACTCCTGTTAAATAAATTTGAAGGGGAAGAACTATAAAACAGAAGAGGGGAAATTGTTGGGACAACTAAGTTCCTCTTCAAAGATTCAACTTCCTGGCCATAACTTGGAAACAAATCCTACCCCTACAACCTTTTCAAAAATCACACCTTTACCTTATTTGGGAAGGTTTAAGCATTAGCCTGTCGGGGTCAGCTTAGATTATGCGGCCCAACCCCAGCCAATAGGGGAAGGACACAGAAACAGAAACTGCATTAGGGATAAAAACCCCTTCCCTCCTTTGTTCAGTGTGCTCTTGGGATTGTAACAGGCACAGGCAGCACCCTTCTACAGAAGTAAAAGTGACTTGCTGAGAAATTTTCTAAGTGCGGGTTTCTTTTCGCTACACCGAGCACTTGTTTCCAACACATGCAAACCAGAATGGAGGTCTCCCTGGACCTGGGTTTGGGCCACAAGCTTGCAAGACCTTGGGCAAGACTGTTCCCTCTTCTGAACCAAGTCCTTCCCTGGCCCAGCCGCTTGTGAGTAACACATCAGTTTCATGCTTACACCTCCTGGTCTTGTGAGTAACACATCGGTTTCATGCTTACACCTCCTGGTCTGACCGGGCTCTCCTTTGCAGAGCCTTTTATTCCTTCCCTTCCTCTGAACACTGGCTGGCTGCTTTCAGGGAAGAAGTTCAAGGCAGTGGCAGGGAGCTCCTTGCACATCGCCATGACAAATGTTTTATGGAAACAGTGAGCTGATGGGACGAGGGGTCGGGGCTAGAAAGTCAGCCAAAAGGTGTGAGAACCCGGACTAGCCCCCAGCCCTGAACATGGCAGGCCACTGTGCCATGGTAGGGGAGTGAAAGTTTCCCTCTGCTCCTCTTAGGGTTCCAGCTGGGGCTCCTTACAAAAGAGAAAAACAGTTCATTAATGCATGTAGTGCACCTCACTGAAGAAGCTTCAACAAAAAGCAACTCAGAACAGTGACTTAGAACTGGGTTATGGAGCAACTTCAACAAAGAATAATCAACGTGTGGGGAAATGACAGGACCCAGGAGAGCGGTTTTAGGCTTCCAAGTTTGGGAAACCGGCAAGGTGAGTATTGGGAGGAAACTAAGGCGGAAGTTTCATTCACAGAGCCCTAGGGTGCCTTCTTTCCTCTGGCTGATGCGTCTCTCTCCTATAATTTCCATCCTGCCTCAGACAGCAGAGGGACAGGGCAGAGAGAGATTTCCCTGCTTCTGCTGCATCTTAGTTGCCTTCAACTCAAGATAATTTCTGAGGCTCATTTTGGAGTGACATATTCTGGTGTCCTTCACGGTACAGGGCACAGCCTCAGAGGACCAGATCCACAGCTGATCACTGAGCTCTTCCATGTGCCAGGCCCGTCCAGGGAGAACACTCAGCCCCACAAACAGGGCAGGTGGCACCAGGATGCTGGGCGGCAGCCTAACCCTCAGCTCATGGGTGGGTGGAGTGGAGAGCACCCTCCCCATGTGGGGCTCCCTGGTCGTGGACCTGGAGACCACCAAGGCTCTGCAGTCTCAGAAGTGGCCTGTTGGAATGGGGTCTGCAGGCAGGGAAGCCTTGGGCCAGAGTCCCTCAGGGGCAGGAACACAGCCCCCAGGCTTGTCCCACTTGTCCCTCTGAATAGTTAAGGGCTGCCCACAGGGAACTTCCCTCCCTCCCTCCCTTCCTCCCTTCCTTCCTGCCTCCCTCCCTCCCTTCTTTCCCCTTTTCTTCTTTCATCCTCCCCTTTCTTCCTTCCTTACTGTGGTAAAATACACATAACATGAAATTTACCATCTCAACTATTTAAACACGCACAGTTCCATGGTGTTGAGTTCACTCACATCGTTGTACAGCCATCACCAGCATCCATCTACAACACTCTTTTCATCTTCCCAGACTGAAACTCAACACCGTTCACAGCTCCCCATTCCCGCCTTCCCCAGGCGCCCACCATTCTCCTCTCTATTTCTACGAATTTGATGACTCCAGTCCCTCAGATATGTGGAATTGTGGCTGGGCGCGGTGGTTCACATCTGTAATCCCAGCACTTTCAGAGGCCAAGGCAGGCAAATCACCTTAGGTCAGGAGTTCTAGAACAGCCTGGCCAACATGGTGAAACCCAGTCTCTACTAAAAATACAAAAATAAGCCGGGCATGGTGGCACACATCTGTGGTGCCAGCTACTCAGGAGGCTGAGGCGGGAGAATCGCTTGAACCTGGGAGGCAGAGGTTGCAGTGAGCTGAGATCTCACCACTGCACTCCAGCCTGGGAGAGAGAGCGAGACTCTGCCAAAAAAAAAAAAAAAAAGTTAATAGAATCGCATGGCATTTTTCCTTGTTGGACTGGATTTTACTTAGCATAAGGCATCAAGGCTCACCCACGCTGTAGCAGGTGTCAGCGTCTCCTCCCTTTCTAGGGCTGAGAAACATTCCATCTAGAGACAGACTCACTCCGTGCAGCCATGACGCCTTGGTGAACACCACGGCTGCTTCCAGCTTTTGGCTATGGTGAGTTCCGTTGCTAGGAACACAGATGTGCACATGTCTCTTCCAGACCCCCTTTCAATTCCTTGGGTGTATACACAAAAGCAGGATTGCCAGCTCATACGGTAATAATATTTTTATTTTTATTTTTATTTTTTGAGAAGGAGTCTTGCTATGTTGCCCAGGCTGGAGTGCAGTGGTGCGATTTTGGTTCACTGCAACCTCCACCTCCCAAGTTCAAGCGATTCTCCTGCCTCAGCGTCCCAAGTAGCTGGGGTTACAGACTCGAGCCACCACGACCGGCTAATTTTTGTATTTTTAGTGGAGATGGAGGATTCACCATGTTGGCCAGGCTGGTCTCGAACTTCTGACCTCAAGTGATCCGCCCGCCTCGGCCTCTGAAAGTGCTAGGATTGTAGGCATGAGCCACCGCGCCCGGCCTCGTACGGTAATTCTGTGTGATGTTTAGGGACACGTCTCGGAGCTGGCGAACTGGACTTGGGGTGGGAGGGAAAGGAAGCATTAAAGATGCCCCCAGCTTTCACGGAGATGAGAACGGTGCCCCGGGAGGGCGGGACGGGATCAGGGTCCTGTGAACGGGGTATCAGTGTAAACTCCTCTGAGAGATATCAGGAAAAGCAGGAAGAAGCCTCTGGGACCCTTCGGGAGGTAACTCCTCTTCGCAGCGGGGCGCGCTCTCCCAGTCCCTGCAGCCGCCGCCGCCCTCTCCTGAGCTTCCTCGAGCGGACGCCAGGCAAGGGCGGGGGTCGTAGCGGGGCGGAGCGGGGCTTTGTCCACGGACCGCGCGAAGAGGCCTCAGGGCCCGGCGCGGGCGCCGGAGGGGGACTCGCTCGCAGGGGGAACGCGAAGGTTCCTCAGTCTGCGGGACGCAGAGCTCCGTGGGGCCGCGAGCCGGGGCCGGGGAAGCGACTCTGCCTAGGGGGACGTCGCGGGCGCGGGGCACAGGGTCCTGCGGGGCTGGAGGGCTACAGGCTGCGGCGCGCGCGAGCCGGAAGGCCGGGGATCGTGGGTTCTGGGGCCGCAGCTTCACGGGTTCGTCTCCCCCGCCTCCCCGGGGGAGCAGGATGTCAGGGGGTCGCCCCCGCCCGGGAGACAGGGTGTCAAGGGGCCCCCGGGGACGGGGCTTCAGGGGCACCCGGAGCCGCTCGGCCCCAGGGCGGGATGCGGGGACAGGGCCCCAAGGTACCAGGGCCACGAGGGGCGCGCGGGTCCCTTGGGGATGCGCGCGAGGAGGCGCCGTCCCTTCCTAGCAGGGGTCCCTGGGGACCCGCGGCCGCCTCCCGCGCCCCTCTGTCCCCTCCCGTGTTCGGCCTCGGGAAGTCGGGGCGGCGGGCGGCGCGGGCCGGGAGGGGGCGCCTCGGGCTCACCCCGCCCCAGGGCCGCCGGGCGGAAGGCGGAGGCCGAGACCAGACGCGGAGCCATGGCCGAGGTGTTGCGGACGCTGGCCGGTGAGTGCAGGCCTCGGCCCCGGGTGCCCGCGAGGGAGCCGCTACCGCAGGGAATGCGGGGTGCACCCGACAGCCGGGCCGGGGTGGGGGCGCTCAGGGCTGCGAGGCTTCGGGCCGGCCGCCGCCCCAGCCTCCGAGACCCTGCGTCCTGGGGAGCCGGCGGGCAGGTGGGCTCGGCCGCGCTGTGGGTGCCTGGGACCCGCAGGGAGGATGGGCGCGGTGGCGCGGCCTGGCGGGGGGCTCGTCTCCGGGGTCCCCGGGTCCTGGTGAGAGCGGGGTCCCTCGACGCCGTGGCGGTCTCCAGCCTCTCCTCGCCCCTCCACGCTCCCCGCCTTCCATGAGCTGCTATTTTCAGCACCTACCGCCCGACCCTGGACTAGGACAAGGCTCTGGGCTGCCCTGCCCGCCCCCCAGCCCTTCCCTCGGGCACGGCGGCCAGGCGCCCGGGTTGACCGGGAACAGCCTCCATACCCCAAACGCGGAGGCGCCTCGGGAAGGCGAGGTGGGCAAGTTCAATGCCAAGCGTGACGGGGGAACTGTGCCCCGGGCCCTCAGGTGATATAGGAGTTAAGAAGAAATTATTGAGGCAACCAGATGCGGTGACTCAGGCCTGTAACCCCAGCACTTTGGGAGGCCGAGGGTGGATCACCTGTCCTTAATTTTCTTGGCGCCAGAAGATGAATTGAGTATTTACCCAGACAACAACGTCGCTTCAGAGGGAGGGATGCAGAACGCAGGGCCACGGGGTGCAGGCTGCAGGCCAGTGAACCCCAACGCCAAAGGCCAGGGAGAGCCGGGTGGGGTACCCAGAGCCAGCACACAGCCCTTTAATTTAGAGGAGTGCTGTGTACACATCTGGGGAGAGATGTTTTACTTTGATTTGGAATCAGGTGGCGGATAAGGCATACTGAGGCCTGACTTGGTGAGGGCTCCTGCCCCGGAGGTGCAGCCCTGGAGGAGCGGGAGGCAGAGGAGTGGAAAATTCATGAAGAAAACCGGGTATGGTGTAGGTCGAGGCCCTGCCCTCAGTAATGCTCACCATTTGTCAGTGTTTACTGTGAGGCAGCACTGTGTTCAGTATCGCTGAGTTCTCAGGAAGGAACGGTAAATACTTCCCGGGTCATTCTTTCACCCACGGGAAAACAGGTTTGGAGAGATCTGGGACAGTGCTCTGGTCCTAGGCAGGAAGGGCTGAGTGGGGCCTGGGACTCAGGTCTGACTGCAAACACCTGCCTCCTCCCTGTGCTGCCAGCGCCTTCCGGGTTCTTCCCTGTCCCTCCTTTGTGGTCTTTGTTTTCCCTTTTTTGTCTTAATATGTTTCAACGGATGTATACAATAAACCGCACATGAAAGGTACAGCTGGATACATCTTGACCCAGTCAAGATGATGAACACAGCTGCCACCCCAGGAGTCTGTCCTGCCCCACGGGTTATGCTGTCTTAGTTGGTCTCATGTCAGGGAGCCTTGGAGGACCAGGGTCGGGCAGTTGGTCTCTATACTCCTGGGGTTCTGGCACTGGCTCTGGCCCATGACCGCACCCAAGACAAACGTCTTGAAGACTAAGAGGTTAGGTCTTTGAGAAACCTGGCAAATGAGTGCCCATTCTCAGGTTACCCACATTCTGCATGTTGATTTAGTCATCCAACCAATGTTGGTTGAACACTGATGAGAACAAGCAGGCCTGTGCTAGAAGGTGCCTGCAGCCAGGAGCTGGTGAGCTGGTGTCCTTAGGGACACCAATGGCGAGGGACCCAGTGTGTGGAAATCTGGGGGACAAGCATGCCAGGGAGAAGAGCTCACATGGGGAAGGCCCGGCTCCACAAATCAGTCAGGCTTGTTGGGGCGGGCAGGAGAGCAGGGTAGTGGAGTCAGAGGGAGTGATCCCCCGAAAGGCAGGAAGAGGACATGAGAGAGCCTTGGAGATGACGGTGAGGATGTGGTTGGTGGGCGGTGAGCTGGGTGTCATGTGCTGGCTCCTTAGAGAATGCTCAGCTCCTTCACACCCATCATAATCCCTGGAGGACTGAGACCACGTGCAGGAGTTTTGGAAGCTGGCAGTGCACCCAGTCCCGGCTCTCCTCCATTCTGGTGGGTCTCACCAGAGATTGGCCAAGAAGAGATCAAACTGTTCCTGGACCAAACTGAGGGTGGGGCTGCTATCTCTCGCGGCCCAATAACGAGATGCAGATGAACTGGGGAGAAAGAGAGTTTTTATTTCTGTAACCAGTTACAAGGAGAAGACCTGGAAATTATCTCCAGACCAACTCAAAATTACAAAGTTTTCCAGAGCTTATATACCTTCTAAGCTATATGTCTATGTGTAAGTGTGCATTCATCTCAAGACATAAGTAATTGACTTATGTTAATCTATAACTAAGGTCTGAGTCCTGAAGACCTTCCTCTGGATCCTCAGTAAATTTACTTAATCTAAAACCCTTATCTTGTCTCCTAAATCATGGGGGTTTGGGAAGTTCCTTCAGACCCCCAGTAAACTTATTTGTGGAGTCCTGGGGAATTTCTTCAGATCCCCAATAAAACTTGTTTAATCCTAAATGGGTCCTGTTAAGAATTCCTTCGTTATTTTGTCATGCTTGAAGGCCCAGGAAAGGTCTAGGCAAAACTCTTGGTGGGATTTTGTTATATTCCAGCCTTTTTATAAGGGCACTGGCTTTTAATATTTAATTTAACCACTCAGTCAGTACTGAAACAGTTGTTAGGGAGGCCTGCGTTAGTGAGACCTGACCTGCCACAACACATCTTACTCGGAATGCTGCCCATAACTTCAAAAAATCAGCTTTGACGGAGCCCTACTGAACACACCTAGCATCTCTCTTCCTTCAGCTTAGGGTCAAGGGGCTGGGGTTGATGGCACCATTGAAAGAAACAGCTTTATTGCCGTGTCATTGATATGCCATAAAATTCACCTGTTTCAAATGAATTATTTTCAGTTAGTTTACAGAGTTGTGAAATAAATTTTATAACTTTTCCATCCCCAGCCCACCAAAACTCCCTGGAACTCCTCCGCAGTCATTCCCCATTCCCACCTGGCCTCAGACAATCACTTTCTGTCTCTCCAGTCTTGCCTTTTCTGGACAGTTCCTATGAATGGAGTCCTGTGTTACATGGTCTTTTGCATCTGACTTCCTTCACTTAGAATAATGATTCCGAGATTCATGTATGTTGTAGTATGTATCAGTATTTAATTCCTTTTTATTACTGAATAATCCATTGTACAGATAGACCACATTTTGTTTATCCATTCATCAGCTGAAGGACATTTCGGCTGTTTCTGCTTTTTTAGCTATTTTAAACTGCACGCAGCACTGCTATGAACATTTGTGTACAAGACTTTGTGTGAACATGTTTTCATTTCTCTTGGGTTGATACCCAGCAGAGGAATTGCTGGGTCATACAGAAAGTCTGATTTAACATTTTAAGAAACTAGCAAACTGTTTTCCAAAGTGACTGCCCCATTTTACATTCCCATCAGCAGTGTATAACGGTTCTAATTTTCTTTTCCTTTTTCTTTTCTTGAGACAAGGTTTTGCTCTGTCACCCAGGCTGGAGTGCAGTGGCATGATCTTGGCTCACTGCAGCCTCAATCTCTTGGGCTCAATTGGTCCTCCCACCTCAGCCTCCTGAGTAGCTGGGACTACAGGTGAGTACCACCACATCCAGCTAATTTTTGTATTTTTGGTAGAGATGGGGTTTTGCCATGTTGCCCAGGCTGTTCTCAAACTCCTGGGCTCAAGTGATCTGCCCACCTCGGCCTCCCCAAGTCCTGGGATTATAGGTGTGAGCCGCTGCGCCTGGCTGAGGGTTCCACTGTCTGTACGTCTGCAGCAATACATACCATTCTTGTGGGTAAAAGGTGGTATCTCATTATAGTTTTGATTTGCATTTCCCCAAGGTCAAATGATGGCAAGTGGCTTTTCTTGTGCTTTTTAGCCATTTGTATATGTTTTTGGTGAAATGCCTATTGAAATGTTTTGCCTTTTTAAAAATTGAGTTGTCTCCTTTGTTCAGTTTTGAGAGTTCTTTACATACACAGTATCATATATATATATATATATATATATATATATATATATATATACACACCAGATATATGATTTGCAAATATTTTCAACCATCAATAGTTTAACACTTTTTTATTGGTATTTTGAAGTAGAAAAGTTTTACATTTTGATCCATTCCAATTTATTAACTTTTTCTTTTATTGTGTATCTGGTATCATATCTAAGAAATCTTAATCCAGTGTCACAAAGATTTAATCTTATATTTTCTTCTAACCGCTTTCTAGTTTATGTGTAAGAATCTGTCCATTTTACCTAAGTTGCATAATTTGTTGGCAAACAGTTGTACATAGTATTTCCTTGAAATCCTTTTAATCTCTGTAAGATTGGAATTGCTGTCTCCTCTTTTAGTCCTGATTTTAGTTATTTGTGTTCTCTCTCTCTCTGGTCAATGTAGCTAAAGCTTTGTCAATTCTCTTGATCTTTTCAGAGAACTGCCATTTGATATTTTTTTACTTTATCTTTTTCTTTCTGTTCTCTAGTTCATTGGTTTCCACTCTTCTCACTTTGGGTTTAATTCGTTCTGTCTTTTCTTATTGTAGTTACTTACAATGGAAGCTTACACACTTGATTTAAGATTTTTTTTTCTAATGTAGACATTTACAGCTATAAATTTCCCTTGAAACACAGCTTTAGTTATATCTCATAAATTTTGGTATGTTGTGTTTACATTTTCATTCAGCTCAGTGTATCTTTTGATTTTCTTCTTTGACCCATTGCTTATTTAGAATTATGTTGTTTAATTTCTATGTATTTATAGGTTTCCCAAATTTCTTTTGTTAATTTCTGATTTCATTCCCCTGTGGCTAGAGAAGAAACTCTGTGGATATCAGTCCTTTCGAATTTCTCAGAATTGTTTTATGGTCCAGCATATGATTGACCTTGGACACTGTTCCATGTGCACTTGAGGAGAACGTGACTTCGGCTCTTGCCAGGTGGAGTGTTCTAGAGATGTCAGTTGGTGTCCAGTGATGTCAAGTCATTTGTATCTACTGATTTTCTTTCTAATTATTCTATCCATTACTGAGAGTGGGGTAGGATTTTGGTGTCCAATTATTGTTTTTTTGTTTTTTTTTTTTTGTTTGTTTTTTTTTTTTTTTGAGGTGGAGTCTCACTTTGTCACCCAGGCTGGAGTGCAGTGGTATGATCACAGCTCACTGCAGCCCCCACCTCCCAAGGCTTAGGTCACCTCAGCCTCCTGAGTAGCTGCAACTACAGGCAAGTACCATCATGCCTAGCTGATTTTTGCATTTTTTATAGACAGGGTTTTGCCATGTTACTTAGGCTGGTCACGAACTCCTGGGCTCAAGTGACCCACCCACCTCGGCCTCCCAAAGTGCTGGGATTACAAGCGTGAGTCACCATGCCTGGCCCAACCATTACTGGTGAATTGACTGTTTCACCCTTCAATTCTGTGAGTTTTTGCTTCATGTATTGCTGCGGGATAATTAAGGAATCAGAGAGACCGATGGGGTTGAGGAGGAATTATTTAATTATTTAGGTGCACCGACCCAATCAGATTAACATCCAAAGGACTGGGCCCCAAACAAAGAGTCAAGCTACCTTTTAAGCATTTTGTGGGGTGGGGGGAGATTTGTGCAGGGGGAAGAGTATTACAGAAGCAAGAAACAAAGACAGTTATTCAGTTAAGACATGCATTACATTATTTCTTACTTTTCAAGGAACAACACGTTTTATGACTCAAGATTATCTGTTTAGTGACCTTGCAGCTGCACAGCTAGAGAAACAGAGTCTTCGCAATGCCTGGGAAAGGGAGAGATAAGGCTCACTAGCCACAGAAAAACAGCCAGTTAATTTTTAAAGGACTCCAGCCCTTTCTCTTCCTCAAGGGGAATTGGTTTTTTACATACAACTGAGTTTTTGCTTACACAGTTTTTAATTTCTTTTAATTCCTGTTCTAGTATTTTGGGGCTAGGTTGTCAGGTATGTATATATTTCTGTTTGTTATATTTTCGTGATGTATTCACTTTATATCATGGCAGAATGTTTCTCTTTAGTAAGATTTTTGATCTTAAAAAAGTTGGCCAGATGGGGTGGCTCATGCCTGTGATCCCAGCACTTTGGGAGGCCAAGGCAGGTGGATCACCTGAGGTCAGGAGTTCAAGACTAGCCTGGCGAACATGGTGAAACCCCGTCTCTACTGAAAATACAAAAAAATTAGCCAGCTGTGATGGTGTGCGCCTGTAATCCCTGCTACTTGGGAGGCTGAGGCACGAGAATTGCTTGAACCCGGGAGGCTGAGGTTACAGTCAGCCAAGATCGTGCCACTGCACTCCAACCTGGGTGATAGAGTGAGACTCTGTCTCAAAAAAACAAAAAAATTATTTAGTCTGACGTTAGCATTTCTCCTCAAGCTCCCTTACGGTTGTTTGCATAGCAAATCTACTATCCTTTTGCTTTGACCTATTTGTATCTTTGTTTCTAAAGTATGTATGTCTCTCACAGGCAGCATATAGTCAAAGCTTAAAAAAAAAATCCAGTCTAACGATCTCTGCCTTTTGATTGGCATGTTCATTCTATTCCCATTCAATGTTATTATTGCTGTGGTTGGATTTCCATCTATCAGTTCACAATTTGTTTTCTATGTTTTATGCCTTTTTGTTCTTCTGTTCATCTTTTACTACCTTCTTTTGTATTAAGTATTTTCTAGTGTAGCATTTAAATTCCCTTTTTCTTTTTAAGTGTATATTTTAAAGTTATTTTGTTAGTGTTTGCTCCAGGGATTACAATATGCATTTTAATTTATCAGGATCTACTTCAGATTAATACTAATTTTAGTAAAATACAGGAACTTGACTCCAGTATAACTCCATTTCCTCCCTCCTTGCTTGTGGTTTGTAGTATTATTGTCGTATATGTTCATCTATATATGTTATAAACTCAACAACATGGTGTTATAATTATTGTTTCACACAATCTTATTTCTTTTCAATTCAGTAAGACAAGTAAGGAGAAAAACACTTTTCAAGTCTTTTATATTACACTGTATATTTATCACTGACTTTACTCTTGATTTCTTCCTGTATATTCAAGCTATTGTCTGGTGACCTTTCCTTGCTCCAGTATATATAATAACTTCATTGCCTCCTTGCTCCTTTATGCTATTATTGTCATATATATTATATATGTTTATGCTGTGAGCCCATCAGCTAAGTCAGCTTAGCAAGGTCTCAAGATACAAAGTCAATGAATAAATCAGGCTGGGTGTGGTGGCTCACACCTGCAATCCCAGCACTTTGGGAGGCCAAGATAGGTAGATCACTTGAGGCCAGGAGTTTGAGAGCAGCCTGGCCCACATGGCAAGACTCCATCTTTACAAAAATACAAAAAAAAAAAAAAAGTTGAGTGTGGTGGTGCGCCTGTAATCCCACCTACTTGGGAGGCTGAGGCATGAGAATTGCTTGAACCCAGGAGGGAGAGGTTGCAGTGACTGGAGATCACACCACTGCACTCCAGACTGGGCAACAGGGCAAGACACAGTCTAAAAAAAAAAAAAAAAGAAAAAAGAAAAACAAGAATAAATCAATTATTTTTCTATAATACTTGCCACAATCAATTGAACCATGAAAAATTTTAAATACCATTTACAGTAGCATCATAAAACATGAAATATTTAGAGAATAATTTACCAAATTAGGAGAAATGTCTATACAATTAAAACTGCAATATAAACCAGGCACCATGGCTCATGCCTGTAATCCCAGCACTTTGGGAGGTCAAGGTGGCCAGATCACTTGAGCCCAGAAGTTTGAGACCAGCCTGGGTGACATAGTGAGACCCTGTCTCTACAAAAAAAAAAAAAAATTAGCTGGGCATGGTGGCATGCACCTGTAGCCCCTGCTACTCAGGAGGCTGAGGTGAGAGGATGACTTGAGCCCAGTAGGCAGAGATTGCAGTGCATTCCAGCCTGGGCTACACAGCAAGACCCTGACAAAAAAAAAAAAAAAAAGAAAAAGAAGGTCACAAAAAAACAGAAAACTGCAAAATATTGATGACAAAAATTAAAGAAGACATAAATAAATGGAGAAATATACCATGCTCATGGATTGGAAGACTTACATTGCTAAACTGTCACTTCTCCCCAGATGGATCTACAGAGTCCACATAATCTCACTTAAAACTCCAGAAGAAATTTTTGTAAAGTTGACAGCTGATTCTAAAATTTTACATAGTAATCAGAATAGGTTGATATTAGGATAGACAGATAGTTCAATGGAATAGAATGCAGAGTTTAGAAATAGACCTACACAGAAATAGTCCATTGATTTTTTAAGAGTTGCTTTTTGATAAGGGTGCTAAGGTAATGTGATAGAGAAAGGAAAGTATTTTCAATTCAAATGGCTGAAATGACTGGATATCCATTGAGGGAAGAAAGGGACTTTAGCCTTTCACACAATACACAAAAATTATGGAATTCTGAAGAAAATAAGAGAAAATGTTCATGAACTTGGGGTAGGCAAAAATTTAATAGATGAGGCAAAAAAAAAAAAAGGCCCAAACCATAAAAATGGTTTCATTTTTATAAGGATAAATTAGAGTTTATAAAAATTAACACTTCCCTTCAAAAGAAAAATTAAGGAAAAATGAATAAATAAGCCACCGACTGAAAGAAAATATTTGTTTTCTAAGAAGTATTTTGTTTTTCATTTTATGGGTTCATAGTAGGTGTATATATTTATGGGGTCCCTGAGATATTGTGGTTCAGTCATACAATGGAAAATTCACATCATGGAGAACTGGTATCCATCCTCTTGAGCAATTATCCTTTGTGTTACAAACAATCCAACTATACTCTTTTAGTTATTTTTATTCTTTTTTTTTTTTTTTTTGAGATGGAGTCTCGCTCTGTCACCCAGGCTGGAGTGTGGTGGCGCCATCTCAACTCACTGCAACCTCCGCCTCCCAGGTTTAAGTGATTCTCCTGCCTCAGTTTCCTGAGTAGCTGGGACTACAGGCACCCACCACCACGCCCGGCTAGTTTTTGTATTTTTAAACTTTTTTTTTCTTTTTTCTTTTTCTTCTTTTTTTTTTTTTGAGATGGAGTCTCGCTCTGTCGCCCGGGCTGGAGTGCAGTGGTGCAATCTCGGCTCACTGCAACCTCCGTCTCCCAGGTTCAGGAGATTCTCCTGCCTCAGCCTCCCAAGTAGCTGGGATTACAGGCATGCGCCACCACACCCAGCTAATTTTTTGTATTTTTAGTAGAGGCAGGATTTCACCGTGTTGGTCAGGCTAGACTCGAATGCCTGACCTCGTGATCCACCCACCTCGGCCTCCCAAAGTGCTGGGGTTACGGGCGTGAGCCACCACGCCTGGCCTTAGTTTTTGTATTTTTAGTAGAGATGAGGTTTCACCATGTTGGCCAGGCTGGTCTTGAACTCCTGATCTCAGGTGATCCACCTGCCTCGGCCTCCCAAAGTGCTGAGATTACAGGCATGAGCCACTGTGCCCGACCTCTCTTTTAGTTATTTTTAAATGTGCAATTAAATTATTATTGACTATAGTCTCCCTGTTATGCTATCAAATACTGGGTCTTATTCATTCTTTCTATTTATTTGTACACATTAACCATCCCTACATACCCTCTCACCCCTGCCACTACCCTTCCAAGTCTCTGCGAACCATCCTTCTATTCTCTATCTCCATGAGTTTAATTGTTTCGATGTTTTGATACTACAGATAAGTGAGAACATGCAGTGTCTGTCTCTCTGTGCCTGGCGAGAAAATATTTGTAATATTTGTATTTGGCAAAGGACTTGTATCCAAAATATAGAAATAAATTCTGCTCAATAATAAAAAGAGAAACAACTTAATGAGACCCAGTGTCTACAAAAAGTAGAATAATTAGCCGGGCATGTTGGTGCATGTCTGTAGTCCCACCTAATCAGGAGGCTGAGGGGGAAAGATCACTTAAGCTCAGGAGTTCGAGGTTGCAGCGAGCTGTGATCGTGCCACTGCACTCCAGCCTGGGTGACAGAGTAAGATCCTGTCTAAAAAAAATAAAAATAGAGGGCCAGGTGAGGTGGCTTATGCCTGTAATCCCAGCACATTGGGAGGCTGAGGCAGGTGGATTGCTTAAGCCCAGGAGTTCAAGACCAGCCTGGGCAACATGGTGAAACCCCATCTCTACCAAAACCACAAAAAATCAGCTAGATGTGGTGCATGCCTATAGTCTCAGCTACTCAAAAGGCTGAGGTGGGAGGATCACCTGAGCCCAGGAAGTCGAGGCTGTAGTGAGCCATGATCATGCCACCACACTCCAGCCTGGGCAACTGGAGTGGGACTGTGCCCCCCAAAAATATATATAAGTAAATAAATAAATAAATAAATAATAAAATGAGCTAAAGATCTGGACAGGCTTCATAAGAAGCAAGCAAATGGCCAATAAATACATGAAAAGATGATTTACCTCCTTAGTCATTGGACACACTTAGATACCACTCCTCATCCACTAGCATGGCTAAAGGATAAAAGAGTGACCATCAAGTGTTGGCAAGGACTGTGGTTCTCGTACATTCCTGGCGGGAATGGAAAATTCAGTCACCACTTTGGAACACAGTTTCTTACAAAGTTAAACATACACTTACCATATGACCCATCTTTTCCATTCCTTGGTATTTACTCAAGGGAAATGAAAACACAGGTCCACAAATACCTGCACATGAGTGTTTACAGAAGCTTTGTTGCTAGTGGCCCCGAACAGTGAAAAAACCACAGTGTCTGTCAATAGGAGACAGAATAAATGAATTGTGGCGGATTAACAATGGCGTGCTTCTCAGAAATGAAAAAGAACGAACGATTGATACACGTGACAATATAGGTGAATCTTCAAAACAGCATGCGGTGTGATGCGGCCAGACATAAAAGAGCATGTATCAGAGGATTCCGTGTATGGGAAACGCCAGGGAATCAGATCCATGGTTGTCAGGGTCAGGAGGGACCTTACTGGGGTGATTACATGTGTACATACATTGTGTGAAACTCATCAAAACCGTATACCTAAAGTGGGCACATTTTATTGGATGTAAGTTATCCCTCAAATTAAATTAATTTTCAAAGTTTTAAAAAATGGAACCATTTTTGCCACATTGAAGGAAAATTATTTCCACCAAGATTTCCCTACAGCCAAACGATCTACCAACTACAAAAATGGAAAAAATAATTTAGGACATGTAAAGTTCAAATGTTTTGCCTCCCACGTTTCTGTTTCAAGAAGCTATTCGAGATAAATCGCTCCGTGGTCACAGGACTTAGAAAGGTGGAGGTAAACACACACAAGCATTATAAGATAAGAAGTAACAGATGAATTAGTTGAAAGGGACTGATTTCGGGGGAAGGAATAGGAACTGGGCCAGGAGATAGACGCCTTTCAGGCTTGCCCTTGTGAAAACGATAGTCCCCTCTTACCTGCGGGGGATAGGTTCCGAGATCCCCAGTGGATGTCTGAAACCACAGATAGTACCAAACCCTACAGAGAGTATGTTTTCTCCTGTACACACATACCTATGATAGGGTTTAATTTATAAATTAGGCACCGGGTGGGATTAACAACCATAATTAATAGTAAAATAGAACAATTATAACAATATACTGTCCGAGGCGGGTGGATCACTTGAAGTCAGGAGATCGAGACCAGCCTGGCCAACATGGTGAAACCTGTCTCTACTAAAAATACAAAAAATTAGCCAGGCGTAGTGGTGGGCGCCTGTAAACCCAGCTACTCGGGAGGCTGAGGCAGGAGAATTGCTTGAACCCGGGAGGCGGAGGCTGTAGTGAGCCGAAGGTGCCCCTTTGCACTCCAGCCTGGGCAACGAGCAAAACTCCATCTCAAAAACAACAACAAAACAACAACAACAACAAAAACAATATACTGTAATAAAGGTTACGTGAATGTGGTCTCTCTAAAAAAAAATGTGTATATATCTTAGTTTGTGGGTTTTTTGTTGTTGTAGTTTTGTTTATTATTAAGAGACAGGGTCTTGCTCTGTTACCCAGGCTGGAGTGCAGTGGTGTGATCATGGCTTACTGCAGCCTTCACCTCCTAGGCTCAAGTGATCCTTCCACCTCAGCCTCCTGGGACCAGAGGCATGCACCACTATGCCCAGCTAATTGTTTTTTTTTTTTTTTTCTTGATAGAAATGAGTTCTCACTATGTTGCCCAGGCTGGTCTAGAACTCCTGGCTTCCAGCAATTCTGCTGGCTCAGCCTCCCAAAGTCCTGGGATTATAGGCACGAGCCACGATGCCTGTCCTCAAAATATTTTACTGTACTGTACTCACCTATTATTGGCCTTTGGTTGACCATGGGTAACTGAAACTCCAGCAAGCGAAGGTGTGGATAAGGGAACTACTGTACGTGACTTTAATATACATAAAATCACCTTAAAGACAATGATTGTTTCCAGAACATGAGCCTCTGAGACAGCAGGGAGATACTAGGGGAAGTTGGTGGCTCCTCTCCCTGGCAGGAACTGGTCTGGGCTCCTGGCTCAGCCTGGCCATGAGGCTGTCCTGGCCTCCCTCGGTGGGTTCGACAGTGACCTCGACGTGCTCATTTCAGTGTGGTTCATTCCGGTCTCCCAGGGGAAGGGGGTGCTGAGTGGAAGGAGGTCAATGGGAAGCCGGGGTGGCTCTCAGAGTCTGCAGGAGCAGTCGGGCTGATGAGCTGGGAGGAGCAGACCGCCTCCCTCTTCTCTGAGTGGGAGGAGGGCCAGATCTGGACTGGGTTTGGAGATGCTCAGGTGGGGCTCAGAGCATCACCTGTGGGGCAGAGGGACCATCTTGGCAGATGAAGGCCCGTCGCAGGGTGTGATGCCTGAATTACAAGGCGGGACAGGTAAAGTGGGGCAGGTGAGAGAAGGAGGGTGAGTGATGTGATTTTTCTACTCCTGTTTTCCAGGAAAACCAAAATGCCACGCACTTCGACCTATGATCCTTTTCCTAATAATGCTTGTCTTGGTCTTGTTTGGGTAAGACACATTTGACCATCGAGGCTGGCCTGGTTTGGGGAGAAGTGACCACAGCAGCCAATCAGACCCATGGGGCCTCCCTGAGCTCCCCAAGTATCACAGTTATCAGGGTCCTAAGGACAGTTATTGCCTGCGTCCAGCTCTGGCGGAGGGTGTGCTTACTTGCTCCCTTATTTTAGCCTCACCTGGGCAACAGGCTCATCTCACTCCCATTTAAAATTTTCCTAAGTGTGGAGTCTGGGGCTGGGAGAGCAAGCCCCTTGCCCACAATTGCGTGGCTGGGGGTGGGGAAGGCAATTCTGGGTCCCAAGCTGTTAGTCGCTTCCAGACACAGAAGGTCCCAGAACCAAGAGTGAAGTCACCTGTCACCTCTACTGGGGCATCTCTGGACACGGTCTGGAAACACTCCCTGACGTGGCCTCAGGGACTGCACTGACCAAGGCACTGGTGGCGGGGGGTGAGGGAGCTGGGGCTCTGGAGCTCCAGCAGGTGCCCATACGTGAGCAATATCCCAGGGACCACCCTCCTGCCCACCTCCCGGTGTGGGACGTGGCGAGGCGCCTGAGCTTTGCTGAGAACTTGCCCTACCTGCCTCGAGGCCTTGCAGCTTCACCGGGAACTCTTGTGCTCACGCTGCTGGCCGCACCATGCACTTTTTGGAGGAAGGGACCAACAGGCAGTCTTCGTTCTGTGTCCTGAGTCTTGGCACACTTCCTTTCTGCAGTTACGGGGTCCTAAGCCCCAGAAGTCTAATGCCAGGAAGCCTGGAACGGGGGTTCTGGTGAGTGCAGGGAAGAGCAGGTGGAGCATCCATGCTGGCCGGGGTGCTGGCTGTGGGCGGGGGTCCCACTCTGGGAACTCCCCCTCCCCTTCCTGGGCCCGCTCTCTATGCTCTGCCCAGTGTAGACATGCTCAACTCTGTGGCCTTGAAGGGTCACCTGGATACCTCTGGAGTCAGCCTTGACCTCCCTTCTGACCTCCAGTCCCCAACTCCAGGCTTACCCAGAGTTCCCATGCATGGTCTCTGCTCCCCCATCCCCACCCCTCCTCCACCAGCCATCCTCAACTCTCCCTTTGCTCTCACCCCTACACTGGGTTCCCAAATCCTGCCAGCCCTGCTCTTCAGCAGCTCGCGTGCCCACTGGCCTCCCTGCCTTCGACGTCCTGCTCCAGGGCTCCGGTGGGGCTGCCCTCATCTCTGTGACAGCCTCAGACTTGTCTCCCCATCCCCATCAGCCCTGTCCCCCTTCTTCTCACAGCAGCTGGAGTGATCTTTCCAGAACATAAGGTAGGAGGCTCTCCATGATCTGATCCTGCCTTCCTGACCTCCCCAGCCTCATCTCTCCCTCCTCTGCCCTCGCCCTCTGTGCTCCAGCCAACGTGGCCTGTCACTCGTCCACCTGCCATACTGTCCTGACTCCAGGCCTTTGCCTGTGCTATGGCCTCTGTTGGGACCACTCTTGTCTCTCCCCTGCTGTGTCTGCTAATTCCCACTCGTGTCAGTGATCCATGGCTGCAGAACACACCACTCCATCCATGGAAAACAATCACAATCATTGATTACTATCTCTCCCTGGGCTTCCTGGGGTGGACTGGGCTCAGCTGGGTGGTTCACTTTGGGGCCTCAGCAGTCATGGGCAGACAGTGGCTGGGGTCACTGCAAAGACTTCCCTGCATCTCTGGCAGTTGATGCTGGCTGTCATCTGAGACACCTACCCAGGGCCTCTCCCTGGGGCCTGGGCTCCTGCTTAGCTTGGTTGGGAGGCTCCAAGACCAACATCCCAAGAAAGATGAGACAGAAGCCAGATCACCTTTTTGGGCCTGGCTTCAGAAGTCACCCAGCATCACTTCTGCTGCATTTATTTCTTAGAAACACAGAATATCAGACCCCATCTCTTGATGGGAGGGGGCCTCATGGTTTGTAGACATGTTCTGAAACTCCACTCTGCCCGGCCTTGGCTTCGACGTGTCTGGTGAATGTGTGGGCTGTGAGGCTCCCCGAACGTAGACCTCAGACTGCAACGCTGGCCGTTACAGGGTCTGGCACACGGGCCCACGTCAGGCCCATCGCCACAGTGATGGTTGTTCTGTGACTGTTTCTGGTGGCCTCTGCTCCACACTCCAGGCTGACGCTGTGCCCCTTCCACTGGGACCCTCGGGTGGCTTCCATGCACTTGTGCCCTAAATCCTGCTCCTAGACTAAACTTCATCTCCTGTGTTCTCATTCTGCAGCATGGCTGTTAGGGAACCTGACCATCTGCAGCGCGTCTCGTTGCCAAGGTATAATGTCAGTGCCTCCCTTCAGTGGCTCCCATGTCACAGAATTGTCCTGCAGCCCTGGCACATGTGTGCCATGTGGGAGCTGGGGCAGGTCCTCTTTCCTCCTGTGGCTCCGAGGGAGGGGGCCGCTCCTTCCCCAGTCTCTACCCTGACTTGGCCCTCGTCCTGCAGCCACTCAGAGAGCACGATGGAGCTGGAGCTTCAGTTTTGACCAAATGCGTGTCGCCGGCTTTTGTGTGTGTGTGTGTGTGATGGAGTCTCGCTCTGTCGCCCAGGCTGGAGTGCATTGGCACCATCTCTGCCCACTGCAACCTCTGCCTCCTGGGCTCAAGTGATTCTCCTGCCTCAGCCTCCTGAGTAGCTGGGATTACAGGCGCCCACCACCACACCTGGCTAATTTTTGTATTTTTAGCAGAGACAGCGTTTCACCATGTTGGCCAGGCTAGTCTTGAACTCCTGACTTCAAATGATCCGCCCGCCTCAGCCTCCCAAAGTGCTGGGATTACAGGCATGAGCCCCGGCACCTGGCCTTCAAATTGGCTTTTAAAGAAGATGACCAGCTGGTCTGTTCTGTCTGGGGCCTTGGAGGGCTGTTTCCCAGGATGTGGGCCTTTATCAGTGCTGACCTAGGCAATCAAGGCCAAGCTGGCCACACTGCTTTTGATTTTTTTTAAATTGTGATGAAATACGCTTAACATAAAATTTGCCATCTTAGTCATTTTGGAGTGTTCAGTAGCTTTAAGTCCATTCACATTGCTGTGCAGCCATCACCACCATCCATCTCCAGAACTCTTTTCATCTTGCCAACCTGAAGCTCTGTCCCCATAAAATAGCAACTCCATTTTCCCTCCCCCAGCTCACCATTCCATGGTCTGTTGTTATGAGTCTGCTACTCCAACTACCTTTTATAAGTGGAGTCAATGGTACCTGTGTTTTTATGTCGGGCTCAAATCACTGAGCGTGATGTCCTCACGGTCCATCCAGGTTGTACCAAGTGTCAGAATTTCCTTCCTGTTTTCTGCTGACTCCCTGCTTTTAAAGGCCATCTTGGACATTCAAATTGTGGCCATTACTGACAGTTAAAATGGCCCCGGCTCATGTCTCCTGAGCCTCTACAATCCTTTAGGTGGGGACAGTACTGCGGCCCACACGTCCCCACAGGCTGCGTGTGACACCTGACAGTGCTTTGTGCCACTGTGGAGCAGGTGTCACTCTCCCACTTCTCAGAGAGGAAGCCGGGCTCTGGAAGCCAGCAGCCCACAAGGAGGCCCAGCAGGCTTCGGGCCCAGGTGGGGAGGTCTGCACATCTCAGGGCCTTTCCCTGGGAACAACCAGGGACAGAGGCCACACACCCAGCCTCCTCTCTGCCCACAGTGAATTGAGACACAACCCCTTACGTCCCTCCCAGCCTTAAGTCAAGTGGAAAGCAATGGCCCCTGAGGTCACTTAGTCCCTCTTGCCAGTTTGTAAGTGCTGAATCAGAGACTCTGAGCTTTGGCCCTTTCCCGAGTTCCCGGGATTATGAGCTGACACAGCCCCCAAGCAACCACAGTGATTCCAGCCTGGGAGTGTGGCCTTGGCGGGAGGGTCAATGCCCAGTCATGGTTCAGCGGCTGTGCACACCCCTGCTTACCTGCATCCCACGCTTTCCATGCAAACTCACGTGGCGGCGCTTTGCGCTTGCAGGATGGTCTACCCCCAGCCAAAGGTGCTGACACCGTGGTGAGTAAAGTTACTGACACTGAAACTGAACGCAGCTCAAGGGGCTGTTCTGAAGGTATTAGAGGGCGGTTTCCTTGATGTAAATCTCAGTTGGGGCTGCTTCGTTCTCTCCTCTCAGATTCTCCTGACATCTGAATTCAGAGGCCCACATGGCTGTCCTCTTTCCCTTTGCTTTCTCTGACTTGCGTCTCTTGTTTCCTGTCCCTTTGTTCTCCAAAGCCCCTGCAAAGGCCTGATAGGTACCTCCTACCTGGGGAGGGGCAGCGGGGGTTGGGTGCTGGGGAGGGTTTGTTCCTATCTCTTTGCCAGCAAAGCTCAGCTTGCTGTGTGTTCCCACAGGTCCAATGTTGAGGGAGGGCTGGGAATGATTTGCCCGGTTGGAGTCGCATTTGCCTCTGGTTGGTTTCCCGGGGAAGGGCGGCTGCCTCTGGAAGGGTGGTCAGAGGAGGCAGAAGCTGAGTGGAGTTTCCAGGTGGGGGCGGCCGTGTGCCAGAGGCGCATGTGGGTGGCACCCTGCCAGCTCCATGTGACCGCACGCCTCTCTCCATGTGCAGTAGGAAGGATGTCCTCGTGGTACCCCTTGGCTGGCTCCCATTGTCTGGGAGGGCACATTCAACATCGACATCCTCAACGAGCAGTTCAGGCTCCAGAACACCACCATTGGGTTAACTGTGTTTGCCATCAAGAAGTAAGTCAGTGAGGTGGCCGAGGGTAGAGACCCAGGCAGTGGCGAGTGACTGTGGACATTGAGGTCTCTCCTTGTGTTCAAGACAGAGTGGGGTGGCGGCCAGCCTTGTCCTCCCAGAGGGTAGATGGGAAAGGTCATTCATGCAGCATCTTACTGAGCTCATGTGGGCTCGTGGGCTCGTGGGCTCGCCAGGTCGGTAAAACCCAGCTCCTTCTCCAGAGGCTGCGTCTCACCCAGGGATGGTGGCTTCTGCTGCCCCCTCCTCTCTGTAACTGTGGCCGGCCGTCATGCTGAGCCACCCCCTCAATACAAGGCTCCAGATGTTTCCTGCTCACTGACCAGAGATAGCAGGAGGGGGACACCTGTTTGCTGTCCTTGGACCCTAGAAAGAGGATGCTGGCAGAGCCGTGGTCACTTCTCTGTCAGATGTAGGTGGGGCAGGCAAAGCAGTTGGCCCCAGACACCAAAGGAAGTGGCTGACCCACAAGGCCCTGGGACTCTGGGCCAGGCCAGAGAGGGAGCTAGCCAGGCAACCGCAGACACATACTTGACTTCTCGGCAGCTGTGGGCAGCTGGGCCAGCGACAGTGGCGGAGGCCAGGAATGACTTACTCTTAGGAATAGGTGCAGTTCAAGCCTGGAGGGAGGAAGCTCTAGGGTGCAGAGGCGGGTGTGTGGAGGCCTCGCGTGCAGCTTATAATGAGGGAGCACGTGGCCGGCCTGGCCATAAGAGGGGCAGCTGCGTGGGGAGGCGTGGCTCAGGCCAGGCTGAGGGGGAGTGAGCAGACGCCAGCCTGCGGCCTGCTACCAGCCTCCAGCCACCTGCCCTCAGCCCTCCTTAGTAAGAGGGGGTGCTGGTGGTCCCCCATCGCTGGGAAGAGGATGAAGTGAATCGCAGCCCGAGGACTCGCTCAGGACAGGGCAGGAGAACGTGGTGCATCTGCTGCTCTAAGCCTTCCAATGGCCGCTGGCGGGCGGGTGCAGGACGGGCCTCCTGCAGCCCAGGGGTGCACGGCCGGCGGCTCCCCCAGCCCCCGTCCGCCTGCCTTGCAGATACGTGGCTTTCCTGAAGCTGTTCCTGGAGACGGCGGAGAAGCACTTCATGGTGGGCCACCGTGTCCACTACTATGTCTTCACCGACCAGCCGGCCGCGGTGCCCCGCGTGACGCTGGGGACCGGTCGGCAGCTGTCAGTGCTGGAGGTGCGCGCCTACAAGCGCTGGCAGGACGTGTCCATGCGCCGCATGGAGATGATCAGTGACTTCTGCGAGCGGCGCTTCCTCAGCGAGGTGGATTACCTGGTGTGCGTGGACGTGGACATGGAGTTCCGCGACCACGTGGGCGTGGAGATCCTGACTCCGCTGTTCGGCACCCTGCACCCCGGCTTCTACGGAAGCAGCCGGGAGGCCTTCACCTACGAGCGCCGGCCCCAGTCCCAGGCCTACATCCCCAAGGACGAGGGCGATTTCTACTACCTGGGGGGGTTCTTCGGGGGGTCGGTGCAAGAGGTGCAGCGGCTCACCAGGGCCTGCCACCAGGCCATGATGGTCGACCAGGCCAACGGCATCGAGGCCGTGTGGCACGACGAGAGCCACCTGAACAAGTACCTGCTGCGCCACAAACCCACCAAGGTGCTCTCCCCCGAGTACTTGTGGGACCAGCAGCTGCTGGGCTGGCCCGCCGTCCTGAGGAAGCTGAGGTTCACTGCGGTGCCCAAGAACCACCAGGCGGTCCGGAACCCGTGAGCGGCTGCCAGGGGCTCTGGGAGGGCTGCCGGCAGCCCCGTCCCCCTCCCGCCCTTGGTTTTAGCAGAACGGGTAAACTCTGTTTCCTTTGTCCGTCCTGTTGTGAGTAACTGAAGCCTAGGCCCCGTCCCCACCTCAAATCACACACACCCCCTCCCCACCACAGAGACACCATTACATACACAGACACACACAGAAAGACACACACAGACACAAAATCACACACACACCCTCCCCGCCACAGAGACACCATTACATACACAGACACACACAGAAAGACACAGACACAAAATCACACACACACCCTCCCCGCCACAGAGACACACCATTACATACACAGACACGCAATCGCAGATACGCCCTTCCGGCCACAGAAACACACCATTACACACACATACACAGAAAGACACACACAGACACACAATCACACGCAGCCCCTCCCCGCCACAGAGACACACCATTACATACACAGACACACACAGAAAGACACACACAGACACAAAATCACACACACACCCTCCCCGCCACAGAGACACACCATTACATACACAGACACACACAGACACACAATCACACACAGCCCCTCCCCGCCACAGAGACACACCATTACATACACAGACACACACAGACACACAATCACAGATACCCCCTCCCGGCCATAGAGACACACCGTTACACACACATACACAGAAAGACACACACAGCCCCTCCCCGCCACAGAGACACACCATTACATACACAGACACACACACACACACAATCACACACACACCCCCCGCCACAGAGACACACCGTTACATACACAGACATACACACACACACAGACATACACCAGACACGCAAAGACACACAGACACAGATACACAGATACAAAGACACAGACATATAGACACACAGACATGCACAGAGACACATGGAGACACATGCAAAAATGCACAGAGAAAGACATACAGAAGTGTACACACAGACACATAGACCACACAGACACACAGACATGCATGCAAACACACAGACATGCAGACATGCACACAAACACAGACTCACGCACACAGACTTAGGCAGCCCAAATTCAGCGCCTGGGGCATAAGTTCCTGGAGGGGTGGCCACCTTCAGCCCCCACGGTAAGGTCCTGAGGAACCTTCCCCTTAGACAAGGGATCATGGAGGAGGTCTCTTCCGGAGCCTGGAGGGAGGCCTCAAGTGGTCCTTCCACCTCGGCATCCCAAAGTGCTAGGATTATAAGCATGAGCCACTGCACCTGGCCCCAACATCATTTATTGAACAGACTGTCGTTTCCACATTGTGTTTCTTGGCATTTCTGTCAAAAATCAGTTGACCGTAAATGCATGGATTCACTTCCGGGCTCTCTATTCTGTTTCATTGGTCTGTTTGTTTTTATGCCAATACCATGATGTTTTGATTATTATAGCTTTATAGTATATCTTGAAGTTAGGTAGTGTATTGTCTCCAGCTTTGTTCTTTTTGCTTAAGATTGCTTTGGCTATTTAGGGGTCTTTGTGGCCATTACTGACAGTTAAAATGGCCCTGGCTCATGTCTCCTGGGCCTCTACAGTACTTTAGGTGGGGAAGTACTGTGGCCCACATGTCCCAACAGGCTGTGTGTGGCACCTGACAGTGCTTTGTGCCACTGTGGAGCAGGTGTTACTCCCTCATACGAATTTTAGGATTATTTTATTTATTTCAGTGAAAAATGTCAATGAAATTTTGATAGGGATTGCATTGAATCTGTAGATTGTTTGGGGTTGTATGGACATTTTAACAATATTAATTCTTCCAATTCATGAACATGGGATGTCTTTTTTTTGGCACCTGATCTCAGATATGGGACAGCTTTCTAATTATTTGTATCTTCAATTTCTTTCACAAATGTTTTATAGTTTTCAGCATACAGATCTTTCACTTCCTTGGTTGGATTTATTTGCAAGTATTTTTTGTAGCTATTGTAAATGACATTGTTTTCTTGATTTCTTTGTTAGGGTATAGAAATGCTACAGATTGTTGTATGTTAATTTTATATCCTGCAACTTTACTGATTTCATTTATTCTAACATCTTATTGGTGGAATCTTTAGGGTTTTCTATAAGATCATGTCATCTGTAAACAGGGACAATTTAAGTTCTTCCTTTCCAATTTGGATACCTTTTATTTCTTCCTCTTGCCTAATTATTTTGGCTGAGGGCCAACTTGTTGGGTTTGTTGTTGTTGGTTTTTGTCTGTGTCTTTTGGTGTTTCGTGTTGCTGGCTTTTCCAGCACACAGTCACAGATATATGAGGCAGAAAGAAAACCCAGGGAACTCCTGTCATGTCATTCCTCAGGTCCCAAGGTCCCTACATGGTCTGCCTTCTTCTCTCCACCTTTTAGTGTTTGATATACATACGTTTATGTATGTAGTTATATATGTATGTGTAATACCCAGGGAAATATACAGAGATTTTAACTGTCCTTAGTGTAGGGCGTGGGGACAGGTGCATCTATTCTACCTTGCTTGGAAGTGGAAAAATCTTCAAGAAATCAATTTATCACCAACTGGCATGACAGAACTCCTGGTTTAGTGTCTAGCTGTCTCCACTAAAATCAATCACCATGCCATCAGGCACTCTCTTCCCTCTGGTGTGTACTGGTACCTGAAACAGCGTCCAGCACCCTGAGAGCACAGAACGCAGCTTCTTATGTGCCCCACCCAATAATCCCAAATCGAGCACAGACCTGGGAGCTGAAGAGACAAGCTGGAGGTCAGGCAGTTCTATTACTTAAGCCTGGTTCTTCCTGACTCCAAAAGCCAGGCGCCACCCCATGCTCCTTCCCAGCAGAAGCTGGTTTTCACCGGGTCAGGAGGACAGGATGGCTATTCCTGACCGTTGTACAGCAGTGCCACATCTCCTAGTTTCCAGAACATTTAATGTGTTGCTGTGGAGGCCTGGCAGCTCTGAAGTAGCCCCTTGCGCCCAGGACAAACCGGGCCTGGAGGGGTGGGGTGGGGTAAGCTGAAGCTTCCAGTATCCCACGTGGGCATTCTGTTGCTGAGGGCAACCGCCCCTCCCTGCAAGGGAGGGGAAGGAGCAGGCAGGCACACCCTTCCTCCCTCCACATTTCACTGGAGTTGACCTGTGTCCTACTGTGGTTGCACCTGGACCAGCCCAGAGGGACTGGAGTGACTCTTCCCGCAGGTAGGGCACAGCCAGCCTGGGCACAGGGCCTCACTGCAATCCCTGCGCCCCGCCTCCCTGGGGGATTTCCAGGGGTTGTCCTGCTGCTTGGTGAGCTGGGGGTGTGGGGGACCACAGATGAGGCAGGCGCCTAAATTGCTTGGGCGGAGTCCGGCTGCTCTCTCCCTCCAGGCCCTTTCCTGTGTCCTCGGGCCCCTCGGGTCCCTGCACCAGGCCAGCAGCAATCGGGTGTCAGAGGTTCAAGTCCAGGCTGACTCCTGGGACGCACCGACTTTGCCCAGGAGGGCTGGGGAGAGGGCAGCCCCAAAGTGTCATCTTTGATTATTCTTTGTCCCCAAAGCCAGCCTTGGGCATGTGCCCAGCACAGGGAGAGCTGCTGCCTCTGTGGGCTTGAGTCATTTTTGCTTCCTTGCCCCTCTCTGCTCTGTTTGGTTTAAAAAACAAAAACCAACACCCATGGGTGAGGCGAGGCGAGGCGAGGCTTGCCTTGATCCACCCGCTTCCTCCCCTGCAGCCTCGGGCCCCATCCTCCCGCGTGGCCGCACTAGGGGTGCTGGGGGCGGAGTGGGGACCAGACCTGAGTGGGTTCTGGGTTCAGCTTCGCAGCAGGAGCAGCTGGGGCATCATCAGTTGGGCAGGTGACCCAGGATCTGAGCAGGAATCTTCCAGGTGGAGGTGGGGCCGCCCCTCTGCTTGCCACAGCTGCCTTCTGCTCTGGGGGCAGCACTGGCTGAGAATCCAGTGAAGTAAGGCCTTTGAAATGGTTTTGATTGTAAAAGTAATGTTTATGTTTAGCCATTCCTTTTTTTATTTTTTATTTTTTGAGACGGGTCTCCCTCTGTCACCCAGGCTGGAGTGCAGTCGTGAAATGTGGGCTCACTGCAACCTCCACCTCCCAGGTTCAAGTGATTCTCCTGCCTCAGCCTCCTGAGTAGTTGGGATTACAAGTGCCTGCCACCACACCTGACTAAGTTTTGTATTTTTTAGTAGAGATGGAGTTTCACCATGTTGGCCAGGCTGGTCTCAAACTCATATCCTCAAGTGATCCACCCTCCTCGTCCTCCCAAAGTGCTGGGATTTTGCCATGAGCCACCACGCTCAGCCATGTTTAGCCATTTTTAAAAGGTGTGAACAGATAATTAAGTCTATTAGCAACATTAGAAAATTTAAGTTAAAATTTAAATGACTCTAGCAAGAATTAGCCTTTAGGTGCCCTGGGTCCCCCTCCTCACCGCCCCCCACCCCGCCGCCTTCTGAGAAGCGTTTTGTAATTTTTCTTATTTATAAAATGGGTTTGATTCAAAACTGACTTTTCCTCTTCACAGTCTCACAGGTCCTTCCCCAGGTCCAAGAGGCTCTTCTGTGTCCTGATGACAAGTAGCTGCCTAGCCGTGGTGGCACCTCCTATCACATGTTAAGGGACCCCTCCCCAGGGCCACACCTGGCAGAAGGTGGCTTATGATGTTCGCAGCTTGAAAGTAGTGTAAACCAAAGATAAAATTCTAAGCCCACTCCCCCAGCCATCGGAATGGACCCCTCCTCTTGGCCAGGGCACTCCAAAGTTAACCTGAAAAACCGGTTCAGGCTGTGAAGAGAAGGTGGAGTGGACATGCCTCATTTATGTCCTCCTCCCTTTTGGAATTCAGCAAAGCTGACCAGCATGAACATTAACACAGACCTTAAGTCTGATTAGTGGCATTTACAATCTATACTCTCTGAAGCGTGCTACCTGGAGTCTTCCTTTGCATGATAAAACTTTGGTCTCCACAACCCCTTATCATAACCTAGACACTCCTTTCTAGTGATAATAACTCTTTCAACCAATTGCCAATAAAAAAATTTTGAATCTACCTATAACCTGGAACCTCCCCGCTCCACCTTCGAGTTGTCCTACCTTTCTGGACAGAAGCAATGTGGATCTTGCATGTATTTGATTGATGTCTCATGTCTCCCTAAAATGTATACAATTAGGCTGTGCCCAGATCACCCTGGGCACATGTTCTCAGGCCCTCCTGAGGTCTCTGTCTCGGGCCATTGGTCACTCAGATTCGGCTCAGAATAAATCTCTTCAAATATTTTTCAGAGTTTGACTCTTTTTGTCGACAATAAGCTCATCAGATTAAAGCTGTTGGAACTTTAAATTACTTCGAGCCTTGAAAGAATGTGATTCTGACACCCTAGTCAAGCAGCAAGTCGCTGTGAACTTTGCTTCTCCAATTATAGATTAACGCTCTTCCTTTCTTGATTTGTAAAATGTTATGAAAGACTAAATGGCACCAGATGTAAGACCCCTTCCCTTTCTTAGTTACTGACCTTTTGTTACGAATTAACTTCTTTCTTTTCTTGCACCCAACTCAGACCAGATGGTACAAAAGACCCCATGCCTATCAAATTCCATAAGACAGTATGTTAAATATACTTTTCCCGAAGGGAACAGGATATAACCAAACAAATTGCTGCAACTCATAAGCCAATCTTATGTGGAAAATGTAATCATGCTAAACCTCCTTGTATTTTCCCATTTAAGTGAAGCCCTAATCCCTCCACCTCAGAGCACTGAGCCCATTCCTTTAGAGTCTGTGTTTTTTGAGTGGTGGTCGTCAAACTTAGAGTTCGAATAAACTCTATAACATTGGATTTTGAACCTTTCAATTATTTCAGGTGGCAGAAGAAACACACAGACCCCATCTCTTCCTTTGGAGTTCTGTACTGCTCATTTCAAAGGGATTTCATCCTGCCCTCTGTAACCACCCAAGGGGTTCCTCCTGCTCCCTTTCTAAATAAAGACCATGCATTCCAGTAAAGAAAGAGTTTAATAGACATGAGGCCAACCACATGGTAGAGAGAGTTTGTACTCAAATCATCTCATCAAAGGCTCATAGCTAGGGGTTTCTCAAGGCAGTTTGGGGGGTCAGGGGTGGCCAAGTAACAGGTACTGATTGGCTGGGGCAGACATGAACTCATGGAGGGTCAAAGCTGTCCTCCTGCAGGCTAAATCGCTTCTTAGGGGGGTGTCACAGGAGTGAGGTTGGGGGTTCCAGGTAGAGCCATGGGTATCAGACCTGCAAAAAACCTGAAAAGATATCTCAAAAGACCAATCTACAGTTGGGGAAATTGTGTATTTTGCTAGAGAGGTCTACACCTTAGCTTCTCCCTCTCGCCTCATAGCTTTTCATTAGGTTTACACAGGCAGAAGAGTTTTGGGGGAGGCCTGCTGTTATTTAAACTATAAATTAAATGTCTCCCAAGGTTAGCTCAGCCCAAAAGCCCAGGAATCATTAAGGGAAAGGAAAGATGAGGGGCGGGTTAGCTCAGCTCACTCTTACAATTTTTCTAATTGATAGAGTTTTTGCAAAGGCGGTTTCACTTTCAGCGTGGTCGTTCTCCTAACCTCTCCTGCTTCCCCAGGTCCTCACCCTAAACCAGCACCCATCCTGCACTCCCAGGGTGAACCCTCCCTTCCCTCCTGCTCACCTGGGCCCAACCCAGTTTCCCCCCAGGAGCTGCGGAAGGGCCCAGTGGTGCCACCTTGGCCTCCAGGCATCACTCTCCAACTTCTTCCCTCCTCCCTCCACAGGACCCTTGCCTCAAATGTCAGTCCCGCTGCTCTCTGCTGCACTCAGCCTCTTCCTGGCAAGTGTGCCCCTCCCCTCTTGAAGCCATCACCAGCCTCTCGTGCCCACCCCCATCTAGGCCCCCCACTCCTCTCCAGTCCCGGTGTCTTGGAAGAGCCTCTGGATCACAGGGGCTGGGAAATTCGACTTGTCATCCCCACCAAGCAAACACATGCTTCCATCCAGGGCCCCTCAGTGGGTGAAGGCTGAGCCCCAGTAAAGGATAGATCATCACTGTCAGAGGCGAGTGAACTAGAGCGACTCCATGTTGAATAGGGACTGGGTAAAATGAGGCTGAACCTTCTGCACTGCATTCTCAGGGGGTTAGGCATTCTTAGTCACAGGATAAGATAGGAGGTTGGCAGGATTAGTATCACAAGATACAAGTCACCAAGACCCTGCTGATCAAATGGGATGCAGTAAAGAAGCCAGCCAAAACCCACCAAAACCAAGATGGCGACAAAAGGAACCTCCAGTTGTCCTCACTGCTCATTATGCGCTAATTATAATACATTAGCTGCTAAAAGACACTCCCACCTGTGCCACAACAGTTTACAAATGCCATGGCAACGTCCAGAAGTTACCCCATATGGTCTAAAAAGGAGAGGGACCCTCAGTTCAGAAAAATCCCCTCCCCTTTCTTGGAAAACTCACAAACAATCCACCTGTTGTTGAGCCTATAATCCAGAAATCAGTATAAGTATACTCAGCTGAGATCCAAGAACCCTGTCTTGGGGTTTGGACTGGGACTCCTTTCTGGTAACAATACTAGGGTATACGGAGCCCCCACATCCCCGGGCAAGTGGTGCAGAAGCCGGAGCCATCAGCAGCCGCCCCTGGCAGGCTCCTGTGTGGACTCCTTGCTGCAGGGCATTTGGTTTACCAGGCGTGAGAGACCCACACGTGAAGCGCTAGCCCAGCCCCATCACCGCAGCACAGCCTCACCACTGCAGCCCAGAAAAACCACTGCAGCCCAGACACACGACTGCAGCTGAGGCCCATCACTGCAGCCCAGACACACCACTGCACCCACTGCAGCTCAGCCCACCACTGCACCCCAGCCCCACCACTGTAGCTCAGCCCGACCACTGCAGCCCAGCCCACCATTGCAGCCCAGACACACCACTGCAGCCCAGCCCACCACTGCAGCCCAGCCCCACCATTGCAGCCCAGGCCCTGCAGTTGTCCCTACTAGGTCTGAGTGGAGGAATCAGAGAGAAAACTCTGGAAAGTGCTAGACACAGGGGAGGCCCTCAAGGAATGGTGGCTGCCACTGGGAACTCTGTTTCTGTGGTGCTTACTGGACAGATAGGCTCCTTTGCAGATTTTTTTATTCCAAAACTAAGCTCCCATCACCCAGTCCTGTCCTCCCTGCTGGCAGAGCTTGTCCCTGGATCCAAGCTGTCTCCTCTGCACCAAATCCGGTGGCCTCAAGTCCCAGCTCTGCTTTGCACAGGGGCTTTTCGAAGCCCTGTCTCCCCTGCTGTGAGATGGGGGTCACCCAGCTGCCCCCCAGGGGGTGGTGTTGCTGACGGAGCAGGTGAAGACAATGCCAAGAGCTGCGCGTGGTCTGGCTTTCCCAGGCTGGATGTGCCCCTCTGATCCTCAGTCTCCCCACATGGACAATGGCTGATGCCGACCACCCACACTAGGTTTGCCCCAGAGTCAAAGTGAGCTCCTTGAGGACAGGGAACTGACCCCCACACAGGGCCCCCCAGGATCTGCTTGAGGAGGCACCAGGCAGTTCTCCCAGAAGGCAGGGCGTGTCTTCAGAGCTCTCTGGGTTGAGTGGGCCTAGGCCATCGCTGCCTCTGCCCAAGTCTTTCTAGAGGCTTCCCAAGTACCAGAGCTGCCCTGGAGGGCCAGAGTTACCAGAAAGTCCAAAGGGAGAAAGTCAGAGAGACACCAGCACACCCAAGAAGTCCAGGGCCTTGGGGACACTAAGGGTGAACTCTGTGCTGTGAAGGGCAGGCCTGGCCCGGAGAGAGGGAGCCTGCAGAGGAGACGGGATCTCTCGGTGCTCTTCCGAAGAAGCCCCTGGATCTCCCACTGTGTTCTGCTCTCCCGGGCGGGCAGGTGTCAGGATGGCGCCTGGTACAGCTGGTTTTGGGCAGAAGCCCCGCCCGTGGCCTGCACGTTGGGTGTCTGCGTGTTGGGCCCCTGCTCTGCAGCCTCAGCAGGTACTGTGACGGGGGATGGCCGGGCAGGGACCTACCTGGCCAGCTCTTTGTCTCAGCTGCCTTCACACGGCAGGGTTTGCTTTGCGCATCCCATCCCTGTGAACATACAGGTGCGATTAGTTTGCTGGTTTGTGGCAGGGTGGTTTTTTCTTCTTCCTAAAAATGGATTTAGTAGATTTTTAGCTTCACAGGTTTCATCTGAACCAATGACTTGGAATTTAAGACAATGGCTACACGCTTTTGACTGGGTTTGGGATTTGTGATCCGAAACGGTTCATTTGTTATATGGCTAGAATATGACATGACTTTTCATGTGTTTTAAAAAATATAATGAGGCGGCGGCTGCGTCCACGTCGACCAAGACTGGAGCGAAGTTTAAGGAAGGGACAGAATCGCCGGGGAGTGCCCTTGTTGTTGCTGGGGGACTCCCAGCCTTCCCTGTGGCCCGAGAAGGAGAAGCAGTGGCTCTCTGAAGCAGGCATGGAGAGTAGAAAACTGGAGTTATTAGCATACCCTAGTACCTCTTACAACTTTCCCTTCCATGTTAGCACTTTAGTGCTGGCTTCTCAGTTTTCTTAACATTGAGACAATAAATGTGTGTTGTGTCTTGTAGATGGCATAAAGAGTAAATAAGAAGTTTTAGAGTTGTTCTGGAAAATGTCAGAATAAATCTCCACTTGAGTTGTGTATTCTGCTAGTCCAAGTGGACAGCAACTTCCTGCTACCCTCCCTTGCAACCTTGCAGACAAGTCTCTCCTCTGAAGAACGAATTAGATTTAGCTAATTAGAATTAATCCTTGCTTTCATCGCCATCATCTGTAAAATACTTTGTTGGGTAGACCACTTTATACCTTTGCAATACGGTCTCCGTGGGTAAAAAACAAATATCTGTAATGCAGACAGGAGGATGTGAAAAGTTCTGTTGCACGTGTTTTTTTTTTTTGTTTTTTGTTTTTTGTTTTTTGTTTTTTTGAGACAGTCTCGCTCTGTCCCCCAGGCTGGAGTGCAGTGGCGCGATCTCGGCTCACTGCAAGCAAGCTCCGCCTCCTGGGTTCACGCCATTCTCCTGCCTCAGCCTCCGGAGTAGCTGGGACTACGGACGCCTGCCAACATGCCCGGCTAATTTTTTGTATTTTTAGTAGAGACTGGGTTTCACCGGTTGCACGTATTTTTAATTCTGTGGCTGTCACATGATAGAGAATGGAATTGAATGGAGATTTCCCTTTTGCTTCTTAGGGTTGGAAATATTCCCATGAAAATGTTCAAATTTGGAATTTGAAAGCCACCAAATGAATCTTTATGTATAAATCCTTGTAAATGATAGATTCCATAGGTGAGACTTTTATGTATTTCAGGTGGGAGCCTACTGGCATATATTTTTAAATGTTCATATTACTTAGAATCTCCAATAGGAAGTCTTTATTTGAAATAGTTGAATCCGTGTTCTAGTATTTTCCTTTCAGCAAGATCTGTTAGGTTTTTACCCCTTCAAAAATAAGTTTTATTTCATCTGCAAATTGTGGCAATGTTATAGCGATCAGAAACTACGTAAGGAATGTTATATAGGCTTGTCAGTTCCCATTTATCTTAACAACAATAAATATCACATTTCTTCTTTTGAAAATGACACATATTTAGGCCAGGCGTGGTGGCTCACTCCTGTAATCCCAGCCCTTTGGGAGGCCGAGGTGGGCGGATCACGAGGTCAGGAGATCCAGACAATCTGGTTAACATGGTGAAACCCCGTCTCTATTATAAATACAAAAAAATTAGCAGGGCATGGTGGCAGGTGCCTGTAGTCCCAGTTACTCGGGAGGCTGAGGCAGGAGAATGGCGTGAACCTGGGAGGTGGAGCTTGCAGTGAGCGGAGATCGCGCCACTGCACTCCAGCCTGGGCGACAGAGCAAGACTCCGCCTCATAAAACAAAACAAAACATATTTAAACACTTAGAAAATAAAGTTAACACTTACTGAAGTGCCGGTACTACACTGTCCTAGTACTAAAAGGAAGCAGGTTGGAACATACATATGGCCTATCATTTATAACAGAATTAACTTGTTGAATGTCTGTAAATGATTTTTTTTTGCAAAGGAAAAAGTTGATCCTGGAAAAGATTGTTGTGCATAGTTATTAGTCATTTGTAACCTCGCTTAAGTGTTTCTCAGTTGTTCAACATAGACACTTTTTTCTCCTTACCATGTATTTTTAAAAATAGTCTATTACTTGACTTTGAACGTAAAGCTTTAATCATAATTTCCCACGTATACATAGTTCATCTGACGGTAAGCTGGATTTGAAGGTAGGGGTTTCAGCGTTACTTAAGTTGGTAGCTGAGGGTATCAGGCATCAGTTCATGCAATAAGACAAAAAAATATATATCCTTTGCTTGCCAAGGGGTAGAGTGATGTGCATTTATCTGTTTTCTGTTCTGTAAGTTTAGACTTTCAAACCATTTTGTAAACCAACCCTTGGGAAATTTGAAATTACCTTATAACTTAAGACTCTGTGGTCTCTGGAATCACCCTATCTGTTTCTTTTCTGCGTAGGTATTTATAACATTGCTGTTTGACTATAGCGTGCACTCTGAAATGTTATCAGTGGAAATTTGTTTGAGTTTCATTAATGCTATTTCACTAGTTAGACATAATTACTTCTACCAGTGTAAATGACACTGATGCGCACAGAGCTTCCAGATCTTTCAGACTCAACTACTAGGTCAATTAGTTTGCATAATAAAACTTGGCAGTTTCTACAAGCCTATTATGACAAACCAGGAGCTAATTCTGTAATGAAAAACTATCCATTCTGAATGATAGGGACGTAATTATTTGCTGCTGCTGTCCTTTGTAAATTTTGAACATGACATTATACTCTGTGCCTACTAAAGGTATCCTCTGGAGTTTTTTGAGAGGAGGGAAACTGGAAAATTAAATTGTATTTTTGCCAGAAGACTCTTACTTGCATGTGTCTCAGGGTCTTCAGTTTTTCTAGAAGTTTCCATATCCAAGGTTCAGAGTTCATGTGAAATACTTCTTTGGGAGAAAAAAATCCTTCATTCCTGGTATTCATTGGATTGGAAATCTGCAGCAAAATGCTGTTTAAAATTACTATGTGGTTTTTCTATCTTATCCTTAGCTCTCTGGCTATTGAACTTTTTTTTCTTCTTTGAAGTTAGCTTCAAATTTGCTTCTATGCTAAATTACCTGTAAATATTCTGGATAGGAACTATTTGAAATAGTATTTGTTAAAAGAAATGATAAAATGAAAATGTTCAAACTACAGAGATTTTAAAATGCCATAACGATCTTGCAAGACTAACTTTAAAATATACTATAAATGATTATTATGATTTTGGTGGTAACGATCCCCCACACACAACCGCTGTGAAGAAATGACGCCACATTTTCCCCTATTGTACCAAAAAGATAAAGATGGTAAACATTAATCAAGGTATTTTGTATTGTCAACGCGTGCATATTCTAAAGAGTTAAATGCCAACTCAGCAGCACTGGCTTCCTGGCTGGTCAACCATAGGAAACCTCGTTCATTTCTCCCAGTGTTGTGATGTTCATACTTCTACAATCTTCCCTGTCATGACTTTAACTTCTACGTTTCATTAACCATTCCTGATGTTAGTTCTCAGAGCTTCTTCTTTTTTTTTTTTTTTTTTTTTTGAGATGGAGTCTCACTCTGTCGCCCAGGCTGGAGTGCAGTGGCCCCATCTCGGCACACTGCAACCTCCGCCTCCCGGGTTCAAGCGATTCTCCTGCCTCAGCCTCCCAAGTAGCTGGGACTACAGGCGTGCGCCACCACGCCCAGCTATTTTTTGTATTTTTAGTAGAGGTGTGGTTTCACCCTGTTGGACAGGATGGTCTCAATCTCTTGACCTCGTGATCCGCCCGCCTCGGCCTCCCAAAGTGCTGGGATTACACGTGTGAGCCACTGCCGGTTCTTAGAGTTTCTTAAGGCAAAAATAAAATTATTCAATTCTGAAAAAATATAAATAAATAAATAATAAAAAATATAACGAATCTGGAGGACTGCATGGTGTCCTATAGCGTGACGGTTAAAAGCTTGGGCTTTGGAACCAAGTCGGCCTCGAAATCGCAGCTTTGCTGCTGCCTGGGCCACTGGACCTTCTGAGCGTCGTTTTCCTCCTGTGTCAGCTGAGGGTGGTGACTTGGGCTCCCGCTCAGGGGTTGAAAGAGATTCTGCAGCCTCTGGAGCTGCCCCTCAGCGCATCATCACTGGGTCTGCTGTCCTCGGTACCTGCCTGGGTGGAGGTTTCTGTGACTTCTCAACGGAAGTGGCTGTCTCAGGCGAACGCTGTAACAGTGACCATCCCTTGAGGTGCCTGTTTCTTGCTCTGTTTTTATTTAAAGATCTGTGGAAATGTAGAATATGAAAAATGAACTGCAATATTCGGGATGAAAATGGACTAGGCTAAGTATTCCTGATTTGAAAAAACTTTTATCTTAGGTTTAGGGGATCGTGTGCGGGATTGTTATATAGGTAAACTCCGTGTCTCGGGGGTTTGGTGTACAGGTTATTTAGTCACCCAGGTAATAAGCATAGTACCCGATAGGTATTTATTTTTGATCCTTTCCCTACTCCCACGCTTCACTCTCAAGTAGGCCCCATTATCTGTTGTTCCCTTCTTCGTGTCCAAGCACTCCTGATTAATGAGCCTAAAGAAATACTGAAAGAACAAGCGAAACACATCTGTTCTCTTTCCTGCTACCCTCTCCGCATGTCCCCCTCTCTCTAGAAAACAATGGTTTTAATCTTGGCTGCATGTTAGAGTCACCTAGGGTGCTTTTAAAATTCCCTTTGCCAGGCGCCACACTTGAACGTTGTGATTATTTGCCTGGCCCAGGTGTCAATATTTTTTTTAAGAGATGGGGGTCTTTCTCTGTTGCCCAGGCTAGAATGCAGTGGCGTAATCATAGCGCACTGTAGCGCTGAACTCCTGGGTTCAAGAGATCCTCCGACCTCAACCTCTTGAGTAGCTGGGACTACTGACACGTGCCACCATGCCTGGTTA